>NC_000002.12:111125981-111429011 GCF_000001405.40 Homo sapiens | reverse complement strand
GCTTTCCACTAGAGACATCTGCCATCTCTGCTGCCTCCCTCCCCTCACACATCCTTTACTGCTTCACTTATTCATCCCATAAGGATTTCTTAGGGGCCTGCTGTGTGCTGGTTCTGGAGACAAAACAGTGGATGGGACCAACTCAGCCCCGGTCCCCACCCAGCACCTCTAGCCAAGTCTGAGTGGGCTCTGCTGAAGAAGTGTTGGGTGCAGTGCACAGTTCATCATGGTCGATGCCTCCGTCCCATTTCACTTAGATGCCCCGATTTCCTAAATGCTTTCTTGAACTCTGACACTCTGGGACTGGCACCTGAACAGTCTATAAAACGGTGAAATGTCGAAGCATTCCTGCTGTGTAATCCCACTCTCTTCCCTAACCTCAAGCAGGACAATTTGACCCCCTCCTGAGGACATGGCCAGACAGGCCATTAGTAGAAGCCTTCCAGAACTTTCTGGCAATCTTCACTTTTAAGCTTAGCAAACATCTAAGAATGATTTTAAATGACCATGTTTACTCTTTTGTACTTGTTGGAATTCGTTTACCAATAGGCCATGATGGTGATCACAAAACCCCCTATGTACATGCACAGTGTTCATTGCAATGCATATCCAGGTCTCAACCCAATGTCCCCTTCTCGAGGAGAATTCCCTGAGCACCATGTCGTGAGAGAACCCTCCTTCCTCCCCACCATTTCTCTCTATCTTGTGATTTTATTTTATTTTATTCATAGACTTATCATTATCAGCACTTATCCTGAATGTTCAATTATCATCTGTCTGTCTCTCACTCCACTCCCAAAAGGCAGACTGTGGTCTGTCTTATTTCCCGGTCTGTCCCCGGCGTTTGAGATCCGAGCCTCATCAACAACTATGTGCTGACTGGGTTCATCCTCTTATTACTTCTCAGGCACACCGAGATGCTGAGCAGCCCAGTGCTCTGACCATGTTTGGTGGATAAGGAAACTGATCTGAGTCTGGTGAATGGCCTCACTAGGGTGAGGACCCAGGCTTTCCTCTGGGACATCACCCAGCAGAAAAGGGTGATTGTGAACTCTCTACTGTCTGGACAGTCAGGTTCTCATCAGAAACCAAGCTTTGCCCTGCTGATGAACTTCCTAAAGTTTACGTAATTTGCCCCCATCCTGGAAGATAAAGACCACTGTGTTGTGGAGGGAAATAGCCTCAGCTGGGCGTCTCTGGATGCTACTTTCTCCAGCAGAACACTAAGAAGATCAGATGAGATGAATACAAAGATTCCACCCTGCCCTGAGTTTCTGCTGGTTCTACCTGGCTAGGTTCTAGCAGAAGAGAAGGAAGTATACAAGGGTAACATGTGCAAGGGCAGTGTACAAGGGTAACATGGGCATCAGGGACAGTCCTCCTGAGGATGTGAGGAGCCAGGCCCAACTGTGGGCTGGCAGCCTGCCCCAGGGGTTGCTCACACTCACCTAACTCCGGCCCCTCTGGACACACCCTTGCCCAGGTGCAAGGGGCTCCACTGGGAAGAACATCTCCACCCAAGTGATCACTCTTCCTCTGCGTTTTTGAGCAGGATGAAACCACATTCTCTACCCATTTCGCAGTCTTACCCCCAGGATTATTTATGACCTCAAAAAGATGAAAGTCACAGGTGCAGGGAGGACCAGACGTAACCCATATGATGCCTGCAGGATAGTTAGTTCACAAGGATATTAGGAGAAAGAGCAAAAGAGAAGTGACCACACAATTCTAGATGGTTAAAGCAATAGTTCTGACCCTGGCCAGACATTAGAATTACCCAGATGTTATAAAAAATCCAGACACCCAGGATCCACTTGGACCAATCACATCAGAATCTGGGGATTGAGGGGGTGTAGACATCCGTATTTTTTACAACTCTGCAGGTAATTTCAATGCATAGCCAAGACTGAGAAACATTGGTCTCTCAACGTACCATCCAATGTAGTAGCTGTTAGCCACAGATATCTATGGAACCTTTAAAATGTGGCTTGTACAACCAAGGGACTGAATTTTTAAATTCCTTTTTATTTTAAATTTAAATATCCACATGTGACTTGTGGCTGCCATATTGGACTGTGCAGGTACAGAACATGTCTACGGTCACAGGAAGTTCTACTGGCTAGTGTGGTCCAGGGGAACCTGGAGTCCTATAACTGCCGAGTGAAATCCTGCTGATCCTGAAGGGACTTTAAGGTAATTCTGTCTGTTAACTTCACTAACAAGCCCTCCTGTCTTGGGTTTGTTGTATATTTTTCATCTATGTTTCAAGCCAGGGCTTGTGCAGCAGCAAGGGTGACAAACTTTCAAAGCACTGCACTGTAGGATTGAAAAGCATTGAAAATACAGTTATGCACTCACTAATGTCTCAGTCAACAATGGACTGCATATACAATAGTGGTCCCATAAGATTATAATGGAGCTGAAAAATTCCTATCACCTAGTGATGTTGCAACTGTCATAATGTTGTAGCACAATGCATTATCTTTTCTGTGTGAAGACATGTTTAGATGCACATATTCTTACCGTTGTGTTACAATTGCCTACAGTATTTAGTGCACTGAAATGCCGTACGAGTGCGTAGCCTAGAAGCAATAGGCCATACCATATAGCCTAGGCAGGTAGTAGGCTATGCCATCTAGGATTGTGTAAGTATACTCTGTGATGTTCGCATCACAAAGAAATTGCCTAACGATGCATTTCTCAGACTGTATCCCTCTCATTAGCAATGCATGATTGTATCTGTAAAAATCTAAGGCCCAGACCTCAGTCTTTTGGTGTTCATTCTGCTGGTTTACTCAGTTTGCACCGTTGAAGACCCAGTCCTAGAAAGGAGCTTTCTAAATTATTGTTTAATTAGTGTAATCCAAGAATTTATGAGACTTTTGGAAAAGCAGAGCGCTAGAAGTGCCACCTTTCGGAGGTCACGGATTTAGTCAGGTGACCCAGCAAACTCAACTCGTTGGGGTTAGAGATGGAGAATTAGAACCAAAGCTGAATCACTTTCTGCTTATCACTCATAGACTGCCAGATTTTCTTTTTTTGTTGGAGGGAAAGCACCTTACAACAAATAATAATACTATTTTGAATTTCAGAGCTTTCCCTTTTTCAAAGCACTTTACCACCTCTGACTTATTTTGTCCTCCTAACAAGGCCATAAGATAAGGAAGGGAGGGCTTTTTAGAGCCTGTCTAACACCCTAAGACAGAGCTTAATATTGCTGAAGGCATTGAAAAGTATAGGTTTTGTTCTCTCATCCCTGGCCACACTCAAGTACTTAGTGGCACAACTTGAAGCAAATTGACATAGATGTTTAATCCTACAGTGGACTGTGTTTTTAATAGACACTAGAGCTTCACATTTGTTCTCTTTGGTTCCATCCCAGGTTTCTAACCTTGTGCCTAAATTTTTGGGGGCCCTTTCTTCCTCAGAGCTTTGTGTGTTCTGCAAATTTGGTAAATATGCCTTCATTTACCATGTCTCTTTCCAAGGTGGGTTTCACCATGTTGGCCAGGATGGTCTTGATCTCTTGACCTCGTGATCCACCCACCTCAGCCTCCCAAAGTGCTAGGATTATAGGCGTGAGCCACCGCACCCAACCTCCAAGGTGTTTTTTAAATGGTGAATGGGACAGAACACAGGACAGAGTCCCATGGCTCTCCATGAAGAAAGTCCTGTGTCACTTCAAAGGATGTCCCCTGTGCAGAACCAACCACGCTAGGCTGACATCCTCACTTTTGGGTCCCCAACCTTCTCATGGGTAGAGCTGCAGAGAGTCATTTCAAACCACACTTGCCTGTGGGCAGAAAGCACGGAATTGTCTGTCCAACTGGGGACTCAGGAGCAGCCTGGCTGTCTGCAGCAGCTGCAAAGGGAGCAAAGGCAAGCAGGACTTCCATGAGTTAGGAGGTGGCCTTCTTTGGAGATGAGTGTCCTGCCAATTGCAAGTCCTCCTGGTCACACCATCATCTGGCCCATCTTTTGTATCTTAGATCGGATAGGGTGAGAGGTTTTCAAAGGCTTTACTGAAATCAAGACACACTTTCTGGGGCATTCCCCTAATCGACTGTTCTGGTGAAGCTCGTCAAAACAGGAAATGAGGTTAGCATGGAATGACTTTCTCTTAGAGAACTTATGTTGCTTCCTTGAGACCACCAATTTCTTCCCAAAAGCTTGTGAGCCTTATTTCGTGTCTCTTTTGGGTTTTCTTGGAACTTGGAGGAAGTCTGTTCTTCTGTAGTTTTTAGAATCCATTCCTCTGGAAAATGGTGGTGGTGTTTGCTTATTCCCAGCCTTCCAGACTCTCTCCCTTTTTCTCCAGTATCTCTAAGATGTTTGCAAGTTTGTCTGAAGTGAGATCTGCACATACTTGAACTACAGCAAGAATGGGATTGACCCACATGCTCTGTGCCCACGACCAGGCTGACAGGGCCGCATGTGGGCTCTCTGGCATGGGCTTTAGGCAGCTCCTTCCCCTGAGAAGCTGTTGGATCCACATGTTCTCACGGTATCAAAAACGGCAGGAAGAGAAAACTAACCTGGTGGAGATGAAACTTAGTGGGAACACTCCGCTTTCCTCCCCTGCTCCGTGTGTGAGCACTTGGCTCAGAAATGCACTGTGGCTGAGACAGCCCTATCTGGCTTCACCTAAGCCTACCCCCGTGTTGAGTTCTTTAACTTAGTTATCAAAGCGGCAAGGGTTTCAGATCTAGACAAGCTGCATCATGCTTATTTTTGCTGAGGTTTTCTGACAAATGGCTCTACTTGAAATTTCCAGATTTAAATGTCTGTTTTATTAAAACTAAAGTACTTTTGAGTCATATTTGCTTTTATGTAGTAGAAGCAAGTAGAAGAGAGTCCATGGGAAGGAATAGCTGGCTTTGCCTCACAGGTGTTTAGGGAGGACTGCTGTCTCCAATGCAAGACCTGGATTACCGTTTAGAGATCCACCTACCCCTCATGATGCTCTTGTTGCTGGAATCATGGTCTGTTTCATGCTTTACGTGACTTAGCAGGACCTTGAAAGCTGTCCTGAGTGCCCATGCTGGAATGGGGTAGATTTCAGTTCCCTCTCCCTCACTCCCGCATGAACCTCAGCCTCACTCTACTCAGGTCTAGGGTACTTAGTGTGTTCAGTGATGATTGTCTACATAGATGGATTAATACATATGCACCTTTATAATCATCCCAGCTACCATCTAAGGTTCTAGCTTTCTCTGGAGACATTTTTGGTGGTTTACAATGTTATTTTCCAGTGCGCATAGCAGGCCCCAGAGGCAAGGTGATCACCTCTTTGTTTCAGTTAAGAAAACTGAGTTTTAGTGAGGACAATCAATTTTTCCCATATCACAAAACTGGTCATGTGATGCTGCATCCCATATTTAAGTCCAGAGCAGTGAGCTTCTCCCTATCCCTCTATTATGCTGCCATTTTGTATTTTGTAGGTGTGTAAAATCAAATGTCATTCTTCCTTAAAAAGGACTGTGAATGGTAAGCAACAGTTGGGAAGGGTGACACCAGACAATGGCTGAAAACAGGGCGACTGGAAGTTGACTGATGGGTGCTGAGCGCTTGGCATCCGTTCCTGCTGCAGACCCCACTGGAGTCTCCTCAGAAGGGGACACTGGTGGCTTCCATTGGCCCTGCCTCCCGCCAGGGCTGTGTGAGGATCCACATGGGCTGGGATGAGGGTGGATGTTGTTCTCTGAAAACTGTCCACTACTCAAAAGTGATGTTGTGGCTGGGCACGGTGGCTCACAACTATAATCCCAGCACTTTGGGAGGCTGAGGCCGGTGGATCACGAGGTCAGGAGTTCAAGACCAGCCTGGCCAACATGGTGAAACCCTGTCTCTACTAAAGATACAAAAAATTAGCCAGGCTTGGTGGCGTGTGCCTGTAATCCCAGCTACTTGGGAGGCTAAGGCAGGAGAATCACTTGAACCCAGGAGGTGGAGGTTGCAGTGAGCCGAGATTATGCCATTGCACTCCAGCCTGGGTGACAGGGGAGACTCCATCTCAAAAAAATTTAAATAAATAAATAAATAAATAAATAGATGTTGCTGGGTCAAAAAGGGAGAGGCCCCACGCTGACCCCCTAGCACCAGAATCTGCATTTCAGCAAGATCCCAGGGGGCTGTCACAGTTGCTAGCTCTGCTCTTTATGCTCGCCTCAGCTAGGTGCCGAGTACCTGCTAGAGGAGTGAATTCGGTCTTTATTCTTCAGAGGCACTGGTCAGAGGGTGGAAACATCAGACAGGGACTCCTGGGCCCCCAGGCAGGACTCCAGGGGGATGGAGCGGGGGATGGAACATTTGAGAATCACCAACATGCAGCAAGGACATTAGTGAGAAATGAGTTCCACCTGCCAGAAGGGAATCTGAGAAGGGAATGCACAAATCAGGAAAATATACCATCAAAAACTACGACTCTTCTACCTCCAGCCCTCGCCACCAACTCCTATCCCATTATTTTATATCCGAGAGGGTTGATAGGCAGCAGACACACTGATTCTGTAAGCATTGTCCCTAGTCCCTGTAGGCGAGGTGACCATGTACCCAAGTTCACTCAAGGTGGTCCTGTCCATGCCTATTAGAAATGAGTTCATAATTCCTTTCAGCTCCGCCTTTCACTCTCGAGCGTGCCCTTGCTTGATGATTCCTATCTGGCTTGGATACCCTCACTTATATTACCTTATATCTGCTATTATATTTCCCCAAGAAGTTGCTTTACAAACACTGACTCCTCAACACACGGTCATCTCTAAAAGAAAGGGTGTTTGGCAGTTCCTCGACAGTTCTGGAAAGGCTGCCTTACTAGAAGCAGAGTCAGCCATGGGGGGGTGAGAACAAAAGTGTGCACTCAAGCATGTGTGTGTTCGGGGTGTGTGGGTATGGGTGTGAGACATGGTCATATGGGTTCTGTGTACCTGCATGTGTGACACAGGTGTGGGTGCAGAAGAGGACACGGGGTGTCTGGTGCATGGGTGCCTGTATGCACGTGGGGTGGTTGCGTGCATCTGTGAGTGCACATCTATGGTATGTGTGTATGCTTGTGCATACATGCCTGTGTGTTTGCATGTGTGGTGTGGTATGGTGTGCGGGAATGCATGGGCGGATATAAGTGTGGGTGTCTTAGTGGATGTGTGCATGGATGTAGTATGTGATGTGGCTGGATGTGGGTATGACGTGTGCAGTATGAGAGTAGGGTTCTGTAGCACGTGTGTGTATGCAGTATGTATGTTTGTGGTACATGTGCATTGTGTGTGGCTGGGGGTGGGTTGCATATGTTGCATATGGAGTGAGGTGTTTGTGATGTGTGTGGGTGTGTGCGGTGGGTATATGCTGGTACCTGTGTGCATGTGTGTTGGTGTGTGGAGTGGCTATAGGTGACATGTGATGCCATGTGTGCTTCCTGAGCTTGTTTGTGGTTGTTCCCAGACCCACTGCAGACTCAAGCATGGCTCCACATGGCACCACCACAGGATAAGCCTCTGTGTGTATGCAGTATGTATGTTTGCGGTATGTCTGTGCCTTGGGAGCTGGTGGGGAGGAGGGTCTCACCCTTGTCTGTCCCTGGGCATCCACTATGGCTGCACTGGGAAGCCACTGGGTGCAATGGTGTTGCTGTGTGGGACGGGGCCTCAGGCCCACAGGCAGCAAGCATAGACCAGATCCACCCAGCACCCTGACTGTTGAGGATGGGCCCTGGCTGTGTCTCTCTAGCCCAGCTAGCTCCTACTGCATAGTCAGGCCTTGGGAGGGAGGAATCACTGAATGGATTTCCTTCCTCCTGCCCTGCTTGGATAGGGGCACTTGTGGATGCTTCTGGCTCCAACTTTTGTGTGCAGTGACTATGATGGAGAAGTGATGAGCTCCCTCTTCAGCCTTCTGGGCTGCTGGCATCCCCAGTATGTTTCTCCCTGGAGACACTCTCAGTGAGGCCAATTCCAGGCTGCTGGGGGCTTTTCCTTCTGTCACTGTCGGGCCTCCACAGGGATCTGCCTGGCTGCAAGATGCTGATGGGTGGAGGGGTGGCCCACCTGGCCTCCAGAAGCAGGAGCTCCCTGCCCACTGCCCGCATGGCCCTCAGCCCTGGCCCTCACCTGTTGCCCTTCTGGAAGAACGTTGCTCTTGTTAGCTAACAACCACCTGACTTTCCTTGATCTGTCTCTCCCTGAGGCAAGAATGACCTAGGTCTGAAGACTGAAGACCAGTGCTGGGGCCCCTCTTGGAAGGCCAAGGAAGTGGAGAAGTGCCCAGGTCTGGTCTGCTTAGCCTCCTGCTAGTTGTTGGAGCTCTTTGAGCCTTGGTTTCCAAACCCATAAACTGGGAGAATGACACCTACCCCAGCAGCACAGAGGGATCTTTGCAATAATGTGCAAACCCACTCAGCATGATGCGTGGCACAAAGCACAAACCCAATAAATGGTGGCTATTATCACTATTATTTTATTTCATAGATTCAAATATTGAGAATGAAATAAATATATCAGAAAGTAGTAGCATCGTGCCATCAGAAAAATACTCTGATGGGGTCCTAGCGATCTTATCCATGAAAATAAAATATCAAAAGAAAGACAAGACGATCTAGAAAGAAGGGATGCCGGCAGTCTTAGAAAAAACAAATAAACAAAAACAAACAAACAACAAAAAACAAAACTGGTGGCAGAGAGTGAGACAACAGGAGCAAATATAGGGCCAGCCAGACAGACACTGCTTCCTCTCCCTTTGACAGGCAGGACAGCGGCCCGCTCCCAAATCTGCAGGGTCAGACGCGGTAGATGAACAGTGATTTGCCTGAGTGTAAATATTGTGATGTCTTTCTTTTCTTGAACTTTTAACCTTGCTGGTAAACAGGGTGCATCCAGAATTGTTTTTCTGAGAACTGAGTTTTGAGGAAATGGGGGGAAAAGGGTTTTTATTAGCTAATTTTCAGTCTTGTGCGTGACTCAAAACCTTCTTATTCTGTTTCTTAACTTTGCTTCAGGAGACACTTGGCCAAAAAATAGCTTTGTTTTTAATTGATGGAAGAAAAATCATTACAATGTGTAAGTATGCCAATTCAAACATGGCAAAACTTTCAAAGACAAAGCAGGGGTGGGGAGGTCATTCTGAAGAAGATTTCTGAGACAAGAAAAACAACCAATCCAAATCCCCATTTGTGTTTTCTAATGAGAAACTCCTCACACGCCATTGCCCTGCTGACCCCGGTCTTACCTTGACCACCTCGCCCCATCTTCATCTGTTATAACTTCTGAGATATTGTAATGGAAGTATAGAGTAAGCCTGAGATACACTCTCAGCATTCAAGGTGCTGCCTTCCTTTCTCCAGGCAGGAGGCTGACACAGCCGCCTTTATTTACAAATGCCGTAAATTGACTGCAGGATCCTTTCGTGAGAAAGGAGAATAACGGCAGGGAACCATCCCAGCAAAATGAAGTTCTGGGCTCCACCGCCAGCTTTTCCCTCGAAGGTCATATTTCACGTCTGCCCTGTAATTTCATGAATTGTTCAATGAAGATGTGACTTATTGGCTTCCAAGCTTCATGGAGGTGTTGTCCAAATACAAGGTCCATAAAGTGCTTTGGAAGGTTTGGAGGAACAAAGAAACACTTTTGATCTGAGGTTGTGATGGAGTCTCCTCAACATTGTAGCCGATGATGGCGAGTGCTGGAGGGTTCATCAGACCTGACAGCAACCCCAGCCTTCAAACCACTCTCTCCCCTCACTATTCATACCTGCATTTGTGTCTGTTCAGTTGAATGCTGGCAGGCCGTCTTTCAAATAATGCTCCAGTTGCAAAGTAAACTGAGGACATTGAGAATAAATATCTCCAGTCTTCTAAGCTATACGGCAGTGTTGCTGGGACCTGTAAGAAAGTTTCTCTCTGCCATCTTAGAAGAAGGAGGAAGAGGAGAAGGAAGCAGGAAAATGGAACAAATTGCCGTACCTTTGTAAAAGATGAGATTGAAATAAATCACAAGGAGTGTTAAAACAGGCAGCTTGCGGGAAGCCAATTGCTAACACTCTCAGGCCCCATCCTTTCCTCCTCCTCTTCCTTTCAGAATAAATTAAAGAATGGGCCCAAGTCCAAGTTGTGTGTATGGTATCTTTATCTGATTGACCTCGTACTCCTAATAATATCTTATCTTCGCTTGTAAATCATTAGCACCCTTTTCCGTTCTCCCGGCATGTTACTTCTTTAAATGTGATGAACACTCACAGGAGTCCGCTCTGCAGACAGACAAAGCTACTGCAAGGATCCTCTGTCATTCATTTGGCGATTTGGTCCCGAAGGCCTCAGCTGGCTTCACTAGCAAAGTGTTTCACAAATTCCCATAGCCCTGCAAACAGCCACTCCCCCAAAGCAAACAACCTGAGACATCAGGTAAACACTGAAGAATGGAAATTTCATTCATTTTCCTGCCTGCATCCTCTCTAGTTGACAGAGAATGTCAGTCAATACAAGATTTGTTGAGAGTGGTACATTTGAGGATTTATTTGTAGGCTGTGTTAATATACTTTTGAGAAATTCAGTTGTATCTAATTAATGCTTTTTTCCCTTTGATTCATTCCAAACTATTTAAATTGGAAAATTGTGTGCTATTTGAAGATGCACTTTAAAACTCCTTTTGTTGTCATGGTGCCTGTTGTCACTGCTTTTTGTTGGTTGGTTCTTGTTTCTACAGGGCCCCTCCTCTTTGGGATCATGTGGGTACAGATGAGACTCACAGTTCCCTAGCCAGATGATCTATAGTAGTTTTTCAAAGACTGCATAGGTAGTGTTACTGAACATAGTTCAAATGTGTGTGTGTGTGTGTGTTTCTAACCTTGCAAGCTCCTTGCAAAACTACATAAATACTTGTATTTAAGTTGTGCTGTGCATATGAGCATACCTTATTATGAGAAAGGTAGATTTTAAAGTATTCCTTCCATGGGTAAATAAGTCTTCCCTGATGATAAATCATTACAGTTGCTTTCACCTCCCAAACTCCTTTAGCTCTCCTCTCCCATTCAGCCCCTGTAGAAAAGGGCTCCCTTTATTTACTGCCCCACTTGTTGCAAGTTGGGGGCTATTTCTTTAAGTCTAACTTAATATTCCTTGTATTTAGTTCAAACTGAAAAATTCTCATGTGTAACTGCCGGGCAGGGCAGAGGGAAGTAGTGTCTACTTTAAATCCGTTGCAGCACATGAACTTAAATGACAAAACAAACACAGAAGACTGAAAAGTCAGAGACCCTCTTAAAGAAAAGCTTACAAAATTATAGTGTCCACTCTAGGCAGGACTTTCATATCCTTTATCTAACTGTCACATGATGGGGTGACATGTTGATCCCCCCACAGCCTGGATGATAGAAATATTTGTGGTTTGATATGCGTCAGCGCTTATGACTTTGGCATAAAATACAATCTCCTTTGTTTCTTCCCCAAATTCAAGAAGTGCATCTTTCCATAATATTGAGAATAGAACCTAACATTTATTGAAAATCTACTAGCATATTTTGTCTTAAAAAAAAAAAAAAAAGCACTTCCACATACTCAGCAATGGCCCAGTGAGGCAGATAATAGCTTCATCCCATCTCACAATGGTGAAATAAAGATCAGAGGGAGCCAGTAACTTACCCAAAATGACTCCCTTAGGAGGTGGCAGAGCCCATACTCAAAGTTGGTTTGTTTAACCAAACTGCTTAAAATGTCAACTTAGTTTGCAAAACAGCCCTATGTGGTTGGTGGTATTATCTGCAATTCATCACCAACACACCAGGCCCAGGGCAAAGCTAAAAGCAAAGCTAACAGCCAGAGTGACCAGAACTGGGTCTCACCTCTGCTACACCTGTGCCAGGGAGAGGAGATGAACACTGTAAAGTGCTTTCATGCACTTGGGGGCCTTCCTGTCCAAGTGCAGTATAAATGTTCTTTGTGCCACATCTTAAAGGAATCCTCTTACAGAAAGGGCTTCCCATCTGAGTGGCAAGACCCAAGGCTAGGCTGATGCCTCTTCCTTTGCTATGTGAGACCTGAAGGCAAAGTCTGCCTGGACTGACAGAGATGGATGTGGCCTCCGTCTGTCTGTGTGTCATGACAGAAAGGAGGTGGGAAAACTTGGAAAATGGGAACCCTCACTTTCCTGAAATTCCCAGCAATCAGTTCCAAGAATTGTAACCTTGAAGCACAGGAAAGCAAGACCCTCAGCCGGGAACATGAAAGCTTTTGTCGGGAATTCTTTGAGGTCCTGATGAGGTGACACAGTGACCAGATGTTCCAGATTCAACATCAAGGCCGGTGGGGGTGGCACTGCACCGGTCACTTCAGGAAGAGCAGTGTAGTCAGAGAGCATGGCAACCACCATTCGCCTGGTAGACAGCTCATTCCATCTGCCTTGCATATTTTCCTACTTCCGCTGAGCTCAGAATGGAGAAGATCGAATACAGTCTGCTCTTATCACCCTGAAGACTTTTAAAAAGGCTCTGCATACTCACACAAAAATCGGGAACTTGATCACTGTGGCCTGACAATGTGTTTTGAAAAGGCGGGGGTTGGGGGCGGTCAGTCTTTCCCTGAAAGTTCCCATCCATTGTTGAGTAAACATCATAAATCTATCGCAGAGAGACAGGCTGCCTGTACTCAAATTACCGCCTGCTACAATTTTAGCTTCAAGTTTTAATGCCCTAAACATGAATAACGTCGTATCCCAGCACAGGTCTGATTAATGAGGCAACTTTGCCAACTTCAGGGTCGGAGAGTGGCTCCCCACCTCCTTCCTTTTTTTCCCCCTGTGGCTTAGTAACCATTTCAGCAAATTTCCTCATTAAATATACAAGGCGACTGAGTGCAATAAAAACTAAAGGATGTGGCAGATAAACACCAGCGTCTCTCTGAGCAGACCTCGCTGCCCAACAGAGCAGGCCAGCTCAGGTTTGCTGGGAGGAATCCAGAATGTTCCATCATGAATTCCAGCATAAAAATCATGCACGCATTGCCCTTTGCCATGGGTCATTTTCAGTCTGTGGGTTACACTTACAGGACCGTCTGCTTTCCGAGCTGTCACGTGGTTTATACATGGAATGCCACTCATGCCCTACTTGCACGTAAGGTGACCAATGGCTGGCTGAAGGTCACACTCAGGAGATGACCCAAATTAGCACGTAATGTCCAACCTTGAAAGGAAAGAGGGAAGTTTTATCTTGCCCAGATATTGTCTGTTCCCCAAATAAGATTGTGTGTCGCTTGAGTAATTCCCGAATAGGAGCCCGTTTGTTGAGCACTTAATGCACCCTGGGCACTGAAGAAGAAATGCGGAGGAGTCCCCAGGACTTGCTGAGTCTCCTAGAGACAGCAGAGGTGCTCTGCTCACAGGAGCTCATTTTCTGCCCACAACAACCCTGTGCCATCAGCTACATTATCTCCAGGTTTCTCATACAACCAAAGCTGAGGCTTATAGGGTGGCACAACTTCCCCTGCTCTGGCTCCGAATTCAATATTCCTAAGCCATAAAGCATTTCTCTTTCCTCCCCATCCTGTTCCTATTCCCAGTCTCTCCATGAACACACACACACACACACACACACACACACACACACACCCTTGTCTACACTTGAGCTGTAGTCTGGGCCCGTTACATCAACAACACAACCACGGCAGAACGTGGATTGGTCCAAATTGCAGAGATTTTAAATCTAAATTTCCCATGCTATTGAGACTTTACAGAACCAGTCCTTCAGGTGAGTTTTGATTTTCTGTTTAAGCCAGGGTTCAGCAAACATTTTTTCTAAAGGCCAGAGAGTAAACATTTTAGGCTTTGCTGGGCTGCATGGTCTCTATCACAACGGCTCAACTCTGCCATTGTAGCATGAAGCAGCCACCGGTAATACATAGAGGAATGGCCCAAGGTGTGTTTTAATACAACTTTATTTTTAAAAACAGGCAGAGGGCCAGATTTGGCCTACGGGCCATAGTTTGAGACCCCATAGTTTGAGATCTAAGTCATCACTAAAAGTGTTATCAGTAATTGAGGGTTTTAGACATTGCATCTGTCTAACCTATCAGAAGTAAGATTGGGGGCCAGGGCCATTGCAGTGAGGCTGTGGAAGTTCACAGCTGCTTAAGAAGCACTGTGACCAACATCGCTCCTTACCCCAGATGGGCCAGGCCAGCAGTCACAACATGTGCTCCATGGGGAGACAGCAATAGGCATTTCGCTAGAAAAGAGTTCTCTGGACTAGTAAGTTTAGAAAACCTTGGGCTATTATTATCGTTATTATTATATTATTCCATGACTGCAGGACTTCTCAGGGCTTTCATAATGCTGATGAACATGAATCTTCCTAGATATTCTGGATCTCTAGGAAGGGAAGGTTTGTGTGCAGAGCATGTCTGCACGATATTCTTTGGGAAGACTGCGCTGGCTCCCGTCCTAGAGATTCTCATGCTGTCTTTTCTTTCTACCTGTTTTCCCAACTGTTCCCACTTGAGAGTACTGGCCTGAGTTGCTGCCAACCTTACAATATCCAGCTCCGTCCTCAGAGCCACACTGCGGTCCCACTGGGGACTTTGGTGGCCCTGCCTCCCTGCAACCCCAGGTACTCAGTTTGGAGGGTGTGGAGAGGGCAGGGTTGAAATGCAGGCTGCTGTGTCTCTTTCCTTCAATTTTATCACCAGCTGCTGACCATGCTTGCTTAAAGGTCTGGTATTTATGGTCTCCTAGAGTCTCCCAGAACCTCACAAATACCCCCGGGCTCCTGGTTTGAGGGACTAGATGGGAAGCCCCCCTCCCTGGGAGAACACAGGCCTAGAGCTTCCTGGAACTTAGGCAGCTTGGTCAGGGAGTGTGAGGACTCTGACAGGAGCACGGGTGTGGGACATTCATGCCTGGAAGGCCCTCGCCACCTGAGACCTCGGTGTGGAGGCGGGACTTGGAGGAAAGGAGTCCCTGCTATAGTGGAAAAACCAGCCAGGGTAGGTAGTTTTGTATAAGACTCTTAACTCTGTGGAGACTTCTGTTCATTATCTGCAAAATAGAAATGTGTATCCCAGCAGCCTAGGCTTAGACTGTGAAGGACTAGCTGAGGGGTGTGTGAGAAAGTTTTGCAAACATGGCTGGGCACAGAAGGCTGAGCTATTGTCTGGAGGAAAACTCTCAGGGCAATTCAGACCTTTCTGGGCCCTTCTGAGGCAAGAGGCATTGAGGCAAAGTTTGAGATTTGACTTCAGGGACACTGTTCTCTAAGCATATGCTTCAGTCACGAGCGCTGAACCCACTCTCAAAAGCTAAGTAGTAGCAATGAAATGCTTAAAAAGTTCGACCCAGACTGCAAAGACCCACAGAAAATAGAGCACAGTGGCTGGCTTGGGGAGGGACCCTCGGTCCAGACAGCAGCCAAGGAGTTCTTGAGCCTTATTTATCACGTTGTAGTATTTTACAAGGAGGGCTATGCGTTATTTCTCTAATTGAACGTTACTTTTAAAAACAGACAAAGAGAATCAGGAAAAATGATGTGAGGACCTTAGGCCCAGATCTGTTTCCGTTTCAACAAGATGTGTCAGGATGATGAAAATGTCGTTTGGTTGAGCCGTGGTCATCACCCCGCATTGTTGTTCTTTCATGTGTTTGTGTGTGTGTGTGTGTGTGTGTGTGTATGTGTTTCCCTCTGAGTTTCCCAGTAGTCATTACTAAAAAAAACTCCTAAACTGACTCAAAACAACAATGACAAAAACAAAAGCAAACAAAAAGACCCAATCACCACAGGCGCCATTCAGGCCCTCTTGTCTGACGGTGTTCACAGACTGTGCTTGTGTTTCTGGATGTACCCGCTTCCTTTTCTCTCTTACTCACCAGATATCACTGGGAATCCCTCCTTCTTGCTCCAGGACTCTAAAGGAGACACTGGGGTAAGACTCATGTGGGTCTTGGGGCAGCCCATTTCCAGGAGAGCATGACCCCCACCCCCCAAGCCCCAGGAGGACGGACCCTTCCCAGCTGAGGCCTCCTCTGCATCCGGACCAGGGCCCTGGGCCTGAAGCCAGGTTTTAGTGAAGGCCTTTTGTGGGTGCCTCTCTTGCCCAGGAAACACAAGGTCTTTAAGCTAAGCCTGTTTGTGGGGAGAGCAACCCATTTCTTAGAGGGACTCAATCCATAGGGAGGACACTAGTCCATCAGGGGGCCCTTGTATTTTCATCCTGGAAAGCACAGTCCCCTGTTTCCTTCTGGGACATGAGAAGTTGCTTCTAATGGTTCATCCCCACAACCTCACTTCCCCATCCTTGATTTGCAAATGGGTCCATAGAGAGGTCCCAGGCAGCTACTTGACCCAGGCAGCGAAGGTGAGCGTGGGTCTCCTCACTGCCATGAGCCAGGCAGAAGAGCAAGCAAAACAGCTAAGAACCAGACAGGCCAGAGTTCAGGTTGCAGCTCTGAACCTGACTAAGCTGTGTGACCCAAGGCAACTCACCCAACCTCTCTGAGCCTCAGTTTCCCCACTTAAAGTGGAAACAAGACCAGCCCCTGCCTCATGGAATTGTCATGAGGAAGAGTGAAGGGGTGCTCGTGCAGAGCTGGTGCCCAGGGAAGGGGCTCCGGTGCCAGGCCTGACAGCTCGTCAGGGAAGCCTGCTGCCGGCCATCCCAGGGAGACAGTGCCAGATCAGAGGGAAGCTCAGCAAGCCACTTAAAAGGGACCTTGACTCAT
Organism: Homo sapiens; assembly: GCF_000001405.40. Taxonomy (NCBI): domain Eukaryota; kingdom Metazoa; phylum Chordata; class Mammalia; order Primates; family Hominidae; genus Homo; species Homo sapiens. The sequence goes on along the minus strand of NC_000002.12, from coordinate 111,412,329 downwards.
TTTGTGGTAACCGAATGTGCAGTTCAGGAAGTGCTTCGCAAAAGCGAACTGGGCTCCAGCCGCCCCCTCGTCCCCCTGCCCTCTGCTCAGGATTCACTGTGCGAGGACCCACCTGACACCACCTGATGCATGCCAGCAGCGTGGATGGCAGGCCCCACGTGTTCTCAAGCCCACCAAAGGCTGGTGGGTGTCGGCTCTCGGAAAGACAGCCTGACCTCCTGGACTGAAATTCCACTCCTCTCTTTAGTCGAGGTGCTCAATCTCCCTGAGCCTCTGTTTCCTCCTCTGTAACTGGCACTACCGCATACTAGGGCCGGTGCAAAGCCCTTGGCAACTAGGTATCATTTAATCCCCACAAGCAGCTCTAAAGGCAAGTACGAAACCTTGCCATTTAAGGATGGGGAAGCTGAGGGCACCTTGAGTTATGCCAGGGCACACACAGGGTGAGTCTTGGAGCTGGAATTTGAACCTGGGGAATGGCACTCCTGGGCCTTCCCTCCTAACTCATAGTATCTACAACCTGGATTGTAGACCTAGCTAGTAGGTCTTGGGGGTCCTTCCCTCCTAACCCCTGGTATCTAGAACCTGGATCGTAAACCTAGCTAGTAGGTCTTGGTGGTTCCTCACATGGATAGAAGAGATGCCAATTTCCATTAACCATGCACACTGCTGCTTGGTGGGCAGGTGAGGAAGTGGTCTGAGTGTGGAGGAAGCCCAGGACAGGACCCTCTTTGCCTCCCCGTGGGATGTCCTGGCTGCCCTGGGAGGATATGTGTGGTGTTCTCTACACCCACCTGAACCTCTAGCTCCCCAGAGCCTCTGACTGCATGTTCTGAGGGCAGTGGCATCGGGAACCCATGGGCGCAGTGTGCAGAGACTGGCCGAGGAGAGCTGTAGGGGTTACCTATTAAGGAGGCAGGTCCCAGCAGGTACTAGGGACTGAAGAGGGTGGAGGGAGACCCGAGGGGGGAAGAGGCTGCCCTCGTCATTAGCCCAGATCCATCCCACCCACTTCTTCCCATCTCCCTGTACTTGCCCCATAGGGATTCCCAAAGAGAGGGAAGTAGAGGGGGAGAGGAGTACATGGGCACAGGAGAGCGAGTGAGCACCCCACCCCACAACAGTGTCCTGAGGAAGGCCCCTCTTTTGTCTCCTGCTTCACAAGCCTTGGGAACGGGGAACTCTGCAGGCTGAGCGGCATCCCTGCTGGGAAATGAGGGCCTGTCTTAGTTCCTCATTTAAGGCACCCACCCTCATTCCCAAGGCAGTTAAAAGCCCCAAGTTGCCCAACTCGGTCAGAGGAAGCCTGTCCCATCAGTCTCACACACCCAGAACTTGATTCTCTGGCCTCCGAGACTGGGCAGGGACCAGCTCTGTGTCCCCGAGCCCACATGTAGAGGAGGGAGCCGCGAAGCTGATAGCCCAGGAACTTCTATTCCCCACTTGTCATTGTCAAACTCTGATGTCTTCTGGGACTAAATTTGAAGGACAGTTTTTACTGTTGTAACCAAAAAAGCAAAAGGAAGCAAACAATTAACAGGCCCCCTTCTTTTCGGGACTTTTTTCTTTGTCAGTAGAAAGCCATCTCAGTAAACAAGAGCTGTTACGAAATGTACCTCACCCCACACTATGCCTGTAAAGCATCTCCCTTCCCCCCGCTGCACAACCCATTGTACAAGAAATATTGTGATAGATACCTTTGGGTTGAGGCTGGAACAAAATGAGCCATCAGGAAGCATTCCATTTTCAGCTGGACTTGTTTCTGCATCTTTTGGAGGATTTCTGCAAACCCACAGCCCAGTATGGCATTTCCCATACTCTGTGATAAGAACCTCCAGGATAACGTTGGTGGCTCAGGGATCATCTGAGCCTTGAGCAGCTTCCATTCTGATCTGGATGTCTCTGATGTGTGCTTGTTCAAGCAATCGATGAGCCAGTCGTGGGCCCCAGACTCATGGGAACTGGGGGAGTGCCCAGGTCAACCCTGCTTGCTTTTACAGCTTTCCTATAAAAGCTTCTCCACTCTTTGCCTGGGCAAGCCCATGCCCAGATCTCCAGCACACACTCCAGCTGCCAGAGGGGGTGGGGGGGCTCCCTCCTGCGTCTGGAACCTATTCAGCCAGCCTGAGATTCAGAAGGGCCTACCTGCTGGAGCTGAGGGTGGGTGAACCCACCCACTTGGGGCTAGCGAAAGATTGCATCTTGTCCCAAGGCTCTGCTGGACCTTGGAGGATTCCCACCATTGTCTTTTTGGGATTTGAGGGAGGTGTTTCAGACTGGGAGACTGGGAGAATGTTTCCCAGCAAAAGGCAGAGGTTGGGGTTCCTGGGATGTGGCTCCCCACAGACCAGGAGGCTGACACAGTTCCTCTCTCTGTCTTCCTGCTTTTCTCATGCAAACAGCACCCCTTTCCCATGGCTGCTCTAACATCCTTGGTAGCTTAACACAAAACACAAATGTATTCTCTCACAGTTCCCAAAGGCCAGAAGCCTGAAATCTGTTTCAATGGGCTAAAGTCAAGGTTTCGGCAGGGCTTTGGGGAGATCAGCTTCCTTGTCTGTTCCGGCTTTTAGACATGGCCAACGTTCCTTGGCTTGTGGACCCTTCCTCCACTTAAAGTCCATCACTCCAGTGTCTGCCCCATCGTCACATGGCTATCCCTTCTTTAACCTTCTTGCCTCCTTCATATAAGGACCCCAGTGGTTACGTTAAGGGCCCACTCAGATAATCCAGGACTACCTCTCTATCTCAAGATCTTCAACTTAATCACATCTGCAAAGTCCCTTTTGCCGTGTAAGGTAACATTCTCAGGTTCCAGGGATTTGTGGATGTCTTTGGGAGCCATTATTCAGACTCAGATAGTTATAGTTAAGACCTATGAGACAGTCTTCTACATCCCTGAGTGATACTTGAAGCAGCCTAGCAACAAAAAAAGCCACAAAACTTTGTCAGGAGAGCTGTTTTTGGGGCCACCCCACATTGACCCTTACCTCTGCAGCCCCTGGTTTCCTCTGGCCCCTGCACTTGTGTGATACCTTGAGAAGGGGTGGATCCACATGCCAGCCTACGCAGGAGCAAGAGGACCAGTGCTTCTTCTCCTTTCTTGGTACATGCCAGCACGGTCTGTGGCTGGGATGCTGCTCTCTGAGACTTGGGAGCTTACTTGTTCACCTCAGCAATGAACTCTGACCACATTTTGCCATTCCTATTCTCAGGCCCCTAGCAATCTCATTCCCAAACTCGATGACCCAGTCTTTTGCATGGCTCAGAGAACTGCCAGAACTGTTAGCACCTAGGCCCTCTGCTGGAGTTCACAGATGCAAATTCTGTTGCTTGCACTCCAAATCTGTGATGCAGGATTGTCTGCTATGTGGAATTAATTCAGAACTTGAGGAATCCTTGTAGTGCCACCTTACAAATGGGTTGGTGCCTTGGAAACCCAGTCCTGGCATCAAGGCCTTGGCATCTGTCAAGCAGAAGTGTGCCTGGGGTGTATTGGGGGAGGGGCAGTGTTGGAGCCGATTTCACCGATTTCTGTTCCTGGCTCTCTATTGTGCAACAACAGGCTCTTCTATTCCTTAAGACGGCAGCATTATTGCCAGGTCCTTCTATTTGCTCATAAAACTCCCATTTACACAGCAGTTTGCAGGACACATCAAATACAAAAATGGATGTGAGGTTTAGTACAGGGAGACCACAGCCATAATGAATCCTGGCAGGGTTTTTATTTTGGTTGCATCTCAGAAGCACTTTGCCAAGCAATGTATATGTGTTGAATGAATGAATGAATAAATGAATGAATGAATGCCGGTGGACTGACATGGCCGTATAGAACTGTAGTCACCCTTCAGAGAGAAGCCTCTGCAATGCACCTGAAAAGCAATGACCATCTACATGTTCTTCCTTTTCTTGTTACTATGTTTTACCCCACCAGGATGCCCACTGACCAGAAACTAAACAAAAAAACTCATGTTCCTGAATTCATCTTTTACTTGAGGGTAAAAGCTTGGGGTAGTGAAGTGAATGTTGGTGCCATATCATGTTCAAGCATTTTGGAATTATATAGCTCTAATTTAGACAACAGCAACAACAAAGAAAAGAGACTCCATCATCAGAATTGATAGGTTAGTAAATTTACAGATCACTCAAAGATGTTAAAACAAAAAAACAAAAAACTTTCTAAACTCTCGGTGTTCTTGGGAAGTAGCCTGCTGTCGTTGGGCTAGAGATACCAAGAAGAGCCAAGGCAGCAGATTGTGGTTGAAATTTAACACGGTGTGGCGGTGGTAGGCTGGCGGCACAGGGGCTGCCGTCAGAGATAACACACAGCCCGGAGAACCAGGGTGTAGATCAGTGCATCAGAGCCCTTTCCAACGGTCAGGAGAGGAGGCAGCTGCCCTGGGGGCAGGGAGGACCTCTGACCCACAAGTCCTGACCTACTGGCAGGAGAACCATTCCTGGTTTGCTTGCTGGGTCTGAGACATTTCCGGAGATGTGGGACTTTCAGTGTTAACACCCAAATAGCCCTGGGGAAACTAGGATGGTTGCTCACCCAAGCTCCAACTTGTCTATAGAATTATCTGGCTTTGAAAGAATGTCACGTGCTTTTATCTTGAATCTAAGGTCACTGGCATGCCCCTCTCATCCACTGGTTATTCTTGATGGTAAGGGGGCGGGGTGGGTAGGGTGAGGGGAGGGTGAAGGGGAGGTTCCTCCTGCCATTCCTTCCTGGAGAAGAGACCAGGGCCTTTCCAGGATTTTGGACTCTGACATGGAAGGAAAACACTTAAAGACCTTCAGGATTTCGTGAGAATAACAAGATTTTATTTTAACCATAAATTGTAATATTTGAGAAAATGCAGACATATTGTTTCTCAGAGCCCATACTAAGTCAGTGTGGAAAACAGCCTTTCTCTGGAGGCAAAATTGCACTGATTAACTTGAATTACAAAGGGAGCATTGCTTACCTTAAGCTAAGACAGCTCAATGAGACCTGCTGTAGCATTTTTATTACATGTGCAATTGTGCACATGTACCCTAGAACTTAAAAGTATTATAATAATAATAATAGGAACCTGAAAATCTAGACGTGGAGTGCTTGCGGTCTCTGGACACTCAGGTCTCTCCTCTTACCTCCTTTCACCTCCTCTCAGAGCCCATCGCTGACATTTAGATCCTCTAGAAACACAAGCGTAGCTCAGCTGCATGTCAGAAGTGCAAAAATATTTAACTTTAATTTTTTTATGTATATGTCTAAACTTGTCTTACACTTAAGGTCCCTGTATTAGTCTGTTTTCACACTGCTAATAAAGACATACCTGAGAATGGGTAATTTATAAAGGATAGGGGTTTATTGGACTCACAGTTCCACATGGCTGGGGAGGCCTCACAATCATGGCAGAAGACGAAGGAAGAGCAAAGGGACTTCTTACATGGCAGCAGGCAAGAGGCATGTACAGGGGAACTCCCCTTCATAAAACCATCAGATCTCATGAGACTTATTCACTACTACAAGAATGCCATGGTGAAAACCTGCCCCCAAGATTCAGTTACCTCCCACTGGGTCCCTCCTATGACACATGGGGATTATCACAATTCAAGGTGAGATTTGGGTGGGGACACAGAACCAAACCATATCAGCCCCTTTCTATTGGTGGCAACAAAATATTTCATTTTACTAACTAAAGATTAGTAATCTCTACTGTATTAAAACTTACGTTCATTAAGGTTCTAAGTTTCTGATGCCACTCAAGGATTCCCCACTCCCCTCCTTTCCCAAAATGCAGCCCAGGTGCCAGGAGAAGTGGGTGTGTGTGCCCTGTGGCATCTGGGGAGAAGGGGCTGGCCTCCCAAGGAAGCAGAGCTTCTCCCTCCTGGTCTTCAGGTGCCACCCTCATGGGGTCCCTGCCTAGGTGTCTATGGCTGGGGTTGCTCATGACCTGTTCTCACCACAGGCACAGCATTAAGGTCCGAGGTGACTTGTATGTGTCCCCAGATTGGCTGAGAAGTAATTCATTGTATGATTATAGCACAGTTTGTTTAGTCATTCACCTGCTGATGGCCATTTGGGCTATTTCCAATTTTGTAGTACAGTAGTCCCCCTCCTATCCACAGGATAGGTTCCAAGACTCCCCAGTAGATGCCTAAAACTGTGGACAGTACTGACCCCTATATACACTGACTGTGGATAGTATTGACACTATCCGTGGATTTGATAACTGAGAGGGCTACTAAGTGACAAATGGGTGGGAAGTGTATATGGCGTGGAGACACTGGACAGAGGGAGTATCACTGTCCCTGGTGGAATAAAACAGGACATCACGAGATTTCATCATGATACTGAGAAGAAGGCACAATTTAAAACTTATGAATTGTTTACTTCTGGAATTTTCCATTTAATAATTTTGGACCATGATTAACCACAGGTAGCAAAAACCATGGAAAACAAAACTGTGGAAAAGCAGGGACTACTGTATCATGAATAAAGCTGGTAAGAACAAGTACAGGTCATTTTGTGGACAAGTGTTTTTACTTCTCTTTGGAAAGTAGAAGTATTGCTAAACCATACATAAGTGGATGTTTAATGTATAAGTAACTACTAAATAATTTTCCAAAGTGGCGTATGTTCCCACTAACAAAGTATGAGAATTGCTTCATGTCCTCACCAACATTTTGTGTCTTTAATCTCTATAATTTGAGCTGTTCTAGTACATGGGAAACGGCATTTAGTTCTGGTTTTAATTTGCATTTCCCCAATTACTCATTATGTTGACTACCTTTGCAAGTGCTTATTGACCATTTGCAAAGTGTCTGTTTTAGGCCTTTTCTTAGACCTATCTCTAGGCTGTTCCAGGCCTATTTTTATATTTGGCCATGTATTTTTTATTATGGATTTATAGAAATTCTTCATGTATACTTGATATAAGTCCTTTGCCAAATAAATATATTGTGAATATTTTCTCCTAGTCTTTGGCTTATCTCTTTTTCATTTTCTTTCTTTCAAAGAGAAGAATTTCATGAAAATAAATTTATTACTAAAATAAATGTATAATTAATGTATGAGTAGTGTTTTTTGTATCCTAAGAAATCTTTGCCTAACCCAAGGTAGCAGAGATCGTTTATGCTTTCTTCCACAAGTTTTATAGTTTTAGGCTTTTATTTTTAAGTCTATATTGATAAACCTAAAAGTGTGTTACTTAATTTTTGCATGAAAATTTTTAAGATATTATATGGTTGTTGATTTCTAATACCCACTTAGTTAGAGAATACACTTTGCATAACATGACATAGACAACAGGGATAAGCAATGGGCAATTATTTTTTAAAGAAATTAGAGAAAGACAAAGAGAGTAGTCTTTTATGGTTACAGACATATTTTACCTATCCATGGTTGTTAACATCTTGGTATCTGCTTTCCATTCTCAATACCCAAGTTTCCATCTGATGTCATTTCTCTTCAACCTGAAGAACTTTCTTTCATATATCCTGGTGATGAATTCTCTCAGCTTCACTTAACTGAAAATGTCTATATTACCTTCATTTTTTGAATGATATATTTTACTGGACATAGAATTTCAGCATTTATTATTTCGTTACCACAAAATTTTGTCATCTCTGACCTCATTGCTTCTGATAAAAAAACCGATATGATTTATATCATTGGCCCCACACAGGTAATGTGCCTCTGGCTGCTCAAGATTTTTCTCTTTCTCTTAATTTTTCAACAGTTTGACTGTGTTGTGCATGTGTGTGTGAGTGTGTGTGTGCCCTGTGTGTGTGTGTGTTCATCTTCTTCGGAGTGTTTTGAGATCCTTGGGTTTATAAGTTAGTGCTTTTCATCAAATATAAGACATTTTCAATTACATTTTCTCTCTATTCCTCTTCTGAAATTATAATTACACATATGTTAAACTATGTGATATTATGCCAGATGTCGCTGATACTCTTTTATTAAAAAATATTTTCTATATGTTCTTAAGATTGGATAGCGTATATTGAGCTCTCTGCCAGTTCACTGACCTTTTCTTCTGTTGCCTCCAATCTAATGTTAGGCTTATCCACTGAAATTTTCATTTCTGAGTTCTAGAAGCTCTATTTGTTTTTGTTTTTTGTTTTACCCCAAGTTGTTGCTATTTTCTTCTCTGATTTTCTATCTGTTCCTTCATTATTAAAATATTTTCCTTTATGTCCTTGAACATATTTATAATAGCTACTCAAAAATTCTTGTCTACTAATTCCAACACCTAGAGTACCTTGGAGTTTGTTGCTATTAACTTTTTTTTTCTTTCGAGTATGAGTCACTTTTTTCTGTTTCTTTGCATGTTTATAAGTTTTTATTATATACTGTGTTTTGTGGATAATAGATTTAGAGATTCTGGATTCTATTGTTTTCCTTTGGCAACATCAATCAGTTAATTATGGAATGTCACCTTAAAGTTGCAGAACCTTGGTTTTATACTCTTTAGGGTAGGCCTATTTAGATTTTTCGTTAGTCTTAGGGAGGATCTTTAATCCTGGGGGCATAGTTATTACTCTTAGGTATGACCCCTTCCTAGGATTTTAGTGAAATGCCCAAGATGTTTCCAAACAGCTCTTTTGGAAAAATTGATAGGATTTAAACTCCAAAATCTGTCTCCCAATCATTGAGCAATGGGCAATTGGTTGAAATCATTATTCAGCTTTAAAAACTTTAGCTCTTTCCAGGATTTATCCCCCTCAATTTCCAGTCACTCTGGCAGCCCCAAACTCTGTCCTCTGACACCTCAAGCAATAAGATCACAGCTTTCTGCCTGGCGGACTAGAGAGAGCCCTTAGATAAAAACAGGGTAAGCATAGGAAGCACGGGTGCAGTTCCTTCTTTCAAAGGTCAAACTCCAGTTTCTCTCTGCCAGTGCTTTCAATTTTTTAAAAATATTTTGTTCAGAGTTTATAAATCTTATCTGCAGGAGGATTGGGCCAGTGGAGGATACTCCATCATCATTAAAACTAGAACTTCTTCTATACCCACTTTATGGTTCTTAAAATGTATTCCAAAATTGACCTTCACAAAGATTAGACATTCTCACTGGCAAGAAATGAGAGTCCCTGATATCCTTTCCCCTTGGCAGCCAGAATTTCTTAGACCAAATTGCATAGAATGCCAGAACCTTAGAAAACACCAGACCCAGTACTTCCCAGCTCAAGGCTCCTGAATCCCAAAAGCGTTTATGAGGGTAGCACAGGGTCAAATGGCAGCTTCTATAAGTTATAAGCACTATGTATTTTTCCAAGCATAAAATATACAGTTATTCATAACACAAATCTTAAATGTCATTACTTTTGGTTGGAATTACATCATAGTTTTCCTGCAGACATAGGTTTTCTCTTGCTCATCAGAAGCACTGCTTTATAGTTAAGTACATTTTTGGTCAACCTCAAATGGCAAGGTGTATTATTATTATTGATAAGTGACATGTGGCTTTTAGGACATAGGAACCTCAGAAAGAAAGTTTATTAGAAGAATTCTTGGTGGCCCTGGGCACTTTGAATAGTAATGAGTGTTTCTGGTTGATGAATTTAGATTTAATCATTGGATCTATCTTTGTTTATAAGAGCTGCTATAGCTTTAGCTTCATTATTTGCTGAGGCCCCAAGACATGAAAGCACTTGCCTGGAGTGACACAGACTGACACCCCTTGTGGGTTCAGAGATCAGAAACTAAGATCAGACTTTGTTCTGAACACAGCAGCATTTATAACTGTGAAGGACTAATTCTGATACCTACCATGTTTCAGAGACAAAATATAAAAGGGTAAACTTAGAGAAGAGCACTTTAGAGAGGCATCCAGAGAGAATGTTGATGATTGGATGGACATGACCTTTTGAAATGCCTGTGATTTCTGTTCCATTTCTTACCCCGGCAAGAATAAACCAATTGGAATTCAGGCGAATGAATTTTGATTGAGCACAGATTCATCATATCTTGCCAGGTTTGTCCTTTATTTGTCTCCAATGCTGATGCATCTGGATTCACATCAACTCCATCCACTACACTTACAAAGGCAAGTGCTTCCCCACCTTCTGTAATCATGGAGGAAATGTATGGTATAGGGCAAGCACATAGGTGGCTTTTTCTTTATAACTCCTGTAATATCCAGGCCAATGTTACATATTCCTTAATATATATTTACTGCAGCAAAATTTAGATTTATTTCACCATATTTTTCCCCAGAAAAGCCAGCATCCCCATTTACAGAAGCAATCACAGAAACATGGAGAAATTCATTACAGTCTTAGTGCCTCAGAAGGACATAAATCAACTTTTAATTACCTCTACCTGGAGATGCTTGGTGCAATGCGCTGTGTGTGTGAGACTGAATGTGTGTGTGTGTGTGTGTGTCGGAGATTGAGTGTGTGAGTGTCTGAGAAGTGTGTGAGGGTGTGAGGTGGGTGTATGTGAGATTGTGTGTGAGAGTTAGCTACGCATCTCCTCTGTCTCCTCAGAGCCATTTCTTTTCTAATTGTGCTCTCAGACAACCAGCCAGCTAAGCAGGGTCTGGCGAGTCTGAGACATTCATGCTGGGGTTTGCATGAAGCTTGTCTCCAGGAATCCAGGACACAGTTTAGATTTGCTCAGACCCGTCTCAGCAGCCTGGAGTTAGGATGACCAGATCCTTTGAAAGGTAAAGAAGCTGCTGCATAGGAAACAGAAATGAGTCAATTTCTGGGAAGTTGCTAGAGTTTGAATATTTGTCCCCTCCAAAACATGTGTTGAAATTTAATTCTCGGTATGTCAGTATTGAGAGACAGTGCCTTTAACAGGTAACTGAGTCATGAAGGTTCTTCCCTTATGAATCACAGGGTTATCATAGGAGTGGGACTGATGTCTTCATAAAAAAGGAAGCGAGACCTGAGCTAGCAGGTGAGCATGCTCAGCCCCCTTGCCATTTGATGCTCTGTGCTGCCTCAGGACTCTATAGAGAGTCCCCACCAGCAAGACAGCCCTACTAGATGTGGCCCCTCCACCTTGGATTTCTTGGCCTCCAGAAGAAAATAATAAATGCCTGGTTTCGAGTGCTCTGTTATATGCCACAGAAAAAGACAGAAGTGGAGAGGCTTATAACCCCCAGGATGGCCACAGGCTTATATCCGTTTTATCCTCAGGGGCGAACCCTTGCCTACCTGTTTTTCCATCCAGCCAGGCCAGCACTGTAGCAGAGGGAAAACCCAAGGGCCCCGTATCCTGGCAATGCAGCCAGGACTAGTGTCCAAAAATATACTGGGAATGGTGCTGTGACTACATGCTGTGAATGGAAACAGCCTGACTGCAGAGGGAGGAGTCAGGAGGGGCTTCCCAGAGGACAGGGTGGGGTGGGGTTCACCCCTAGTGCAGCCTCAGCAGGAGAATGGGGGGTTGTTCTCTCTCCACTGTGAACCTGGTGTTCTTCCCTTCTCTGGGGTCTGGCTCTTCTACTGAGAGAACAAGGTGGGCAACAGAAGTCACCAAAACCTCCTCCAGTTGTGCAATGCTAACCTTGAGAGCAGGGCCAGGCTGAGACAAACACAGAACCCAGCTTCTTGCAGATAAGATGTGAAAAGAGTCTGTTACTCATTCCAGGTCCTGTGGCACTTTTAGCAGAGATGGATGTTTCCAGCTGGGGCTTGCCTTAGTTTACTAGAGACACTGTAACAAAACACCTTAGACTGGGTAATTTGTAGGTAATAGACATTTATTTCTCAGTTTTGGAGGCTGGAAGTCCAAGATCAAGGCACAGGCAGATTTGGCGTCTGGTGAGGGCCCACTCTGTACTTCATAGATGGTGCCCCTTGCTGTGTCCTCACAAGGTGGAAGGGGCAAGCAAGCTCTGCTGCAGCTGTTTTATAAGGGCACTAATCCCATCTAGGAGGCCTCCACCCTCATGACTTAATCATCTCCTAAAGGCCCACCTCTTAATACTATTACACTTGTAGTTGTCTCAACATATACATTTCAAGGGGACACATTCAGGCCTTGCAGGGCTTTAGATCCCACCACTTCATCTTATCCTCTTTCTTGTCCCTTCTCCCTTCTCCTGAAGCTTGAACTGAAAGATGCTTGATTTTGGCCTCTACTTTGTCCTCATTGCCATTTGTGACAAATGAAGAAATTCTATGTATGGTGAGGACAGCACCATGGAGCCCCTTAGACTTTAGGCTTGTCCATTTGGCTCTGTGGATATGAGTTGTATTTTCTCTACTTTTCTTTGAGCTCTCCAAATAAAAACAGTTGATAATCTGAATACATTGACCATGTATTCTAGAGGTATACAGAAACATGTGTGGACTCTGAAGCCAAACTTTCTGGTTTAGTCCTAACTTCAACACATATTAGAAGTATGACTTGGGCATAAATTATCTGGGTCTCAGTTTTCTCGTCTGTTAAAAAAGACAGTGATACAGCCAGGTGCGGTGGCTCACGCCTGTAATCCCAGCACTTTGGGAGGCTGAGGAGGGCAGATCACTTGAGGTCAGGAGTTTGAGACCAGCCTGGCCAACATGGCAAAACCCCGTCTCTACTAAAAATACAAAAATTAGCCCGGCGTGGTGGCTGGTGCCTGTAATCCCAGATACTCTGGAGGCTGAGGTGGGAGGCGGAGGTTGCAGTGAGCTGAGATTGCCGCCACTGCACCCAAGCCTGGGCGACAGAGCAAGACTCCATCTCAAAAAAAAAAAAAGAAAAGAAAAAAAAGACAGTTATATAATAGCAAAGACATGGAATCAACTTAAATGCCCATCAATGATAGACTGGACAAAGAAAATGTGGTACATATACACCATGGAATACTATGAAGCCATAAAAAGAATGAGATCATTTCCTTTGCAGGCACATGGATGGCGCTAGAGGCCATTGTCCTTAGCAAACTAATGCAGGAACAGAAAACCAAGTATCACATGTTCTCACTTACAAGTGGGAACAAAATGATGACAACATATGGATACTTAGGGGGAACAACACACATTGGGGTCTGTTGGGTGAGTAGGGGATGGAAAGAGGGAGAAGATCAGGAAAAATAACTAATGGGTGCTAGTCTTAATACCTGGGTGATAAAATAATCTGTACAACAAATCCCCATGACATAAGTTTACCTATGTAACAAACCTGCACATGTACCCGTGAACTTAAAATAAAAATGAAAAAAAACAGTGATAGTACCTATCTCATAGTATTGTTCTTGGAATTATGTTAGCCATTATATAATTCTTAAAGAGTTCCTGGCATGTAGAAAGTACTATGTAAGTGACAGCCATCGTTGCTTTTGTAATGATTATTTTGCTTCCTTTCTTTTTGTTCATTGCACACTTAAATTTCTAAAAGAGATTCCAATGTCTTTATTATTAAGGTGAGAGGAAAGCCTGAATTTACCTTCCCCCTCTTCCCAGCTCTGCCCCTCACAGCCCCCAGACCTTTGCTTTGCTTGCTGGACCCAAAGACACACAATTCTCGTCCCTGTGCCTGGGAAGGGGTGTTGGGATTCAGGGCAGATGTATTTACCAGACTGTGGTTTGGGCCCCTGTGTTGTCTTTTAACTTATAAAATATCTGTATAATTATTTTTCATTACTAGCCACCACATTCCTTTGTTATAACTGCTTTTTTGAAAATGAATATATGCACATTGTAAACAATTTCAAGTGAAACCCCCTCCCCATCCCTTGTCTGATGGCTAGTCTCCCTCCCCTGAGGGCCGACGCCACTGCTTGCCAATTTTGACATAAGGCTTGAAACCAATGAGTGTCAAGTGACTGGGTGAGTTTGATTCCTCCTACTTGTCTTGGCAATCCCAAACAGTTCCAGGAGAAGATTGTTTCTTGGAGAGTGGGTGGCAATGAAATAATAGCAATGGTGGTCAACCTTTATTGAGCAGGAATTGTCTGCCAGGCACCCTTCCAGGAGCTTTGCCTGAGGGATCTCGTGATCTTTGTGATGAGCTATCGAGGCGGCTACTGCTGCGACCTGGGATGGAGATGCCCAGGTGGAGGCCCAGAGAACGGAAGTGTCCTTCTAAGGCCTAACTAACAGATAGGGGACTTCCATCTGCTCCAAGGATATCTAGTTCCAGAGTCCACACTCTTGGAATCTAGAAAACTCCATCAGGACTAATTTATGAGCATCTTAGAACCACTTTCCCTGAAATTTCCTTTCTACAAACCTAGGAAGGGTTTTTTCTCCCTTCTTCCTAGCAAGTTCTTAGCTTTTTATGGAATAAGAAAATGCACAGAGTGGCCTTCATCCTGGACAGGCTCCTTTGATGTGAGCCACGAGGCACCTAGGGCTGGGTCATCTGTGGCCTCTGCAGGTGGCCACCACGTGTCCTTGGGCTTCCCCATCTGCTCCAGGCTTTGGTCTTTTAATTTCAAAAGCAGGGAAAGAGCAGGCTCACCTGAACCTTCTCCAGAGTTCTTTCTATTACTCAGAGTCCATCTAGCTAAACATGTTTTTAAAAATATTTATTTGCACTGGTGAGCCCATGGCCATGGTGGAAGTGGGGACATGGGTAAGCAAGAGTCCACCCTGCCCCACGGAGCTCACGTTCCGCAGGAGTGGAACACACAGCAGCCCGGGGCAAGGCACCTCTGGCCTGTCCCTCACCTGCTTTGCACCTGGTTATGCTTCCCTTACTCCCAGTAGCAAGTGCCCCAGGAACCCCGTGGGTGACCTACTCAGTGGTAGGCTGTGCCTGCTTGCAGGAGGGACCAGAAGGCTACCTGGGGTTATTTCTCAGGCATGAGCCAAGGGTCACATTATAAAAGCTATGCCAGATTCCCCATAGATGATCCTCTATCCAAAAATTAGGAGCTCTTAAGTCATAAGATGAGTCAAATCTTCCCCGTTAGGACTCAACATAGCTATGTTCAGTTTTACTGGAAAATAAGTCACTGGAAAGCACTTTTTATGGTTTTCTAAATCTCTCTTATGCCCAAAGAAGTGGTTCAGCCGTGGTCTAAGGCACTGCTCACTTACTCTGATTGCCATCTTCAGCATCATCGTGATGATGATAATGATGATGATGATGATGATATAACAAGATAGTAGCAATAACAAGAGCTGCCTCCTCCCAGTTGTGAAATTATGTTTATGGATATCTGGGGCTCACTGTTCTCTTTAGGAATGACCCCTGAGGGCTCATGGCTCCCAGCCCCCAGTACTGCAGGTAAAGCAGAAACGTGGGTACCACCACCACAGTCATAGCTTAGATGGGGCAAAGAGTGCTGACTCCAGAAGCCGCCATCATCACCGACTGTGTCGAATTTGGAAATGGGGACAGAAATGTACACATACCCATGGGCTTTGCAGAGAGGCCATCAAATCTACTGTTTCTTTTTGGTTGTAAAACCCTGAGGATCTCTCTGCATTTCTTCCCTTCCCACCCCCATTGTTTAAGCCTCAGTTTCTCCTTTGAGCTACCTGGGATTCTGATGGGCAGGATTGCTCTGTAAGCGCTAAGCTCTGTCCACAACTCAGCCATTTTGTGTCTCTGGTTTGCTTTGGATGGCAGTTTTCCCCTTATCCTGCCCAGATTTCCAGTATCCAAGCCCGTTATTTTCTTATTTTCTTCTTTATGACCTGTATTTTTCCAAAGATTGGGAAGCAAAAATGTCAAGGTGATAGATGCATATAGATAGGTAAAAAGATGACAGTCAGTTTTAATCCTCATTTTGCTTTTCTGTATTTCCAAAATTTCTACAAGGAACATCTATTGTATTTGTAATAAGAAAAATAGTCTAATGAGGCTGGGCGCGGTGGCTCACACCTGTAATCACAGCACTTTGGGAGGCCGAGGGGGCGGATCACGAGGTCAGGAGATTGAGACCATCCTGGCTAACACGGTGAAACCCCGCCTCTACTAAAAATACAAAAAAATTAGCCAGGCGTGGTGGTGGGCGCCTGTAGTCCCAGCTACTCGGGAGGCTGAGGCAGGAGAATGGCATGAACCCTGGAGGCAGAGCTTGCAGTGAGCTGAGATCGCGCCACTGCACTCCAGCCTGGACGACAGAGCGAGACTCCGTCTCAAAAAAAAAAAAAAAAAAAAAAAAAGAGAAAATAGTCTAATGAAAAGCAAGTTGGTGCCTTGAAGTTGAGTGTTTTGGTTGAATGTTGGCTAAGGATCCAGTCCCCCAGAGGTTAGTTAAAAGCTTTTCCTCCAGCCCTATGACCACGGGGGTAACAACTCAACTCCTCAGGCCATGAAATTTCAGAGGGTTATCTTTGTCCTGAGCCTCAGACTTCTGTGGATCCAACAAGGGAAGGGCTGTCCGGCAGTGGAGACTTGACATCTCACTGGCTCCCAATACTTGCAGCTGCAGTGTTTCTTGAGCACTACTGTGTCACACACGGCCTGAGTGCCTGCCCCCATCTTCAGAGAATGGCACCCGGGTCTGGTTGGCTCACCTCACTCAAAGTGGCAGGACCGTCTCTACTGCATGCATTTTCTGTGTGGTATGTTTTTCTTTCTTTGGTAGCTCATAAAATTCCCCTATCTGTGCTGGGCCTCTTGGTCTTTAATCTTCAACCTCTGCTGGAGCTGTCCCTATTTCTTTTTAATTATGCCTCTTTTTTTATGGAAGTTTCCTATTAAATTTTTATGACTATATAGAGCTGTGGATAGACTCCAACAAAAATGAAATCTTTATGGAATAGTCATTTCTCTCCAGGAGCCCCTGATAGATGTTCCTCTGTGGATAGACACACATGTGTGGTGGGGGTGGGGAAAGTCCCTCTGGTCTTGGCTGCAGCTCGGCAGGATGCGGGAGAGGCAGCTGAGCTGCTTATTCCTCAGCGTGAGGGCTGCTGGGAGCGTGGGGTGCAGCTCAGCTGGGGGGGGTGGGGGTGACGTGGGATGCAGAGGATAAGAAGTAAATCTTCCCTAGGTGTAATTTCTTTGCCTTGGTGTCTGCTGAATTAGCACTGCTCCCTAATCCCAAGCCATCAAGCTACATGGCTGCATATGAGCGGAGACATGCCCCGTTACTCCTTATTCAGAACCTTCATGGCCAGGCACGTTGGCTCATGCCTGTAATCCCATCACTTTGGGAGGCCAAGTAGCAGATCGCTTGAGCCCAGGAGTTCGAGACCAGCCTGGGCAACATAGTGAGACCCTTCTCTATATAATATAAAAATTAAAAAAAAAAAAAAAAGAGAAGAAAAGAAAAGAATTTCCTGCCCAGGTCTGCCAGCTGAGCTTGCAAAAATGTTATCCTTGGGGCTAACATTCTGTATTAGTTCATTTTCTCGCTGCTGATAAAGACATACCTGAAACTGGGAACAAAAAGAGGTTTAATTGGACTTACAGTTCCACATGGCTGTGGAGGCCTCAGAATCATGGCAGGAGATGAAGGGCACTTCTTACATGGCAGTGGCAAGAATATAATGAGGAAAAAGCAAAAGTGGAAACCCCTGATAAACCCATCAGATCTCGTGAGACTTATAAACTATCACGAGAATAACACAGGAAAGACTGGCCCCCGTGATTCAATTGCCTCACCCCTGGGTCCCTCCCACAACACGTGGGAATTCTGGGAGATACAATTCAAGTTGAGATTTGGATGGGGACACAGCCAAACCATATCACATCCTAAGTGACTGTCTGGGGTCACTGGACCCTGGCATGCTTCCCCCTGTGCCAGCTACCAGCTATGTGGTCTGGGAATGGCTTGGGATCCACAGATAGCTCTCCAGGGGGGTCACGGACCAGAGTTGCTGTTGCAGGGTGTGAGTCCCCTTGCCAGGGAGGGAAGGGACAGTCATTCACTTATAAACAGATGTTGGGACTCACCCAAATTGAGTGCTGGGCCTAGATCAGGGCACCAGGGATTTCTCATTCTTAGTCCCGTGGAGCTGATGTTCCTGAAGGAGGAAATGGAGAAAACTCAAGAAAGCTTGTAAACGAGTGAGGTGGTTTTAGATTGTGGTGAATGCTGGGGGGCAAACGGAGAAATTAAGAGGGCTGCCAAGGGAGGAGGAGGGAGGAGTTCTCATTTCAACAATGTTCAGGGAAGGCTGCCTGCTGGGGCGATCCTGGAGCTGGGACAGGATGATGAGGGGCTTGCATACTCAGATCAGGGGCAGAGCCTTCCAGGCAGCAGGACCAACAAGTGCAAAGGCCCTGAGGTGGAATGAGTTTGTCAAGTTGAGAAACTTGTCAAGATGAGCGTGGCTGGGACAGTGTAAGCCATGGGGAGAGTGGAGAGACAGGAGGCTGGGTCAGGCATGGGAGATTTTTAATCCTTGCTAACTTACTTTAAATGTCTAAAGACACCATTTTGACTGCTGGACAAAGAATGGACTATGGAATTGCATTAAAGTCCAGAGGTCCAGTTTTTGGAACCACCAGGAAGGCAACACAATGCGCCTACTCTCAAAGGGATTTGGGGAATGGAAGAAGGTGGGGTTATTGTTTCATCAGGCTGCTTGGATTTAGACCTGTTTTCTTAAGCTGCAAGATCTCCTACAAAACTGGATCCTCACCTAAGTTTGGAGGACAACTGAGAAGTGATAGTTATGTTTGCCTCCCTGCAGAGAATAAACTCTCAGGAGAGGATGGAGCACTGCAGCTCTTACCTATGAAAGTTGATAAGGAAGGGAGTCTCCAATGTGAGTGTGGCAACTGTCTACTCACTGGAAGGAACAGTGATACATATCATAATAGGGAAGGAAATGAACAGCATCCATTATGTGATGGCGTCTATCCCATGTGTTAGGTCCTGTAACTGACAACAGCCGCCCTGAAAAGTATTATTGCATATGAGACTGGAGACCAGAGAGGTTAAGTAAATTGCCCAAGATCACATAGCTACTAAGAGGCAGAGCTGGGGTTTGGACTCACGTCGGCCTGACTCCAATGCCCTTGCATCTGTCACTCGTGCCCATAGCCCTAGTCAACACCCACATGCTAAAGGCGTCAGTGGTCCCCTCTAACAAAAGCTGTTATGGCTTCTCAGAGAGACTGGAGTCCATGGCTGGGAGAGGCAGGGGTACCCTGGGAGAACCATGTGTCATCAGGGTTCTTTCCAGGCCCTTCCAGCCACCCACCCATGGGCATAAGGCCTACCCCAGCTCTGCAAGGTTTCAAAAAAACATGCTTGACACTTGAACAAAAATTGGCTCCAAAACATAAGAAGAAAGCTGCAAAACCATAATTAGTAATTTAGATCAATAAAGAATAAGGACTATAAAGAAGAGAGTAGGGGAAGTAGGGAAAAAAAGGAACACGATGTATTTATTACCATTGAACAATACACTTAAAATGGTAAAGATGGTAAATCATATATGTATATTTTACCTCAATAAAAAAAGAATTAAATTAAAAAAATAAGCAAAACAAACGATCTTATTTTGCCTTCATTTATGCTTTCTCTGCCCTGCATCTCTGCCTGATGCTGACCCCAGTTTCTGACTAATAAGGTTTTCCTTCTGCCTGAAGAGCTTCTGCAAAGCTGTCCTTAGGACAGATCTACTCGCTAGGAATTCCCTCAGTTTTTGTTTGAGAAAAATATTTATTTCTGTCTCACTTTTTAAAAATTAAGCTTTGTTTTGTTTTGTTTTACTATAATTATCTTTTTGTTTGTTTGTTTGTTTTGAGATACGGTTTGACTCTCCCACCCAGGCTGAAGTTCAGTGGCTCAAACATGGCTCACTGCAGCCTCAACCATCTGGGCTTAAGCAATCCTCCCAACTCAGCCTCTCAAGTTGCTGGAACCAGAGGCACACGCCAATACATCATGCTATTTTTTTTTTTTTTTTTTACTTTTGTAGAGGTAATGTCTTGCTATGTTGCCCAGGCTTGTCTCAAACTCCTGGGCTCAAGCGATCCTCCTGCCTTGGCCTCCCAAAGTGCTGGGATTACAGGCGTGAGCCACCACGCCCAGGCCAAAATTAAGCTTTTTTATCTGGAGATCATTGTAAATTATTCTGCAGTTTTAGGAAATAAATCAGATAATATACTGTGTGCCCTTTATCCAGTTTCCCCTAAAGATAACATCTTATATGATAGTATAATAGCACAGCCAGAATATTGGCATTGATATACTTTTACTTGTCCTCATTGTGTGTATGTGCACACATGCATGTGTATTTATTTCCATGCAATCTTATCCCACATGTAGGGTCTGTGTATCCATCACCACAGGGTTCCTCTTGCTGCCTTTTTATAGCCATACCTCCTTCCATCCTCTTCTCCTTAACCCCTGGCAACCAATAATCTGTTCTTCATTTTTATAATGTTGTCATTTCAGGAATAATAGACTCGTGGTGTGCATGTCTTTTTTGCTCAGCACAATTCTCTGGAGATTTGTCCACACTGTTGGGCACATCATTATCCAATGCCCCCTTTTCTTGCTGAGTAGGACTCTATGGAGTGAATGCTCCACAGTTTATTTAATCAGTCACCGACCACACAGAGTGAGGCTGGAGAGAATGGCAGATGAGAGAGGGGAGGGGTCGGGACAGGGAAAGAAAACCCTCTCAGAGATGTCTCACGATATCTGCAGTAAAACCTATACTCTCAAACAAAAACTTTCTTGGTGGACTCTTTTCTTCTTCTGGGAAAAGAGGCAACATAAATGGACGCAGATCACCTGCCACATACACATGTGCATACTGATATGTCCCCTCGTGTGCTCATGTGTACACATTTTTGCACATGCATACACACACACACACACACACAGACATGCCTGTGAAGAGGCCAACCCCAGTGTACAGCAGCTGTGAGGGGGCTCTGCCCCTCCTCTCCTAGAATGGAACATACGTTCTTGTGAACATAGAGAGTGGCATTTTCTTATGTCGATGTAATGTGAACAACTCCTGGTCACCAGCCCCCTTGACCACTGATGCCTCTTCATGGGTCGGTGAGTGAGGGAGACACAGCCATTTATTCCTGGCATCTTGAATTAAACTTGAAATTACTGCCCACTAGAAATAAGGCCTGGGGCATAGAGTCTTATTATTAAAATCTTTTGTGGAAAGTCACAGGGCTCCAATCACCCCAAAAACATTGTGTCTATGGGAAAATGCACCTTGAGTTCCATCTTACAAATGGATTTGTAACAGTTTAGGTTTCATGTAAGCTGTTCACAGTATCCTAGTGATACATGTTTATGGTAAAAAATCTTGGAGGGTAAAGAACAAACACTGCCCATAATTTTTTACTGTATACACTTTTTTTTCTTATAAAAATGTTACTCTATTGCACATAGTGTTTTGAATCATGCCAATTTTTATTTGGCAATTATATAAAGGCAGAACTTTAAATATCATCCCCAACATTCTGTGCCTACGCCTCAGAGCCTATGCTTAAAAAGAGCAATCATATTCATGACTACGTATTTAATGCAACATTAGAAAACTAATGCAGTCATAACCCACAAGCGTTTTCCATGCCAATGACCTTTTTGCCATCTGGTTTAGTGACTGCAGAGTATCCCATTACATGGTTGTCTCACACCTTGGCAAGCATCCCTTAAGGATGGACACTAAATCATCATGGGGTTTAATACTCTCATCCACAGAAGGGACTCCCAAGCCAGTCCTCACATATCTTGCTCTCATTACTAGGGCAGAGTGTTCTAAGAATTTTCCTCTTATGGGCCACCACCAGAGCAGACCAGACTCACTGTTTCCATGCCTGCTGGCTCTTGCTGCCACCATGCCCTGATTTCAAATAACCACTCCATCCATGAGCTAACTGACCTTAGAAAGATATACTTTTAAAATGCATATCCTCCCAATTTTCAATTAAGGCCAAAAGGAGTAGTAGAGACCAAATATATCCTCTTTCATGAAACAAACAAAAAATGGCAAAAATATGTGAATCTACGAAAAGATACTAGAACTCTTAAGTGAATTTAGAAAGGATACAAGCTGTTATATCAATATTTAAAAAGTCAATTTCATTTATATGATTAACAATGAACAATCAGAAAGTGAAATAGAGAGTGTCATTTATAATAGTATCAGAAATATAAAATACTTAGAATAAACCTGACAAAGGATGGGGAAGACCTGTATACTGAAAACTACAAAGTATTCCTGAGAGGAATTAAATAAAACTTAAATAACATACCACATTCATGTGTTCAGTCTGAATTACAATGTCTAAAGTTAAACATACTGACCACACCAAGTGTTGGTGTGGATGTGGAGGAACTGGAACTCTTATATGTTGCTGGTAAGAATGCAACATGGTACCTCCACTTTGGAGAACAGATAGGCAGTTTCTTAAAAGTTAAACATACATTTACTATATTACTCAGCCATTCCACTCCTAAGTATTTACTCAAGAGAAATGAAAGCATTTGTCCACACAAACATTCTTACATGATTGTTAATAACAGCTTTATTTTCAATCACTTGAAACTGAAAATGATCCAAAGGTATAGCAACAGATAAATGGACTGTGGCATATCCATATAATGGAGTACTATCAAGCAATAAGAAGAAACAGACAGCTGGGCAGTGGCTCACATCTGTAATACCAGCACTTTGGGAGATTGAGGCAGATCACTTGAGCTCAGGAGTTTGAGACCAGTCTGGGCAACATGGTGAAACCCCATCTCTACTAAAAATACAAAAAATTACCCAGGTGTGGTGGCGCACACTTGTAATCCCAGCTACTGGGAAGGCTGAGGCAGGAAAATTGCTTGAACCCAGGAGGTGGAGGTTTCAGTGAGCCGAGATCACGCCACTGCTCTCCAGCCTGGGCAGGCGACAGAGAGAGACTGTGTCTCAAAAAAAAAAAAAAAAAAAAAAAAAAAGAAAGAAAGAAAGAAAAGAAAAGAAAAGAAAAGAAAATTAGCAGGGTGTGGAGGTGCACACCTGTAGTCCCAGCTACTCATGAGGCCAAGGTGGGAGGATTACTTGAGCACAGGAGGTCAAGGCTGCAGTGAGTTGTGATTACATTGCTGCACTACAGCTTGGGTGACAGAGTGAGACTCTGTCTAAAAAAGAAAGAAAAGAAAGACTATTGATACGTGCAAGGATATGGATGAATCTGAGAACAATTTTGCTGAGCGAAAGAAAGCAGAGGAAAAAACATACAAGCAGCATGATTTCATTTACATAAAATTTTTAAAAATGCAAACTAACCTATAGTGACAAAAAGCAGAACAATGGGAATTTATAATGTTAAACACATATGTTTATTAGAAAAAAAAAGATCTACAGTCAATCATTCAGGTTTCCATCTTAGGAAACTAAAGAAAGAGGCCTAATTTAATTTAAGCCTGAAGCAAGGAAAATAAGATAAGTAATTAAAAATTAGAACAGAAATTAATAAAATTGTAAACAGGAAAACAGTAGAGAAAAATCATAAAACAAAAGCTGGTTCTTGGAAAAGATCAATAAAATTGATAAACATTTAGTCAGGCCAATGAAGAGAGAAAAGACACAAATTATTAACATTAGAAACAAAAGAGAGGTCATCACAACTGATCCCATAGACATTAAAAGGTTAATTAAGTAATACAACAAACAACTTTATGCTCATAAATATAATTAAGGTGAAGTGCAACAATTCCTTGAAAGACACAAACTATTAAAACCCCCCAAAGAGAGTAGTCTTATATTCGAAGAGATTGAATAATTTAAAACCTTCCAGAAAAGAGAGCACTAGGCTCAGATAGTTTCACTGGTACTTTCAACAGAATACTTAAAGAGGAAATAATAACAATTCTCCACAATATCTTCCAAAAAATAGAGGCAGAGGCATTGCTTCCAAACTCATTTTATGAGGCCAGTTATCTTAGTCTGTTTAGGCTGCTGTAACAGAACACCACACAAACTGGGTGGCTCATAAACAATAGAAATTTATTTTTCACAATTCTGAAGGTTGGGAAGTCCCTGAGCAAGGCACTGGCAGATTTGGTATCCAGTGAGGGCCTGCTCTCTGCTTCATAAATGGTTCCTTCTAGCTGTGTCCTCACATGGTAGAGGGGATGAGGAGTCTCCCTTAGGCCTCTACTATAAGGGCATTTAGGTCTCTTCTACAAGGGATCACCCATTCATGAGGGCTCCGCCCTCATGATCTAATTACTTCCCAAAGGCCCCACTTCTTAATACAATCACCTTGGAAGTTAGAATTCCAACATATGAATTTGGGGGAACACAAACATTCAGACCATAGCACAGTATATTACCCTAACACTAAAACCTGCTAATGACATTTTAAGAAAGGAAAAACTACAGACCAATATCTCTCATAATCATAGATACAAAAAAATCTTTGAAAAAATTATTGAATCATATTCAGTAATATTATATAACATAACCAAGTGGGATTCATTCCATGTGTACAAAGCTGGTTTGACATTCAAAAATCAACGTAATTTACCATATCAATGGGCTAAAGAAGATAAATCACATGACTATATCAACTGCTAGAGAAAGTATTTCAAAAAAATCAATACCTATCTACAATAAAATCTCTCGGCAAACTAGAAACAGAGGGTATTTCTTCAACTTGATAAAGAACATGCACAAAAAGCCTGCACTAAATGTCATACTTATTGGTGAGAGGCTGGGCATTTTCCCCCTAAAATCAAGAATAAGGCAAGGATGTCCTCTCTCACCACTCCTATCGAACATCATACTGGAAGTCCCAGCTACAGCAATAAGAAAAAGAATTAAAAGAAAGATATACAGACTGGACAAAAAGAAACAAAAATGGTCTTTATTAGTAGATACACTGTCTATGTAGGAAATGCCAAATAATCTGTGCACACAAAAAAAGGTGAAAACCTCATTGGAAAAGGTGAGTATAACAAGGACACAGCATACAAAGAAAATATACCAAAGTCAATTGCTTTCCCATATACAATGAACAATTAGAATTTGAAATGAAATTTACATTACCATTTACAATAGCATCCCCCCAAATCAGTATTTAGTTATAAATTTGACACAATCTATGGAAACTGTAGGCAAAAAGCTAGAAAATACTGGCAAAATAAAATAATCCAAATAAATGGCAAGATAGTCCCTGCTTATCTGTTGGAAGACTTGGTATTGTTAAGATGTGAAGTATTTATAACTTGATCAGAGCAGTCCAATTCAAAATCCCAGCAGGTTATTTTTTAGATATTGATAAACTGATTCTAAAATTAATATAAACAAGCAGAAGGCCTAGAATAGCTAACACAATACTAAAGAAGATCAAAGTTGGAGTACTCAGAGTCCTTCATTTCAAGAATTACTATAAAGCTATAATAATCAAGATGGTGTGGTATTGGCAAAAAAAGGACACATAAATCAACAAATGGAGATGCCAGAAATAGACCCCCCCACACAATATAATAACCTGACTTTTGACAGAGGCGCAAAGGCAACTCAATGGAGCAAGTGAAGTCTTTTCACCAAGTGGTGCTGGAACAATTGGATGTTCATAGGCTAAATGAATCTGGACACAGAACTTGCAACTTACACAAAAAATAACTCTAAATGGATCATAAACCTAAATTTAAAATGCAAATTTATAAAACTTTTAGAAGAAAACATAAGAAAAAAATTTATGTGACCTTGGGTTTGGTGAGGAATTTTTAGATACACGACCAAAAGCATGAACCATGAAAGAAAAAAAAAATAGAGAAGTTGGACTTTATTAAAATTAAAAACTTCTGCTCTATGAACGATTCTGTTAAGATAATGAAAACACAAGCTGCAGACTGAAAAGAAATATTTGCAAAACATGAACCTGATAAGAAACTTGTATCCAAAATATTTTAAGAAATCTTAAAAGTCAACAAAAAGACCATAAGTAATCCAATTGAAAAAATGAATAAATCTGAACAGACACCTCCAAATCACCACCAAAGATGATATTTGTGTGTGTGTATACATATGACATATACATATGTACATATATGTATATATATATATCTTACAAATGGGAAATAAGCATGTGAAACATCATCTGTCATTAAAGAAATGCAAATGAATACAACAATGAGCTTTCACCACACACCTATTAGAATGGCTAGTATACAAAAAACCAACAATACCAATTGCTATGAGAATTTAGAAGAATAAGAACCCACATGCGTTTCTGGTGGGAAGGCAAAATAGTACAGCTACTTTAAAAGATGTTTGGAAGTTTCTTAAAAAGTTAAATATTATTTTACTGTATGAACCAGCAAGCATACTCCTAGATGTTTACCCAACTGATTGAAAACTACGTCCACAAAATACCTGCATGCAAATGTGTGTAGCAACGTTATTCATAACCACCAATATCTGGAAAACCAGGATGTCTTTCAGTAGGTGAATAGATTAATAAACTGTAGTACATGCATATAAAGGAATACTATTCAGAGATATAAATAAATGAACTATCAGGCTATGTAAAAACATAGATAAAACTTAAATGGATATTGTTTACTGAAAAAAGCTTATCCATTTATATTATGTTCTAGAAAAGGTAGAATTATCGAGATGGTCAACGGATCAGTGGTTTCCAGGGGCCTGTAGAGATGGAAGAGTAGAGTCAGCAAAGCACAAGAGATTTTTTTTTAGAATGGTAAAATTATTGTGTATGATACTGTGGTGGTGAATACATGACACTGCATTTTTCGAAACCCATGGAATTTTACATCACAAAGAGTGAACCTTAACATATGCAAATTAAAAAAATAATTAAAGATGTTGGGGGATTCCAAGATGGGGTGCTGAGTATGACAGAAGACTAACTGTATTACAAATGTATAAAATAATTCCACTGAAGGGGTGGGAGGAAAGCGTACTGACCAAGTGGCATTGGAAGTGAGTGGAGACTGTAAGATTAAGGCATAAGGAACTGTCCACAACCCTGTATTCTAGTAGATAAAGCTCTTTCCCAAAAGGATATAAATTCTGAAGCCACTAGTCACACGCTCTGAAATGTGAAGTCACTGGATGGAGGATGGTGGGAGCCAGGTTTCTCTTTGTTGGAGGGGAGGCTACCAACAAGCAAGCAGGAAAGGTTGCAGTGATTCATATGGCAGTGGTTAGTGTTGGGGACATCAACGTGGAATCGAGTTCAGCTCAAAATAGATGCAGACGGATATGTACAATACACTTACAGATATGGGTTGGTATATATTTCCTTGTTCTGTCTCCTGACAGGGCCTGAATAAGTGTCATCCCAGTAGCAATGAGCACACCTACTGTTTACGTCTTAGTTTTTGATGCTGTTCTTTTTTTTTTCTTTGTAACATTTAATAAGCTCAATCTACATCCAGAATAATTTACATGAAAGGACAATATTTATTTAAACAGAGCTCAGTGGGGTAGCCATGGTATCATCAGAGTGCATCCAGAGGAAAAGAGGGAGGAAGGGCCGAAGAAGACACAATCAACGGCACTCCCACACTTTTACTGTTTGAGCCACGCTGCCAGTGACCACATAGGGTGCTGTCTTGTGGAAATCCAATGAGGTAACAAAGTGTTCATACGCATTGAGGGTCTTCATGCATTGCCTGTTCTTGTAATCCCATACGTGTAGGGTCTTGTCATCAGCACAACTCAGAATAAATTTCCCCCCAGAACTGAACAGAACTTCACATACCCAGTTACCATGACCCACGAGGGTCATGAGGCACATGCCGGTACTGACATCCCACATCTTAATAGTCTTGTCCCTGGATCCAGACAGCAAGAATGGCCCAGATTTACCACTTTTTTTTAGTCTCAGAGCCTGTTGCTTCAGAGATGGAAGAATATGAGCTTTCTGGAGCCCAGGAAATGCATTCTACCACATGCTCATGTTCTCGGAGCTCAGCCTTGCATTGCATTGTTGCTACAACCCATACACGCACAGTCTGGTCATTGGAACAGCTGGCTATCAGAGTGCCATCTTGATTTGGTTGTACAATATGTACCCATTCTCTCTGTCCTGTGAACATCTTCACACAGTAGCCAGTTTGCACTTCCCACATTTTTATAGTTTTATCCCTTGAGGCGGACACTATATGATCTCCACTGGCCATGATGACTACTGAGGAAACATTATGGTCATGGGGAACCATGACTATGCATGGTTCTGATGCATTCAAAGTCCTGAAAATCCCATGGTTTAATGGTCATAGCTGCAGAACAGGAAGCCAGAAACTTGCCACTGTGGTCAAATGAAATGTCCTGTACAGAGTCTGTGTGTCCTTCCTTTAAGAGTTCTTTCAAAATCTCCAGTCTCATAATCCCACACCTTAATTGTAGCATCCTCTGAAGCAGAGACCATAACACTGAACACAGGATGGAAAATGACTCGAATGATTGGACTCCTGTGACCACTCAATGTGTATTTTTCTGGCAGAAAATACCCATTCTTTTGGGTCTTGTTTCTGACCAAGAGGTCCACCTGACGTAAATTCTTCTTTTGCTTCATTTAGTGTTGATTCTAATTCCATAAACTTCTTTTGTAATCTAATAACAGATGTCCATTTTTTCCCCCAAAACACCAGCCTACTTTATTTCTTCATTCATATCTAATTCAGCTTCCTTTTTAAAAACTGAATATGCCTCTTCGTAGCCATTTGAACGAAGATAATCTGCTTTAGCTTGATTTAGTTCATCTCATTGTCTCTGGGACAGCACCATCTTGGCTGTAATGTCAAGCTTATCTCATATAGTGGTATGTCCCTCCTTTGGGAAATCAAAAAGCTTTTTGATCCGTGGACGTATAATATAAATATGACACTAAGTGTCTTCCACTCAGCGGAAAATGATTCTTTTACAAATGAATCCAACTAGTAACCAGAAGATATTCAACAAGTAAGATTCATTCCACTCTCCCGGCCGCTGGATTCTGCCACCACCCCGCCGCTCCAGCTCTGTCTGTCACAGGAGCTGCCCCAACGCCCTGACGTCACTGTGCCACCACTGCCACTGCCCCCACCACCGCCCCCACTGTTCTTAATACCATTTAATAAAAGGAAGTAAGCCTTCCTGGAGAAATGGCTGATTCTAGGACAGGCGGGGAATGTACAAAATGAGCCTGGAGGAGCATTTTACAGGGCCAGAAAGTAAGAACGTGTTCAGAAGAACAAACAATAACACACAGGTCAAGGAGACACAGTGACCACTTGAAAAAGCTTTCAATGGCCTAAGCTGGAACAATTTGAGCAATAAAGTAGTATTGGATTATAAATAACCCAAGTATAAAATAAATATGCATGATTCCATACTGATTTACATTTATATATTTATTTAATCACATACATATGAATAAGTAAATGGCAGAGAATAGGCACATCTCCAGAGTGGTGGAATTTCAGGTAATTTATGTAATACTGCACCCCCAAGGAGGTGGAGCATAATTCCCCCTCCTTAAATATGGGCTGCACACAGTGACTTCCTTTCAAAGTGTACAGTGTGGAAAGGGGGCAGGGGAGAAACTTCACAGTGGAGACGTACAACAAACACTGCCTCAGCCAGATGATCATGGTCAACATCACGAGTGACGTCATGTTGATAGGATGTGCTCCTGATAGAATGTGATGAAAGTAGCACTTTACTTCTGTGGTCTTCTCCCAATAATCATAGGAGAAAACACCAGGCAAATCCCAATGTTGGGACATTCTACGAAATACCTGACTAGTGTTCCTCAAAACTGTCAAGGTCATCAAAAACAAGGAAAGTCTAAGAAATTGTCACAGCCAAGAGAAGCCTAAGGAGATGGGACAACTCAGTGTAACATGATGTTCTATGGTGGAAGAAGGACAGCTGGGTCAACTAAGGATATCTGAATGAAGGGTGACTTTAGTTAATATGCATCAACATTGGCCATTAATTGTGACAAAGGTACCTCATTAATGTAAGATAGTAACAATGAGAGAAACTGGGTGTGATATCTAGGGAAACTCTCTGGACTATTCTCAACTTTTCTGGAAATTTAAAACTATTCTAAAATAAAAAGTTTATTTTTTTAAAAAGGAAGGCAATCCCCTTTCTCCTCCCTCTTTCTCCTTTCCCTCTCTTTCCTCATTTCTCCCTTTTCCTTCCTCCTCTTCCTCCTGCCCCCTCCTCTTTTCCTTTAACAATAACAATAATGTGTAGTCCATTCTCACACTGTGATAAAGAACTACCTGCAACTGGGTAATTTATGAAGGAAAGAGGTTTAATTGACTTGCAGTTCCACAGGCTTTACAGGATGCATGGCTGGGAGGTCTCAGGAAACTTGCAATCATGGCGGAAGACGAAGGGGAAGCTAACACATCTTCACGCCGGAGAGAGAGAGAGATAAGGGGGAAGTGCTACACACTTTCAAACAGCCAGATCTCGTGAACTCTATCAAGAGCACAGCAAGGCGGAAGTCCACACCCGTGATTCACTTACCTCCCACTAGGCCCCTCCTCCAACACTGGGAATTGTAATTCAACATGAGATTTGAGGGGGGACACAGAGCCAAACCACATCAAATGGCATCACACATGTGACCAGTACGTTGTCGTTTCCAGCTCTCTTCCCTTGCATTATTCTGCAGGAGCCCTTGCCACAGTGCAGTGCTGGATGTGGTATTCTTGAATTCACAGTTGGGCCAGGGAGGTGAAATGACCCACCTAGGAGGTAGCAGAGGTGCTAGCAGCACTCCCAAGACTCATAGTGAATTCTCCTGGGCCTGTCCGTCACCCTGTTATGCCACTTTTCAGTTTCCCTCTGATCACAAATGACTCAGCACACAGTGTAAGTGCTACAATTTTACTCCAGAATTTGACTTGTATTGTCCTACAGACTGCAGGTACCCTCTTGTTGCTCCTTTCCCTTGAAAAAAAATACATCATCTCAAAAGAACGCAACCAGGAGCTGGCAATGGCACTGGAATCCCTTCCTGGTCACAGAATTGATGCTCATCTGCCCTGTGCACAGCACTTTTACAAGAAATCTTATTTGGTCAACCCCCCAAATATCACAGAAGGACATTATTATTATCTCCAGTCTGCAGTTGAGAATGCTGAGGCTAGAGAGTGGTTACCACTAAAAGCAAACCTTTTCTCTCTTTCCCATTGCCTATCCACCCTGACTCTGGGCTCTGACCCATACCCACCTGCTCAAGGTCCCAGGTAGGAGTTGCCCATTCCTTTAAGTATGAGTTCATTCATACACATCACCATGTGAGGCTTGATGTGACCTCACTAACAAGCAGGTCTCATCTGCCCTGTGCATGTGAATGTGCCTTAGGAAGCTTATCAAATCCCAAAGGAGAAATTACATCCTCTAGGAAAAGTACAGTGAGGTGACTGTCCCGTTTCCTTTACTGGCTCTGGACCACAGCTGAGTTCCCACGCACGCACTGTGGCACACGAGAGTGTGGGCAGAGGCACTTCTGCTGAGTGGGATGAAACATCTTAAGTGCTCTGAGGGTTGAAACTTTGAAGAGGTTGAGATCTGTGAGAGCTGAAGAACCTTTGAATCTCCCTTCAGCTCTCCCTACCCCAACCACAGCCCTTCTCTTGATGTAAAACATGTGTTCAGATAGAAAACAAATGAGGCTTACTTCTATGCCAGTAGGACTGTTTGGCTTTAAGCTTCCCCAGTGGTTGAAAACAGCAATCTCCGAGATTTGCCCAAAACTTTAAATGGAAGTCACTCCCATGGGTCACATCCATGGATTTGTGAGATAGGGCAGGAGGCTGTGTCTCTGCTACCCAGCGGTGGGAGCAGGAGTCTGTGCAGCCTGGTTGTATTGGGGATGGGCCCCTCGTCCAGTTGCCTATGAGGATAACCTGCGGAGAAGATCTGATGGAGATACCTGGACTTATGCAGAGGCGTGTTTGGGTTAAATAGAAATGCCCAGGGTCCAATAGAGGGAACCTTCCAACAAGTGTATGAGTTGGCCTCTCACCCAACGCTGGCCACCCAGATGACAGCTTCTTGGACATGATGAATGGCCTCACTTCCACCAGAACATCTTCCTGCCAGGCCCTGCTGCTGCTTCCCCAGCTGTGTGGCCTTGGATGAGTAACATGGCCTCTTATTAAAGAAATGGATGAAATACTTTCTAAAGAATCTTCCAACTCTGAAGATCTGTGACATCTTGTCACTGAATTAATAGGAAATCAGCTCCTTATAGATTTGGTCTATGTTAGGAGACAACCTCTGTTGATGGGCTGACCGAATGTCTGAAGTGGGAAGGATTTGGGGACCAAAACAGGTAACAAGAGTAGACGAACACAAGAAATTCAGGTTGAATTAACCTTCAACAGATATTTATTGAGTAACTTCTACATGTAAGTCACCAAAATCTGGGAAGGGGAAATGGATAAAAGTACGATTCTCTCTCTGGAAAGCCTATAGTCTAATTAATTGATGTATTAAGTAATGCTGGGTGGAGGAACAATAACCCAGGACTTGTATAAACAATAGGAAACTCTGGGGGAAGAGCAAGGCTAGAAGAGACATTATCTGGGAGGCAATTCTAGAGCAGGTAGATTTCAGGAACAGGACAATCAAAGAAAAGGAGAGTGGCATTCACACATCAAGTCTAATAATATGGCCTTATTTTATGGTCCACCTGAGTACTGCAGAATTTAGCCCTAGGTACTACCAGGTCCAAAGCTGCTTCTTTAAGCTACACTTTAAGCTCCTGTCACTAGAAGGGGCTGTCAGAGTGCCAGGGATTTTGGTAGGTTCCGTGCAGACTTCCCTAGTCCTAGAGGACGTTGGAGTCACTGGGGTGTGAGGACATTGGAGAGACAGGAATAGAGTTCCACGCTGCGATGAGGAGATGGAGCCTGATGCAAAGCCACAGGGAGGCTGGCGTTGTTGGGGTGGGAGGAATTCCCACCCAGTGGGAGAGTTTTACATTGAGGACTACATACCTGGTCAGGGTATAAGGCAAAGTGGGCTCCCACTCCTGACATGTTCCTCTTTACCGATGTTCCTTGTGAGCTTATTCCCCACCTAGGACAGCTAACACTTTAAGCTCTTGACTGTCATTTATACTTTATTCATGTGAATGAGTTTTTAGTTTTCTCTTGAAAGCAAGTTGGGATACTAGGAAAGTTGACAAGAGTTTGAGTTTCTATGTTGGTTGGGAAAGAGTGATGTCTCCACATGTAATTTGTAGAGGGTCCCATCAGTTTCCAAAAGAGGAAGTGGGTGTTTGTCTTGCTTTTGAGACATTTTGGGAGACTTAGACACAATATAATTTCTATTGAGAACAAAGTAGGGTTAGGATTTGGAGAAGGAAGACAGATATTTCCTTCTCTCTGCTAAAGAGATGGTCTGGAGTAGAAAACTTGTGGACTGTGTTTACAATTGTGGAGTACTACTCTTGGTAAAAACAATAAAGCAGAATCGATGTCTGTAGAACAGAGCTGGAAGGGGCCTCATGGTTGGTTTTCAAGGTAAACTAACCACAGACATCAGTTTTCCACTCCTCAGCCTTTTTAGCATCTGGGTTCATCTTCCAGGAAGGCCATAACAAAGCTCCACAATCTGAGGATCTTAACAACTGAAATTGATTGCCTGGAAGTTCTGGAGGATGAAAGTTCAAGGTCAGCTTGGGCAGCGTAGGTTTCTTCCGGGTGCCATGAGGGAGAATCATTCGTGCTTCTGGTGTTTGCTGGCAGCCGCTGGTGTTCCTTGGCTGGCAGAAGCACCACCCCAACCTGTCTCTGCATCTTCACAGGGCATTCTCCCTGTCTGTGTGTGTGTCTGAATTTCCCCCTTTTATAAGGACACCAGTCATGTTGGATTAGGGGCCCACCCTACTCTAGTATAATCTCATCTTAACTAATTATACCGGCAATGGTACTAGTTCCAGATAAGGTCACATCCTGAGGAACTGAAGGTTCAGACTTAAACACATGAATGTGGGGGAGGAGACGCAACTCAGCCCATAACCACATTCTTTCTACACAGGGAGTTCAAGTTAGAGAGCCCATCAAATCATGCAGGGAAAGGAGATGAAATCCTCTGGGTCCGTCACTGTTTGAGGCAGCCCTAGACACATGCTGAGCTATTGTCCCCACTTTGCCAATGCAGACTAAGCTTGTGTCCATGGAAAAGCCCAGTGTGAACTAAGATCACTGGATGCCCACCTTGGTGCTGGGGGCCGGGGCCCACACAGAAGTCCCAGGCCCAACCTGAGGGGAGCAGGCTATACCAGGCCGAGGATGGCCCCCTTGATTTGGGTGCACACTCAAATGTACAAACTACTGCCTGCACCACAGAGACTGGCCCGGAGGTGTTATCTTCCCAGAGGGCTGGGCAAAGGGCTATCTTTGAACCAGCTGTTCCCACTCAGGCAAGAGTGGCTTTGCTGGGCCTCCACTTCCTCCACAGTAAAACGAGGGTGATGCTCTGCCCTGCCCGACCCATCTAGGGTCAGGTGAAGATCAAATGGGATAATAAGATAGAATGTCTTTTGAAAGACCCACACACGAAGGTGGCATGAGGGATTGTCTTTATGACTATCATGTTCTATGCAGCCCTGACTGTTACGTGCTAGCTGGCTGTCTCATCTCCTCGAGGTGTCCTGCGTGCCTGCTGATGGGGATGATTCCAATGACTAAAAGGTACCTGGCCTTCTCCATGCCCAGCTTTACATCCAGTAGAGGCTCAGGCCACACTCGATGGCAGCCTGCCCGCTGCGGGCCTGCTTGTCTGCTCAAAGCAGAGGTTGACTTGCACCCAGGTTGCATTCCAGAAGTCCTGGCCTGCTTTCTCCACATGGTTAGCTTCGAGCAGTGAGCTTGGGAGCAGCCTTTCTGCGAGTTCTGCCAGGTGAGCCAGCCCGCAGGAGTAGGGGGTATCCCAGGCACGCACCTGTGGCTCAGGTTTCTCCCTTGTGGCCCGCTCTCTCCCCACTGCTGTTTTCCAGAGCACCTCCATCCTGCAAGATTGACAGCTCACTCTTGGTAGGGAACAGAGTGTAGGAAGTGATCGTTTCAAACTTCTCTTGCAGCTCCATCTGCCAAAAGCCCCTCTACCAGTTGCCGTATTTACCCTGGCTGCCAGGCCTCTCTCAGCTGCCCTAAGAAAACAGATTACCGTCCAGAGCAAAGTCCTCGTGTGTTTCCTTTCTGGAGATGAATCAAGTTCTGAAAGAAAGGTTTCCTGTAGCCCATTACACCATTTCAGTTTGTTTTATCTGTCTCCACCTGCGGAGCAGGGAATTAACCTGCTGCCCAGGGCCAGGCCAGCGAATGCTTGGAAGGAAAGCAAAGCGCACGGGTGTGCGTTTTTTGACAACAGACCATGGCCTTGTTCTCCTCAGCAGAGCATTGTCCCCATGAGGCCCAGGCCCAAATCTGAATAGGACTTTGTGTAACTCGATCTGTTTTCCTTCTTGGCTATAGTCTCTGTGCCAAATTTAACTGTGGTCTGTATATATAGTGTTGTGGGAGGGTGGGGGTAGACCAGGGAAGGTTGGGGGAGGGGAGTATATCCATGCAGTTTTTTTCCTGTCTTCCTTTTTTTGTGCTTGCCTGCTTTGCTCACTGTTTGCTATATATAACTCAACATGACTGTCCTCGCATCTCCAGTCATTAACCCTTTAGGGATAACTAATGCACCTCTTTATGTAGGCCCCTGGCTGGGAAGCGCTGGCACTGTTGGAGTTAACGACTGGCCCCTGGAAAGTGAACTTCCCCAGAAGTGCTTGTGAAGCAATTAACAGGGCCCCACTCAGATAGTAAAAATATCCCCTGGCTTACAAACAAGCAGAGAAGCGCCTCCAAGCCAAGAGTCACCGCTGTGCCCCAGGCATGTAGTGGGCGCTCCCTCTTTGAAAGTCTTGTATCTTAGACTTTGCAGAAATGCTACGAAAGCTGGTGATGCAGCAACGATTTCAGGGGAGACTGAAATCTATTGTCCAACTGAAAGCCTGTCAGAGCTGGGCCTCTCTCAGGAGGTGAACCATCCCAAGGGTCATGGAAAGAGCTACTCATTGTGGGCCTGGGGTGACAGTGACCCATGCTGGGTGAACAGAAGCCTCACTTCACTTTGCCGGAGGGAGACAGTAGGCTGACAAACTATTGTGGAATCTCCTAAAATTGGTTGCTAAAGGGAGCTTCTCACCAGGGCCAGCTTGCCTGGGCTCTTCTTTCAAAGGGTGGAGTGTTGTCTGCCAGTCCCCAGGCTCAGGGGATGCAAGTGAAAGGGCTTCGGGCTTTACTGTTCATTTCCTCAGAATCATAGAAGTGCCGAAAATTACAAAACTGCGGTCTCCCTGCAAGGGACTCAAGATGTCTTGGGTCATCTTAGGCTATATTTAGAATGGAAAATGTGTTGGCTCTGAGGAAACAGGGTATGTGTCCTTCTCCAAGCAGGATGCTATGAACCTTGCCCCATAGGCCCTCCTACCCATCCTCACAGAGCCCTGAAACTCCTCCTCCAGGAACCCTTCCAGCCAGTGGGAAGACCCCACAGATAGGACCCAGTTTCCCCTGTGAATCAACTTCTCTAGCATGTCCCACTGCCCAGGGCTGGGAAGGTCCAGTGTGCCTAGTGTGGCACTGTTTTCCAGGGCTGGATGCATGTTTGGTCCTCCAGTGGGAACTCTGCTATCGTCCCTGCTTCACCAGGAGTGATGATGGGGACAGGCACGGCAGAGAGTGGACACAGGGATCCTGGCCT
Organism: Homo sapiens; assembly: GCF_000001405.40. Classification (NCBI taxonomy): domain Eukaryota; kingdom Metazoa; phylum Chordata; class Mammalia; order Primates; family Hominidae; genus Homo; species Homo sapiens. Next base: position 111,375,768 of record NC_000002.12, on the reverse strand, counting down.
TAGGGGGCAGTCACTCATCCAGCTCACTTGTACATACGTCACCATGGACACAGAGGTTTTCAGTATGTTAACGATTTGCACAGTCCACATCAGCATCCCGTTAACTTTCTTTTTGTAACCCTCAGCATGGTTTTAAGAACCTGGAAGTTTATTGCGTAACTGTTTTGCTTGTGAAGTTGCACATGATTTCTCAGAAAGATCAATTCAAACCCGCCTTGTCACCCCTCTCCACCCAGGCCCCACTTCCTGCTTTGCTGGGGCTGGGGGGTCAGAAGTAACATAGCTAGAGACAGATGTCCATCATCTGTGCTTGTGATGACAAAAGGAGGTAACAGGAGCACAGCCAGACCCTCACTCCTTGGAGCCCTGTTGTGAGCCACTCATGGCATGCACCATTCTCTGTCCTCACAACAGCTCAGACGGGTAGGAATTATTGGATTCTTTCTCTAAATGGGAAACCAGGGGTTTTAGGTGCCTTATCCATGGACCCTGCCCTCACCTCCCTCACCCAGTGCCCCCCTGTGCCTTGCTGGCTCTATCTGTGAAATTTATCCATGGACCCTGCCCTCACCTTCCTCACCCAGTGCCTCCCTGTGCCTTGCTGACTCTATCTGTGAAATGTCTCAAGAGTCCATCCTGTTGTCTCCCATCCCATGTCTCCCACTTGGCCCACAGTCCAGACTCTTACCTGTCCAGACTCCTACTCCAGAGAGACCCGGCAAGATCTTTGGGAAAGGCACATTGAGCCATGTCCTTCTCCCCCTTGGAACTCAACAGTGGCTTCCTGTCACTCTGAGAACAGAATGCAGCCTCCTCCCTGTGCATGACAAGCACCTCCCTGAGGTCACAGCTGTGGCTCCCTGACTCTGCACTGGTCCAGTCCAGCCTCAAGGCCTTAAATTTGCCACTCCAGAACCCTGGTTTGGACCCTGGACTCTGAATACATTCTGGTCTTTTCCTCAGGGAGGTCGAGGCACTGTCCTAGCTTGTGACCTGCTCCCATACCTATTTTCTCAGGGTGGAAGCAGACGCTCCAACTCCCACACTATGAGGCTGGTACCATTACCTCCAAGACCCAAAGCCTGTAGGAAGTATAGCAGGCCTCACCCAATACCCTGCAGTTCCCTCACTTGCTCCAAGTGGGAGGTGGGTCTTCACGGGTCCCCAAGATGAGGGCCAGTGGCTTTCCTCTTTCACAGGCTACAGTGGGAGCGAGTCTTCCACCATGGGACCTCTGGCCAGATCTCAGGGCTCTGTGGTTGGGGGAAAATGGCTCTCTTTTATGGGGCTTTAAGACATGAACTGACATGACATGTCCTAGAGACTATCCAGAGAGCATGTGGATCACTTTTTGCTGCTTTAGATCACCTTCTTTAAAATCAATGCATTGACATACTTTCAGCACTTAAATTTTCGTATTCTATTATCGCATCATCTCAGAAGAAAAGTCTTTCATAATTAATGAATCTCAGGCTGGGTTAAATATGCAGTGGCTGCCCACACACCACTTACTCTATTGCTTCAAAATAATTGGCTTTCACTTATCAGGTCTACTAGAATGACTGTCTTAAACCAGTCACGTGGTGGAAGCATCACCATGTTTCTTGCTCAGAAAATACCCTTTCAAGGGCTTTTCTAGGGGAGCCGGAACAGTAGCCAATTCTAGTGGGACCTTTAAGAAACAACTTTGCCCAGGATGATATTTGAGCCCTCTAAAGGGCCAATAGGGGTCCCTCTATTCAACTTTCCCTCCGAGTCCCACCAACCTCCCCACTTTGGTTCCATACAGCTTGGATTATTGCCCTACTAGTTCAAAACTGAAAGTTTCAAATAAAAACCAAAAGACAAATGTTAAATCACATTGAATTGATAACTGAGACAATCCGTCAAGCATATTTTGCTTTCCTGATTTTTCAAAGAAACCCTAATGTTGCACCTTCCTTGTTGTCAGTTTAGTACGTTAACATTTTTTTAATTAAACTTCAGTATCATTGAACAGGTCATAGAGTGTGAGCAATATTGTCTTTGTTCCAAAACTCCAAATGTAATGAAGCTGCCATTCACAATTGTTTTCCGCTGGGCTGCTTATTTTAAAAAAATGATTTTGATGAATAAAAATAGGTGCATTTTCACAGCGTGGGGTCCAGCAAGAATGAAAACCTTACGGATCACAGCCCGGCCCCTGGGGGTGCGGGAGGAGGTGTTGTCAGATGTCAATTTTGGCTGATTGTTTTTGAGGCCATGAGACTGCCATTCCTGTGTCCCGTGGTGCATTTTAGAGACTGATGTCACTTTTTTGAGATAAATTATTAGAGAAATGTTTATAGATGAATATACATTTCACAGTGTGCCAGAGTTGAGGAGTCTAATGAAGTTTAGAAGGGACACTGGGATGAGGGTGCTGAGCTGCGGTGCCTGTGGCCTGTGACAGACACCTCCTGCACCAGGAGGCAAGGATCCTGATGGTCAGATGCTCAGTCCCCAACAAGAGGGGGTTCAAAGCCAGTGCAGCCCCTTCCTCCCACCGCTGGGGGCAGCAAAGGACCCACAGTGGAGATTGCAAACTATAGCAGGGGCTGTGCTTTGTGTTTGTTTTCAATATTTGAGCCATCATACAAAAATCTAGTGATTTCTCATTCTCTATACAAAAACCAGAAGATCTGGGCCACAAGGTCTGCATTTTCCCCAGTATCAGTCTGCTATGGCCCCATATTAGCTGCCTAGGGCCCCTCACTCCTGCTCCTGCTAGACTCTGTGGATATTTGAGTCATGACCTTGCCTCAAGGCTTATTCACGTATTATTTATTTATTGTTAATATAGGAAGGGTCTTGCTCTGTTGCCCAGGCTGGAGTGCAGTGGCACAATCATAACTCACTGCAGCCTTGAACTCCTGGGCTCAAGTGATGCTCCTGTTAAGGCATATTTAGATGGGAGGAAACATCTTTCTTCCTTTAGAGCATCTAATTATCGGCATGGCCCTGGACAAATTATCCTAGAGCCTGGAGCCTCAATTTGCTCATCTCTGTAAGGGGGGTGACAATGCAACCTCATAGGGTGGTTGTGAGTACTACATAGAAAAAGACTCCAGAAGGAGCACAGGGCCTCCATTGGGAGCCCCTCAGCCAACACTCCCTCCTTGCTGCCTGCACAACCTCAAGAGAACATGGAGTCCTTTGGGATGCTGAAAACTTTAAGGAAGACAACTGTGCATTCTCTGTGTAAGCAGTGTGCACACTGTCTTCCTCCTAAATGGCTAGTTGGAGGAGTGAAGACAGACTCACTCAGAAATGGGTGATTCCCTGGCTGCAGTCTCCTCTCTGATAACAAAGGACTGGGCCCAGATTAGAGACGAGGCAGGAATTATGTGCTGCAGAAAGGCGGTGGGGACATCTTGAGTTTGTTTGTAGCTAATCTCAAATAATTCAGGTCTTTTCCATTTGCAGCAAATCTGATTCCCTCAACACATCTGTGGTAAAATGTTATGAGTGCTTGCGGAGACCAAGTGTGGAGGGGATTTTTTTTTTCCACCACCAAATCCATAGTTACCCTCCAAGTTGTAATCTTATCATATTTAACTGGTTCCACATAAACAGATCTATGTATATTTTCAGTAGTTTCAGCTGAAACCTGTTAAGAACAGATGTGCCAATGGTTCCCTGGCACTGATCCATTTAAATATATTTTTTCCACGAACAGGTTTTTCTCTCTCCCTTTCCTTAGAGGGGAGAAAAAATATGAAAGTGGAACCACCATTAAAGTGGATATTACATGCTTCTGTGTTCTCTGCAACCAGTGTTTGCCATTGGTTTTCCAACAGCAATTTGGCACATGAGGCTGTGAACACAGAGTGTGCATTTGATGGACAGTATTTGCTCTGAGGCTGTGTGGCTGGGAGAATGGGCTGAGAGCTCTGTAGTTGCTACCTAAGCTAGGGTCAGCCAGGGTTAGTTTTTCCCTGCTGCTGCTGCTAAGCAGCCCCTGGGCAAAGGCTTCAGCAGGCCGTCTGCCTCTTTGAGCCTTTAGTTTTTCAGTTGCAAACAAAAAAAAAAGGTCCAGGGAGTGGGAAGATAAAGAACTCCTATAACTCAGCAACAACAACCTGATTAGAAAATGGGCAAAGGACTTAGATAGATATTTCTACAAAGATGATATATATTAATAAATGGCCAAAAAGCATGTGAAAAGATGACTGGCATCACTAATGATTAGAGAAAAGCAAATAAAAACTAAAATGAGACATCACCCCCACACCGTTAGAATGGCTAATAGCAATAAAACGGAAAATATCAAGTGTTGGCAAGGTTGTGGGGAAATTGGAACCCTTCTGCACTTTTGGTGAGAATATGAAATGCTACAGCCACTGTGGAAAACAGGATGGCAGTTCTTCAAAAAATTACAAATAGAACAACCATATGACCCAGAAGTTCCACTTCTAGGTGTGTATTAAAAAAAATTGAAAGCAAGATCTCAAATAAATATTTGCACATCCTTATTCCAATATAGCAGCATTGTTTGCCATATCCAAAAGGTAGAAACAACCCGAGTGTTTACAGATGGATGAATAAACAAAATGTGGTCTATACATACAGTGGAATATTATTCAGCCTTAAAAGGAAAAGAAACAGTGCTATATGCTACAGTATGGAAGAACCTGGAAGGCTTTATGCTAAGCGACTGAAGCCAGACAAAAAAGGACAAATACACTATAGTTCCACTTATATGAGGTACCTAGAGTAGTCCACTGCATAGAGATGGAAAGCAGAATGGTGTGCTAGGCACGGTGGCTCACGCCTATAATCCTAGCCCTTTGGGAGGCCGAGGCAGGCAGATCACTTGAGGTCAAGAGTTCGAGACCAGCCTGGCCAACATAGTGAAACCCCTCTCTACTAAAAATACAAAAATTAGCCAGGTGTGGTGGTGTGCACCTGTAATCCCAGCTACTCGGGGGGCTGAGGTATAAGAATCGGTTGAACCCAGGAGGCAGAAGTGGTGGTGAGCTGAGATCGCACCACTGCACTCCAGCCTGGGTGATAGAGACTCTGTCTCAAAAAAGAATGGTGGCTTCCAGGACTGGGGAATGGAGAGTTGTTTAATGCCTAAGAATTTCAGTTTTGGGGGATGAAATGAGTTTTGGAGATTGGTCACATAACAATGTGAATGTACATAACACTACTGAACTGTACACTTAAAATGGTTAAGATTGTTGAAAAGAAGAAAATAGGGGAGAGGGTCTAATTTGTGACACCAACCTCATCGATGGGGGAGGGATTCAAAAGAGAGGTGCACATTCAGCCAGACACTGAGCCTGTTGCCCGTGGGGATTATGCCTAAGAGGAATGAGATAGGAGGGGTTAGGTTTTCTCAGCTTTGAATTTCTTTCTCAAGAACACTCCTCTGTCCACCTTCCCATTGCCCACACGACAGAGTTCACCAGGCCTCCTAGCTCTCTACCAGCCTATAGCCATCTGCAGGAATGTCCTCACTGGGCCCTTTGGGCCATGCCCTGTGTCTGTGACTCTGGGGCCTAGCACTCTGACCCACTGGCCTGTGTTCCTCTCTGGTTGGAAGACAGTGCAAAAGGGACCTATTCCACCTTCAGTGGCCTCCGAGTAACCCACCTGCTCCAGTCTGCAGATTTCCATCTCACTGACTTTGCCCTGGCACTGGGAGGGGGGAAGTGAGGGCTGCAGGTAGGAGTTTGATGGCAGATGAGCCTCAGGGGTTCAATGTCAGCTGGGAGAAGCAAGGCCACTTCCAGACTCAGTTCTGCCACTGTCTGGCAGTGAGGCTCTGGGCAAACCATTTTGCTTTGTCTCTGGTAAAAGAAGGCTGTGGGCAGGATTGGGCTTTGTAATTGCCAAAGATTCCAGATCTTTGAGGGGCTCTGTCTTCCTAAATTCTGTGCAGCCTGCTAGCCTCTGCAGGAGAGTATCAGGGAAACTTAACATGCCTGTGTTTCGTAGTGAACAGGATATCTAGGGTTGAGAATTACTGCGAACACTGTTATGTTGTCACGTGAGCTGGGGCTCCATGGTGATGCACCCTGGGCTCCCAGAACAATGTGAAGCACTGAGATGCCCTGCACCTGGGCCTGGGTCAGAATCCTGGTAGAGGGGTCTTTGGCAAGGACAGGAGAGGACCTCCTTGGGATTGGACTCAGCTGAGCAGCAGGATGCCTGTTTGGCTTGGGAGGTGAGATTAGCTTCCTGGGGGCAAAAAGGAGCCATATTTGTCTTAATGAGGAGAAAAGAGCAAAATCAAAGCATTCGTTAACACTTCAAAGAGGATAAAAGAACATGTTCGGTTCACAATTACTGCCTCCCTAACCAGGCAAGTGTATGATGGAGAATCCTGTTATCCTAATTCAAGAGGACGATGCCAAAGGCTTCTCTTGCTGGCTGAGAATTGTTGGGGAGCTCCCTGCCCACGGAGGGCCTGTTTGCCAGATCCCCAGCCCCCTGCAGACCTCTGATCTGTGAGGAGCTGGTTCTAGTGATTCACACTTGTTTGTGAAAACCTTGATCTTCATCAAGCTTTTAAAAAAATCTCATCCGTATTTTTTCCCAATTATTTTCCTGCCTGCTCTTTTTTTTTTCAAAAGTAAACACTCAAAAGCCTTCATTTCTATAACTAATTCTGGAGTTTACAGAAGCAAAAATCAATAGGCTCAAAACTCCATTCCTTTATTCACTTGGCTCAGACTGGCTTGGGGCAGCACCTCTGAGCCCAAGCCAGAAATTGCCAAAAGGGGGTTCCTGTCGGAATCTTGGAGCTCATCCCCCAAACTTGAGATTACTGAGCAAGTGAGCAAGATGTCTCTGTCTGGTCCAGGAAGATGTCAGCCCCACACTGCCCCTCCCAGATAAAGAGATCAACACGGGACAGGTCAGTCTCTCCCATTCTGTCTCCACCTTTGCCAGTCTGCTTCTAGATCCCCTTCATGTACTCATGTTGCTGCCCTCCATTCACTAGATTTTCAGGATCTATTTATATCCATCCACCACATCCACCACTCTGTTTTCCAAATATTATCACAATCAGCGCAGTAGTGCTTCCCCCCGAAAGACTGGCAGCTCTCTGACCTTTCTTTTCAGCTACAAATGAAAGGGGACTTAAAAGCTGTGTGTGCATGTGTGTGCACACGCCTGACTAATGGACACACTCCTCATGAAAAACAGGATAAATTACAGAGAATGGCAAAGTAATGATTACAGAAAGGTATATGAGGCAGAACCCATTAGTGAGCTGCATTTTGTTCAAAACCGAGATACTGGCAGGCAGAATAACATGCCTTTGTACCAGAACGCATTCAGCTGTAGCAATGACTAATAAAGTAGCGAGGATCTGTGCACATTTTCCCCCTTTTGTGCCTATTTTCATAAGTTAATAACTCAAGCATGAAAATTGTTTTAAGGCTGAAGACTGGTGGTAAGATCTGGTCAAACTGTGTGGGAAACAACTTTTGTTGTTGTTGTTACTTAATTTAGTTTGGCTGTTTTTAAGTTAGAGGAGTGGAAATGTCAATGTCAATGTGAGTCTTGCAATGTGTTTTTGTTAAGCCCAAGAGCATTTGGGATTGCATCATACAAAGCACATTTTTAATGACTAGAGATCATAGTTTCTCTTCCTACAGGTGTATGTTCCTATTTGGTACAGGTTGGGATTGTTGGGGAGGGAGGAGGAGATGGAAGCAAAATCTTATAAATGACATCATCCTGGGCTTACCCTTCTTCAGCTAGAAAATTCCTATCCCACCAGCAAATCAGCCCGGTGAGCAAACAGCTGCCTTAGACAAATGGGGTTGAGTGTAGGGGTGAAACCTGCTGCAGGATTTTAGTAAATTCCCAGAGCAATGGAAGGAACAGAAATATCATGAATAATTGTCATACCTCTCATTCCTACAGGACTCAGGTTTTGTGAGCATTTTCCTGTCCATAGAACCAGAGAAAGTCTAAGTTAAGGGTACCAGATTTTGCATAACTCCTCTTTCTTCTTGCCTCTTCTTTTCTTTTTATTGGATGAGAAGACTTTGAAAGACACAGAAAAACACAGAGAATAACATAAATACCTGTGTAGCCACATTCTGGGAGTAACAACTGTAATATTTTATAATGCTTACTGCAATTTATTTTTTAAAAATAAAGTAACTGAAGCATTACTGATAAAGATGTATCATCTCCTTTATCTCACAGACAAGCAAAGTGGATCAGCAAAGGCTGCAGTCACCAGCATCTTTTCCAACCTTAATGAACTGTATCCTCAAAAGAACACTATCAGACTGGTAAGACAAGCATTATTGTCCCACTTCACAGATGAAGAGCTTGGGGGCCCTGTGGATGTGTAGGAGAGTCGGCCTTCCTTTTTATAGGCCTTTTGCTGAGCTCAGAGGACAGAGCAGAAGACAAAGCCGAATGCAGCCCTAAGCAGACACTATCCCAGCCCAAGGAGCTATGCAGACAGCTCCTGCCTAGAGGAGAAACAATTCTCTCCTTCAGCCAGGCATGTGGCACAGAGGTGAACAGGAAATGCTTAGGGAGACAGTTCACAGATATATATGTACTTCACAGGGCACAATTTAATCCATAAATCAATCATGGATCACCGCTAAAGAAAACAAAATATGCTGCCACTAATTTGCCACCACCCTGTGAGCATGATTGGATGATGTTTATTTTGATTAGGAGATTGCTCCATTTATAAATCTTCAATACATCCTGTCCCCCTAAAACGGCATCTGGGTCTTTTGAGGGTTAAAAAAAAAAAAAAGTGAAATTGGATGAGGGATGAGAGCTGGACTTCTGTGTGTCCCGGGGTCCCTGGATCCACAGCCTGGTGCCTAGCATCAGTTAAGCCCACGCTGGGGTCGCATCACATCCCGCAAAGCCACGTGCTCTGTGAGGCCAACAGGAGCCCCGCCGGGTGGACCAGCTGGAATCTCAGAGAGCGCCGACTCTGAAACTACCCGGCTCTGCAGAAGCACGCTGGGCCCAGGGGCTTCTAGACTGACAGCTCCATTTATCAACTACCTATTGGTTTTAAAAATTGGAGTGTCTTTTCCGCGTTGACTGATTTTGGCTCTAAGAGATGTCGCTGGTCATTTCAGAGTGACTGAACCTCCCCTCTAACAGATCCCGGGAATTGTTTTCAGGAAAGGTAAAAGGCAGCCTTTTCTGTCACAACACAACGCTGAGCCGGCAGCCTGGCTCTGTCAGGATCTGGGGCTCCCGCGCCCGAGAAGCCCAGCCTCGCCGGCGGCCAAGTTCACCGCGAGGCCCCGCGCTGCCTGCGCTGCGCTCCCGGACCCGCACCGACCGCAGCGCGCGCCGCCGGTGCTTCTCCCACCCCAGCCTGGAAGCTGCCTCCCTCCGCCTATGCCTGCAGGATAAGAAGCCCGAGGAGGCGGAGCATGGAACTCGACAGTTAAAACATTTAAGAGAGAAAACCTAGTGTCTTGCTGGCCTGAAATCGAGTACGCAGCCCGGGGTGATCAGGGTCTCCCGGCCCGGATGTGTGAGACTTGCTTCCCCTGGGCAATAGGCGATACGATGCTTTAGGAGGAAGGTGTCTCTCCCTCCTAAGCCCCGGAGGGGAGAACTTCCAAAGACAGAAAACCACAGGCTTCCTGGCACAGAGCTTTCCCTTTATCAGCTAAAGCAGAATCTTTTCTGGCCTTAACCTGGCCCCTTCCTCTAACTGCAGGCAGAGAGGCAGACAGAAAAGCACTTGCTGAAACACAAAGTTTTGTTCTGTCCTCAACGAACTGTCTAGAGCTGATTGCTGATAGTCGTGGTGCATTATGCCTTCCTGGTTTTCATTTAATTGGGCACCACGCTGCCTTTCAAGACGCCTTAAAGGAACCAACAACCAAATCCAAGAGAGCTGGACAGACCATTGAACACACAGTAGGCTGTGTCTCGTGGCTTTCGTTGTCTGGTGCCTCAAAGAAAACACCAGAAAGATTGTTTCTAAGCTAGAGCCACCCCAGATTGCTTAAAGTGCAAAGCTCACTGCTGTTGGGGGTACCCTTGTGAGACACTGGAAAGCTGGTTTTACCGTGGCCCTATGAAGAGGAAGACTGAAATTTAGACAGTAATACCTTTACTAGGATTGGAAAAGATTTGGTTAATGACAGCCCTGTCATTTCTAAAACCCATTATCACTGTATGAGAGATTCCTTTGCGCTGCATCCTCGACAGTGCTTCCTAAGGTCAGTCTTTTCTATTGTATTCATTTTAATGGGTGCATAGCCGTATCTCGTTGTGATTTTAATGTGCATCTCCCTAGTGACTAATAATGATGGGACGCTTTTCATATACTTGTTTGTCATTCATAACTCTTCCTTGGTGAAATGTCTGTTTAGATATTTTGTCCATTTTTTTTATTTGGATTGTTTGATTTCTTATTATTGAGTTTTGGGAGTTCTTTATGTATTGTGGATACAAGTTCCTTATTAGGTATATGATTTGCAAATATTTTCTTCAAGCCTGTAGCTTGTTCTTTCATTTTCTTAACAATGTCTTTTGTTTTTAATTTCAAAGAAATCCAATTTGTCAATATTTTCTTTTACAGATTATGCTTTTGATGTAAGAAATCTTTGCCTAACCTAAGTCACAACAATATTCTCCTAGAAGCTGTAGAAATTTCAATCTGTAATGATCAATTTTGAACTCGTTTTTATATTTATTTATTTATTTATTTATTCTTTGAGATGGAGTCTCACTCTGTCGCCCAGGCTGGAGTGCAATGGCACTATCTTGGCTCACTGCAACTTCCACTTCCCAGGTTCAAGCGATTCTCCTGTCTCAGCTTCCTGAGTAGCTGGGATTACAGGTGTGTGCCATCACGCCTGGCTAATTTTTTGTATTTTAGTAGAGACGGAGTTCCACCATGTTGCCCAGGCTGGTCTCGAATTCCTGAGCTCAGGCCATCCACCCGCCTCGGCCTCCCAAGGTGCTAGGATTGCAGGCGTGAGCCACCATGCCCGACCCAGAACTTATTTTTAAATATGGTGTGAGGCATGGAGCAAAGTTTACTTTTTTACATGTGTTTACCCAATTGTTCCCTCAACATTTGTTGAAAAGACATTTCTCCACTGCATTGTTTTATGTCTTTGTCGAAAATCAGTGTATGTTTGGACTCTTGATTGTTAGTTCCATTGATGTTTGTCTTGATTTATTTTTTGGCCTTGAAACAACAATTTATTATCATCTCTCATGATATTGGAGGTTGGCCAGGTTCAGCTGGGCAATTCTTACTTGGGTTCTCTCATGCATTTGCAGTTGGATGATGGCTGGAGCAGCAATCTGGAGGCTCAAGGAGGCTGAAGGCCCCATATGACTCCTTCATTTCCATATCTAGCACCTCAGTGGAGTAGGCTGGAACAGCTGGGGAATGATTGAGCTTCTAATTCTCTCCCTACCTCCTATCTATGTGTCTAGTTTTCACTTCTTCACAGTACGGCATTCTCAGGAAAGTCAGACTTCTTAGTAGTGGCTTACCCTAGAATGGCTTTTCCAAAAGCACATGTTTCAAGAGACCCAGGCAGAAGCTGCAAAGTTTCCTGTGACCTAGCTTACACATCCTATAGTTTCTTTTGCCATATTCTGTAAGGAAAGCAAGTTGCTATGGCCAGACCAGGTTGAAGGAGAAGGGTATGAGACTCTACCTCTCGATTTCAGGAGCATTATTACGGAGAGGGAAGGATTGTTGGTTGCTTCTGTATAAGCAATGCCAATAATAGAAGGCTCCACTGTCCTGATTAATGTAGCTTTATAACAAGTCTCAAAATCAAGCAATGTTAGTCCTTCAACTTTGTTCTTCCTTTACAAAGTTGTTTTGACTGTGCTAGGTCCCTTCCATTTACATTTGAATTTTAGAATCAGTTTGTCAATTTCTACCAAAAAGAAAGCCCTTATGAAATTTTGATCAAGATTGAATTGAATTTATGGATCAATTTAATGAGAACTTACAATTCAAATTATTTTAAGATCAATTTGGTGAAAATTTACACCTTAAAAATATTGAGTCTTTTGACCTATGAACCTACTTAGGTTTTCTTTAATTTATTTTAGCAATTACATTATAATTCTCAATGTATAGATCTTTCTATCTTTTATCACATTTGCCCTATTTTATACGTTTTGACCCACTATAAATGGTATTTTTAAAATTTCAATTTCCGGTTGTTCATTGCAAGTATATAGAAACATAATTGATTTCTGTACATTAGCCTTATATTCTATATTTTTGCTAAAGTCACATTTTTAGTTCTAGTAGTCTTTTTTTCATAGGATTTTCTGCATACACACTCATGTCATCTACAAATAAAGATGGCTTTTCTTCTTTATTTCCAATCTCAATCTCTTTTGTTTCCATTTCTTGCTGTTGCACTGGATAGCACCTTCAGTACAATGTTGAATTTGTGAGAGTTTCTGATCTTAAGAGGAAAACACTCAGTCTTTCACCGTTAAGAATGATGTTACCTATAGGCTTTTCATAGATGTTCCCTTAGCAGGTTGAAGAAGTTTCCATCTATTCTTAGTTTGCTAGACTTTTTATCAGGAACGTTTGTTGAGTTTTATCAAATTTTTTTCTGCATCTATTGAGACATGCAATCTTCTAGTGCCGTCATTTTACAAGCTCAAGTGAAGTGTAGGGCACTTACCTTTCTTTACGTCCTACTATCCTCTCTGTTTATAATATAATTGCTTAAATATTTTCTCTGCATATATTTAGGATCACATTAGATAGTTATAATTTTTACTTCAACTGTCAACATAATTTAGAAAAGTCCAGTGAAGAAGGAAAGTCTATTATACATACCAATATTTTTGCTTACTATTATGTTAATATGTTAATATGTTCTTTCTTCCTTACTGATGCTCCAATATTCCTTCCTTTACTGTTTGCTTTTTGTTTAGAAAACTTTTTTTTAGCTGTTCATTTATAGTATGTCTGCTGGTGACAGACACTTTTAGTTTTCCCTCTCCTGAGAATGCCTTTATTTCCATTTTATTCCTGAAGGACCTGTGATTGGGGTGGGGCTGTGGTATTTTAAGTGGTGTTTGGCTAGAGTGGAGCGGTTATTGCCCAAAGCTTTTCTGTCTTGCTGGGCTGCCACTGTCCAGCTCCTTAGGCTGGAGAGAGCAGGCTTTTGTTGGGGCCTTCTTGGTCTCATTTGGAATTTCTGAGTTCAGTTTCTTCAACTATATATCTGGGATATACAAGACAGAAAGAAACCAGGGCACTCTCCACCATGTTGTTCCTCCAGTCTCAAGATCTCTAGACAGTCTGTCTTCTCTCCATCTTTCAGAGTCTTCTTGTGCATGTTTTTTATATAACATCTACACTTTTTAGTGGCGCTTAGCAGAAGCAATGGGACAAGTATGTCTACTGCAGCTTTCTGGAAGAGAAGCTCCTCATTTCTTTTTTTGGATACATTTCAAAAGAAGTTGCAAATATATGACCCTACACATTTCAGTATGCATATCATTAACTACAGCTCAACATTAGTTTATATTTTTCTTTTTCTTGTGTGAGATGAAAACTATACATACATTGCCGTCAGGCTTTGCCCAGGCATCAGAACTCACTAGACAGCAGAATATACATCTTTGAGAGGAACCACAGAAATGTAATGTGCATGCTAAGGCTTTTACCTGAACATCAAAATGGAAACATCAGAGTATTCATATTAGAGAGCAACCTTACAATTGTAATGGATGTGGTAAGGCTTTTTAAAAAATCAAATGTTCAAAGACATAGAATCAACCAAAATGGCCATCAGTGATAGACTGGATAAAGAAAATGTGGTACATATACACCATGGAATACTATGCAGCCGTAGAAAGAAACGAGATCATGTCCGTTGCAGGGACATGGATGGAGCTGGAAGCCATTATCCTCAGAAAACTAACCCAGGAACAGAAAAGCAAACACCACATGTTCTCACTCATAAGTGGGAGCTGAAGACTGAGAACACATGGAACCAGGGAGAGGAACAACACACACTGAGGCCTGCCACTGCAGGTGGGGGTTCAGGGGAGGGAGAGCATCAGGAAAATAGCTAATGCATGTCAGGCTTAATAAGTAGGTGATTGGCTGATAGGTGCAGCAAACTGCCATGGCACACGTTTACCTATGTAACAAACCTACAAATACTACACATGTACCCCAGAACTAAAAGTAAAATAAAAGAAAACAAATTTCAAAAAATAAAAAGAAAATTCTAGGTACATTGAAATATACAATTCTTACGTGCACCATTTGATGAGTACCACCCACCCCTCTGTCAAGATACAGAACTCATCCATCACCCCACAAGTTCCTTCTTCCTCCTTCACAGTCTAATCCCTTCCCCAGCCACCTCGCGGGGACAAACATTGTTTTGTTTTGTTTTTTTACACCTCCTAGATTAGTTTCATCTTTTCTAGAATGCAGTATGAATAGAAGGGATATCATGCACTCTTTTCTGTCTGGCTTCTTTGTTTCAGCCTAATGTTTTTCATATTTAGCAAGTTTTATAAGTCATTCGTTTCTGTTGCTGAGTAGTATTCCGTTGTGTGCATATACCACAGCTTGTTGATCCATTCTTCTATTGATGGATATCTGAGCTGTTTCCAGGTTTTGGCTAGTATGAATAAAGCCAAAGAGAGCCATTTTAATCTGGGGCATTTAAAAAATGGTGTGAATAAACTTTCATCTGAACACAGGGTTCCGTGGTAATAATTTTTGAAAATATCACCTCCAGCTCTGACGTGCCGAGTTTGTAATTTTCGTAAATGATATAAGAAGTCATTTCTTCATCCATTCATTTGTTCACTCAACCCTTATTTAGTGGGCCTATTCCCTGTGCCAGGAATCATTCAAGGCTCAGTGGGGAAGAGAACAAATGTAAGTCGGCCTGGTGCAGTTGACATGCTAGTGAGGGAAAAGACAAAAACATCAGTTAGTGAATACCTGTTATGACGGAAAAGAAGCCAGGTAAGTGGGTAGGGCATTACAGTTGGTCCAGAGGTAGGCAGGGTGTCATTTTAGCTCTGGAAGTAGGGAGAGGAACTTAGGGAGATGGTCAGGGGAGGGACTTATATGATTTGGATCTGTGTCCCCACTCAAATCTCACACCAAATTATAATCCCCAATGCTGGAGGTGGGGCCTGGTGGGAGGTGATTGGATCATGGGGGCAGTTTCTTATGCTTTAACAACATCCCCCTTGGTGTTGTCACAGTGACAGTAAGTTATCACAAGATCTGGTTGTTTAAAAGCGTGTAGCATGTCCCTCTGTCTCTCTTCCTCCTGCTCTGGTCATGTGAAGATGCCTGCTCTGGCTTTGCATTCTGCCATGAGTAAAAGTTTCCTGAGGACTCCCCAGCCATGCTTCCTGTACAGCCTGTAAAACTGTGAGCCAATTAAACCTATGTTCTTTATAAATTACCCAGTCTCAGGCATTTCCTTATAGCAATGTGAGAATAAACTAATACAGAAAATAGGTACCAAGAGTGGGGTATTACCATAATGATACTGAAAATGTGGAAGCAGCTTTAGAACTGGGTAATGGGCAGAGGTTGGAGGAGTTTGGAGGACTCAGAAGAAGAAGGGAAGATGAAGGAAAATTTGGAACTTTCTAGAGACTTGTTAAATTGTTATGACCAAAATGCTGGTAGTGATATGAAGAGTAAAGTCTAGGCTGATGAAGTCTCAGTTGGAAATGAGGGACTTATTGGAAACTGGAGCAAGGTCACTTTTGTTACGCATTAGCAAGAGGTTGGCTGCATTGTGCCCCTGCTTTAGGGATCTGTGGAACTTTGAACTTGAGAGTCATGATTTAGGGTATCTGGCAGAAGAAATTTCTAAGCAGCAAAGCATTCAAGATGTAGCCTGGCTGTTTCTAATAACCTATGCTTATTTGCATGAACAAAGAAATGATCTG
The DNA here is from genome assembly GCF_000001405.40 of Homo sapiens. Classification (NCBI taxonomy): domain Eukaryota; kingdom Metazoa; phylum Chordata; class Mammalia; order Primates; family Hominidae; genus Homo; species Homo sapiens. Next base: position 111,359,838 of record NC_000002.12, on the reverse strand, counting down.
AAATTGGAACTTACATTTAAAAGGGAAGCAGAGCATAGAAGTTTGGAAACTTGCAGCCTGGCCATGTGGTAGAAAAGAAAAACCCATTTTCAGGGGGAGGAATTCATGCAGGTTGCAGAAATTTACATAACTAAAAAGAAGGCAAGTACTAATAGCCAAGACAATGGGAAAAAGGCCCTGAAGTCATTTCAGAGAGCTTCATGGCAGCCCGTCCCATCATAGGCCCAGAGGCCCAGGAGGGAAGAATAGTTTCAGGGGCCAGAACCAGGGTCTCTACTCCCCTGCACAGCTTTGGGACACTGTTTCCTGCATCCCAGCTGCTACAGCTCCAGCTGTGGCCAAGAGGGCCCAAGGTACAGCTCTGGATGCTGTTCCAGTGGGTGCAAGCCATAAGCCTTGATGACTTTCACGAGGTGTTAAGCCTGTGGGTGCACATAGTTTAAAAGTTGAGGCTTAGAAGCCTCCACCTAGATTTCAGAGAATGTATGGAAAAACCTGGATGTCCAGGCAGAAGCATGCTACAGGGTTGGAGCCCTCATGGAGATCCTCTACTAGAGCAGTGCAGAGGGGAAATGTAGGGTTGGACCCCCCACACAGAGTCCTCTTTAGGGCACTACGTAGTAGTGCTGTGAGAAGAGGGCCACCATTCTCCAGACCCCAGAATGGTAGAGCCACAAGCAGCTTGCACCCTGTGCCTGGAAGAGCCGTAGGCACTCAATGCCAGTCCATGAGAGCAGCTGTGGGGGTTGAACCTTGCAAAGTCACAGTGGCCAAGCTGCCCATGGCTTTGGGAGCCCACCCCTTGCACCAGCATATTCTGGATGTGGGACATGGAGCCAAAGGATAATATTTTGGAGCTTTAAGGTTTAATGACTACCCTGCTGGGTTTTGGACTTGCATGGGGCCTGTAGCCCCTTTCTTTTGGCTGATTTCTCCCTTTTGGAAAGGGTATATTTACCCAATGCTTATACCGCCATTGTGTCTTGGAAGTAACTAACTTCTTTTTTATTTTACAGGCTCATAGGTAGAAAGGACTTGCTTTGTCTCAGATGAGACTTTGGACTTTAAACTTTTGAGTTAATGCTGAAATGAGTTAAAAGACTTTGAGGGACTGTAGGGAAGGCATGATTGTATTTTGCAATGTGAGAAGGACATGAGATTTGGGGAGGAGCCAGGGTCAGAATGATATGGTTTGGATATGTGTCCCCACCCAAATCTTATGTTGAACTGTAATCCCTAGTGTTGGAGGTGGGACCTGGTGGGAGGTGATTGGATCATGGGGGTGGTTTCTTATGGCTTAACACCAGCCCCCTTGGTATTGCCATAGTAAGAGTAAGTTATCACAAGATCTGGTTGTTTAAAAGTGTGTAGCACCTTCCCCCTCTCTCTCTTCCTCCTGCTCTGGCTATGTGAAGATACCTGCTCTGGCTTTGTCTTCTGTCATGAGTAAGTTTCCTGAGGCCTCCCTAGCCATGCTTCTTGTATAGCCTGTAGAACTGTGAGCCAATTAAATCTCTTTTCTTTACAAATTACTCAGTCTCAGGCATTTCTTTACAGCAATGTGAGAGTGGACTAATACAGGGACCTTTTAGGAGGAAGTCATAGGAGAGTTCTTGGAGAAGGTAAGGTTGGAAGAAGGTACAAAGAAAAAAGCTTATGTCTTTAAATCATCTTCATTCCTGATAATTCAGCACACTTTAGAGGCAACTTCCAAGTCAGCTGTTGATGGTAGTGAAGACCCAAGGCCCAGAGAGGGAGCAACTGGCCCTAGAGTTGCATGATGAGTCTTCAGTGGCAAGGCCGAGATTAGAGGTCTGTACTCAGCATTCAGCTATTGGTGGACAGAACTCGTCCTTTGCTTCCTAAGTGCGGCTTCAGTCCTGTCATGGCCCTGCACTTCCCCGATTCCCTGCCCACTCCGTCCCCACTTCTTCAGGTGCTTCCCCATGGGAACTGGTAGAATAGTGTTAGAAAGCCACATCCATAGTATGGCCTCTTGAGGATTTCTGGTTTGTGTGACTTTGAGCAAGTCCTCCCCTGATGTTGGAGGATTCTTACCCCTGAAGTTGGGGAAGGAGTGAAATCTTGATGGTAGGACATCTGCTCACATGTCCTTTGAGACTTACCACGTTTGTCACCATGTATTTAGCACAGCTGCCTTTCATCTGCAAATACAGCCTGGGAGCTCTTTATGTTTTATCTAATTTTAATTCTTATAACAATCCCATGGAGTTGTTAGGTAGTAAAGTGCTCTCTCTGTTTTTACAGATGGAAATCTGGAGACTGAGTGAGGTTGAGTAATTTGCCCGAGGTTGGCAAGAGGCTAAAGTAGAATTCTAAACCAGATCTGTTTGATTCTGATGCTCTTGCTTTTAGCCACAATGTTTTAGCATCTGTTCAATTCTGAACAGACGGACAGAATTTGCAGAGGTCAGAGGGAGGTTCTAGAATAAAGCTGTTCTCTAGTTTACAGGACAGAAATGGAGGTAGTGATATGCCTGTGCCAGTTCTGGGATGTGTAGCTGGGAGGGAAGCCTTCTGTGGACCACCATGTAGGAGGGAGAGCATAGCAGGGTATGATGGGAGGAGCATGGGTTCTGGAATTGAAAAATCCTGTGTTCAAATCCACACTGTACCACAAATCCCACGAATGGAGGACATTTGGACAAATTGTTGAAGCCCTCTAAGCTTCCATTTCCATGTCTGTAAAACGGGATAATAATGGTATCTCCCTAGAGGGTTGCTGGGTAGGTACAATGAGATGATGCAAATAAAGTACTTAGACAATACCAGGCTCACAGTAAATGCCTAATAAATGCTGGCTGTTGTTTTTATTCGCTATTGTTTTGAAAAATGGCAGGCACTACAGACATACAAAGTGCAGAGAGTGGAAAGACAACAATGTGTTTTAGGGCCAGGCAGCCCAGAGCTGCCCAGGCTGGCACCCTGCCCAGAAGTGGGAGTGATCTGGCAGAGGCCAGGGCCTTGCAGGAGGATTTTTGCAGACACCCAACTTCCTGCATCAGTGGGGTCGAGTGATCTCTGGAGTGCCTTCCGACCTGGAGAGGTCATTTCAAGTCTCTGCAATGGTAGCGATGGTAGCTCCAGCAAGGGAGGGAAAAGGGGCTTCCACTGGCTCTTGGACACTCCAGCTGTCATTTTTGGGAATGTGCTTATCTGCCCCAGAGGGAAATAGATGATTGAGAAAGGAGGCAACCAGGGGACTTAGGCTTTACCAGCAGTGACCTACTAGCTCCGGTGTGTTTGCCTCAGACAGCAGGCCAAGGCTAGTGTCACGGCAGTTTAGGGGGTCCTGCACATTCACTGTGCCAACGAGCGGTATTTTGCAAACTTATTATAAACAGATTATATTTCTTATCCTAATGTGGCTGTTGGCTACCTGCCCATGAATTTTAGCCTCCAGGAGAAAAACAATTGCTTGAGCTGAGTGTTCTGTGCTTTTACTTTCCATACATTACTCAGGGCTCCTTCCAGTTCCCCCAACCCTTAATCTCTCTCTTTCTCTCTCTCTCTCGCTTTCATTCTCTCTCTCTCTCCATCTTTTTCCTTCTTTTCAGAAAGTCCTCTTTCATCTTGGGCATAACTAGAAAATCTGTAAGCTGTGCTTTCTGCCATGCATTAGCCAACAGGGTCCTTTCCTCCCAAGCCAGGGAAGAAAGCACAAAAAGCAATGTCCAGGCTGGGCCTCTCAGGGTCCACAGCATCACAGGCAAAGGAAGCAACTGTCTCCATGCCTACCAACGGATCCACACACATCTCGCTGGGCAGCATCTCTGCCCCAGGAAGCAGCGCGCTTACTACACTGGGCACCCAGATGTCTGGTCTTGCGTGGCAGGCAGCCACTTTCTCCCGGCCTTTTCTTGTCCCAAAAGTCAGAGGGGCAGGCCAGTTCCAGAATGGGATTCCAGGCAGACCAGGAGACTAGGAGTGCATGTGAACAACTGCAAGGGGATGCGTCTGTCTGCCTGGTGTCCGTGTGTTCATGTGCACACCTGTGCACGCGCTCCCCCAGACTTACACACACTCGTGAACACATGCTCACACAAGTTCATGCACGGGAGTAGCTCCAAGCCTCTCACTCAGCACTTTGCTATTAATAGCTCACTTTTCTAAAAAAGTCTGCTTAGCCGTTTGTAAGAATAACCACCACTGCCTGTGTGACAGCCCAGGCCCCCGCAGGGAGGACAGGACCGGCCCTCTGCTAGGACTGCCTGACTGCCTGCCTCACGTTAGAATCCAGAGGGAGGGCCAAGAGGGGAGATGAAAACCCTTCCTGAGTGGCCAGGGCAGCCTCCAGTGCCTGTGCCCAGGGACAAGGCAACTCACTGGTAATGTCTGCGGGCAGTTGGCCAGGCCCCTGAGAGCCAAGATGCCACCTTCTTCATGGTGACAGCAGGGAGCATGCTCCATGAAACCAGAATGAGCCTGTTCTCCACTCTGGGGTCCTGCTGTAAAAGCCAAGAAGCAGAGAGCCAAGCTGAGCCCACCAAGAGCTTGGCACGAGGCTGTCACCCACAACTTCTCGCTGATCCAAAAGACAGGCTCTGAGGCTGGAAATTCAAGTGTGGTGGTGCTGTGACACAGCACACAGCCACCGTGCACTTGTGTCCCTGGCAGCCGCAATCCGGGCCTGAGAGGGCCCAGTGTCTGTGGGTGTTTGTATTTAATTGCAGTGGGGTGAGAAAGGCCAATGGTTGGGTTTTATTTCAAACCTGCTTTGAGGAGAAGTAACATTAGGTGGCCCAGAGCTGTGAAATGTGTCCTGGTCATAAATGCTTCACCATCAATTAACACCTCCAGAATACCTAAGAGTTGCCAGCAACTTCCCATTCAAATAACCTCTTAAACCTTCCTCCACACCACACTGCCCATTCCCTCGCAGGCAGACCTGCATGGTTTGATGACGACTGGTCACACTGCTGGCCCTATCTGTATAAAAGTCCAGACAGTTGGGCTGTGAGGGGAAATGCCTACCTCAGAGTAGCTTAAGAAAGAAAGATATTGGTTTACTTCTGAAAAGCTCAAGACCAGCTGAGTTTAATGGCATCATTAAACTCATTAGACATGGGGCTGGGAAGTGGCTGCCAGCAGTTTGGTGCACAGCCTGTCCTCTCAGCAGCCCAGGTGGCAGGTGTCTTGGGAGTGGCAATGATGAGACCAGCTGCTCATCCTGGGCTGGTCATTGTGACTCAGATGTGGAGTGGGCTGGTTAGTGGTTCTGGGCCACTTGTCCATCTCTGGATCTGGCAGCTCCATCTACACAGTGTCGGGCTAGGCATGGGAGCATTCTGGGCCAGGAGAAAGGGGATTGGATCCTGGATGGTGGGAACCGCAGGTGTCCCCCTCCACGTGCCTGGGTCCAAGACTGCTCTGCTCTGGACCTTCTACGCCTTCAGAGGTACAAGTTGCAGTGCTACCCTTGCTGAACCTACAACCCTGTTCAAGTGACAACTTCTCTGAGTCTCATACGAGGATATTGAAAGAACCTTCTGCACAGGGCTGTTGTGAGGATTAACCGTAATAATACAAGAATATCTGGCACTTGCATTCAGCAACTCACCGCTTACTTGTTCAACCAGGTAAAAAGGTTCTGATCCCAGTGTTGCAGGACAGAAAGACCTCCCCCTCTGTAGCTGCAGGTGTGACCCAGCACAGAAAAAATGGCAGGTGAAAGACAGGCAGGAAGAGCAACTAAGAAGGTGGGAGGCACCTCCATAAGATGCCTGAGGCCATGGGGATGACTGTTCACAGAGCTAGTCCCTCGAGCAATGTGTTAAATCTACTGAACTGTGATAAAGCAACTTCTGGGTGAATTTTGTCCTGCTACAAGGTGTCATGGAATGGCAAGGTGGCAGATCTCAGAAGTGGATCCAATGGTTTTTTTTTAGTTAAAGCAGAACATTCCTGGGGATGGTGTCAAACTCCCTTCCATACTGTTGAGTCTGCTGATGATTACACTGGCTTCTCCTCTTTGCCCCATCATTTCACAGGTTCCCATCTTAAAGAGGAAGAGAAAGGAAGGAGGGAACGAAGGAAGGGAGGGAGGGAGGGAGGAAGGAAGGAAGGAAGGAAGGAAGGAAGGAAGGAAGGAAGGAAGGAAGGAAAGCGAGAGAGGGAGGGAAGAAGAGAGGGAAGGAAGTTATCAAACCCAAGCTCTGTGCAGAGCAGGAGACGTTTCCATGGGACCCCTAGAATAGATAGGTTCTTGCTGCTCTCCTGGTGGATGAAGATGCCCACCAGTAGCTGTGAGAGTCTCCCCGAAGGCCTGATTGTGGCTCCAAGTTCCGTAGGACTCACTAGTCTTTTTTTCCCTAGAGGGTCTTGCCATTGAGAGGCAGGTGATGTGCTGTTTCAGAAAACAAAATTGGGACATGTCCTGATATGACATCCATCAAATATATACAGATAGGTGTCACAGCCCCCGAAAAAGCTTATCTCTTCTAGGCCACACATAGCTATTTCCTCCAACTGTGTCAGACATTACAAAGTTTCTAGCAATCAAAACAAGTCAAATGCCATTCTCAGGACCCGTTGGAGGATTTTTTGCTTTGTTTTGGCTTTGTACGGTATCCATACCATTTTCCAAATTCTTTTGTCCTTACATATTTTGTTTTTCTTAAAAAAAAAAAAATCACCTATAATCCCATCACCAGACAAAACCACTAGAAAGAAACCAACATTTTAGCCATGTTTTTCTGTATATAAAAAAAGTGTGTGTGGAATTTTTCATAACAATATTGGGACCATGACATCTATCACATTTTTTATTAGGAAATGGCCTTCAACAATATGCATTTAACAATATGCTTGATGTCTGTGTAATATTTCATCTAACAAATATATCATGATTTATTTAAGTATTCCCTGATTGCTTGCTTCTAACTAGAAAAAACAATTTTTCTAAGTGTCACCACTGGGTTAGAGTAATCTCAGCCAATCCTCCTAATAGCACTGTGAGACCAGAGTTATGATAATCTTCAGTTAATGGACAAGGGACATGATGGTGTGGAAGGATAAATAAACTACCCAAAGACAACTAGCTAGTGAGACCAGCATGGACAGTCAAGCCCAGTGCATGTAATCTGTGCTCCCCTGCACTGTTGCTCATATACTTGGACCCTTGCATACATGATTTTCTTATTCATCTTGAAAGAGAAATGTTAGCTTACTGTTTTTATTTGCATTTATTTCGTTGCTTTTGAGTTTGAGCATCTTTCCATTTCTTATAGACCATTTGCATTTGTTTTCCTACAAAATGCCTGTTGATGGCTTTTGCCCATTTTTCTGTTAGCCTTGTCCTATGTATACACACATGTATATTATTAGTTCACTATCTGTCAGGTAAATTCCCCAGTTTTCTTCTTGCCTTTTAATGTTGTTATGGTCATTTAGGACTAGAAAGTTTTAAATCTTGTATGCCTATCAGTATTTTACTGTGTGACTATTCCCATTATTTTTATGCTTAGAAAGTTTTCATTCCTATCAAGTATAGATAAATGTTCAGTTCTACTATTTTATTTTAATTGTGCAGTGGGTTCATTTTTGGCATTGAATTAATTAATCTATCTGGATGTTATCATTAGTTTCCTTCTGAAAAAGTCAGTCCAGGCTGGGTGTGGTGACTCACACCTGTAATCCCAGCACTTTGGAAGGCCTGAGTCCAGGAGTTCAAGAACCAGCCTGAGCAACATGGCAAAACTGTGTCTCTATCAAAAATACAAAAATTAGCTGGGAGTGGTGGCACATGCCTGTGTTCTTAGCTACTCAGGAGGATAAAGTGGGAGGATTGCTGGGGCCTAGGAAGTTGAGGCTGCAGTGAGCCATGATTGCACCCCTGCACTCCAGCCTCGGTGACAGAGCAAGACCCTGACTCAAAAAAAAAAAAAAAATGCAGTCCAGATGTACTGGAACAAGCTTGTGTGGGATGGCTACACTCCTTTCCTGTTCTAACACACCTGTTACCTGGATGAGCTCCTATATCCTTATCCAGGTACCAGATCTGCCACACCTGGTACCGGCATGAGCCCTGTGGGGAACATACCAGCAGAGACATTACACTTCCACCGAGACAAAATAAAGCCACATTGACTTTTAGTACTCATATTATTGACTGACATTAAACCCATGGCAACTAAAATCTCGTTGTTTTTTTTTTTTTATTCTGGGGGTGAGGGTACAACTTTTAGAGAAAGTATCTCTCCCTAAGACTGCCAATCACTCTAAATTTGCATCTAACACTTCTACATAACTTTATCTACCGAGTAGGCAGTATTTACCGTCTGCTGTTTCATCTTGTAGCATAATTTTCTTTTATATTTCCAGGTGTGAAAATATTCAAACTGACCCCTAATTCTCAGCTTTCAGAGCTATCTGCTACTTCCCAGGTCACTTTGGTTTTTAAGCGCTTTCACATGCTGTTGTTGGACATCTGGGTTATTCCCAAATCTTGTTTTCACGTAGGCAGCTGTCAAGTCAAGATAGCCATGGCCCTGCCTGGCATGTTCTTTAAGATTGCATTTTATTTTTATTATTTTATTTTATTTTTCTTGGAGACAAGAGTTTCACTCTGTTGCCCAGGCTGGAGTACAGTGGCATGATCTTGGCTTACTGCAACAGATCTTGACTTACTGTAACCTCCGAGTCCCAAGTTCAAATGATTCTCCTGCCTCAGCCTCCTGAGTAGCTGGGATTACAGGCACCAGCCACTATGCCTGGCTAATTTTTGTATTTTTAGTAGAGATGGGGTTTCACCATGTTGGCCAGGCTGGTCTCGAACTGCTGACCTCAGGGGATCCACCCAGCTTGGCCTCCCAAAGTGCTGGGATTACAGATGTAAGCCACTGTGCCAGGCTGCATTTTTAATACTGTGTTTTTCTTGACATATATTCCAACTAAATTCTTCTGGGTGTTGTTGGTTTGACCTCATATTCGGTCCTATTGAAATGAATTTGAATCATTCATGATTTGGTTATTTATTGCATTCATTGTCCTTCTCAGCTTCTGGTTACCCACACAGTAGACACAAGTGCCTTTGGCATCTTTTTTCAAATCTACAGATGAGGAAACTGAATCCCAGAATGGTGGAGTGATTTGACGAATATTGCAAAACTATAATGGGGAGATGAGATGGGGATCCAAGTCTTGTGCCCCCAAAGACAGGGCACCAGGCAGCGTAGAGGTGGCCAGTACCAGAGCAACAGCCTAACAATGGTATGTATGTCACACACCCAGCTCACTCAATCCTGACCACAACCCCCCACTGCTCTGATTCCTGCCCCATCAGTAGCGTCTGAAAGGACATCTCCAAGTTCACCTTCAAGGACACTGTTAAGGCTGGGCCAGTGGAAGGAATATGACCCCTGGCACTGTCCCCCTTCATAAGACTTCAAAGTTCATCATTTCATTTGGGCATCATTTTACAATTTGCTAGGAATCCCTCTTATCTTATTTTCATCTGGTCCATATTCCTCCGTTTCAAAAACAAGACTATCCTGAAAAACTGTCAGCTGCTTGCTGAGGTTATTTTTGGTATACAGTACTTACCAGAGTCACCTGGTCAGCATTAATCACCCCATCATGAAAGATTTATGGTTGTTTGGGGGGTACTGAACCCATGTTGTACCCTATGTTTTTTCTGAAATATTTTCAATCTAGATGGTCAGTAGTTCTAGAATATTCCCTCAGGGATTGCCATCGACAATTGACCATTTTTATAAATGTTAGAAATGGACCGTTTGCCCAGGAGAGGGCTTCCCTGTGTTGAGTTTCTGTGTTGCTGCCAGGTCATCGAAGAGTTTTCATTGTTAAACTTGTGTAGGGCATCCAAGCACCACCTTGCTGTCTTCTCACCAGGCCAGGGGTCCACCTTTTGGAAGAGCATCTTTCTAACTAGAAGAGAGAGACGTGAAGTTGAAATTACTTGGCTCTGCCTCCTTTTTTTTTTTTTTCTCAAGTTTCTACATTTTAGCATCTTTCCTGTGTAATCCCTTTCTTGTCCCACTCTTCAAATAGCTTTGAAAACCCTTCTGAGATCACGGGCCTATTTTCAGCCTCTGCTTGGTGTGGGCTTTTGGTTTCCCAGTGTGGTTCTCACAGGTTCAGGCCCCCCCAACCCCGGTATTGACTCCATGTCAACTTCTTATCTTCTGGGTATGCCTTTCTGAAAGTCTGAGATCACCAGTGGTACCCTGTGTGGCCCACACTGGATTTTTCTAACTATTTCCTCTTTTTGGTCCTCACTGGGCTTATTCAGGATTATTGACGATACATATGCAGAATTTGGGGTTTTCTCCTAATCTCTTTTCTCACTTGGGATCTGTGTGTGTTCAGACTCCCTAGCCCCAGCCCTCCAGGTTAATATTGTGTGGCACTAGGACATTAGCCTCAGTTTCTTCAATTTGATATAATTGTGTATGATAACAGAATTTACCTCCTGGAGTTGTTATGAGGATTGAAGGAAATAGTGCTTAGTTGTGGTTAGTATTAATATTATTATCTACCTATTCCTGACACACTTTGTGGTTATAAGTGACAGAAAACTACCTCAAACTGGCTTAAACACGAAAAGAGAATCTGTTGCTCAGAGAAGTTTCCCCTAGGAATTACCATCAAGCAACATCCAAAGGTAGACCTGGCTTTCGGCACAGCTGGGTTCACAGCCCTGGTAATGTCCTCAGGACTCAGTTGTGTCCATCTGGTTCCTCTGACGCTCTGTGTGGAAGGAGGAGGTGGCGCAGCAGCAGCCTCCAGCTTGGCATAGCCATGGTGGGGAGCAGGACCCCAGCGCTTAGGTTTGGCTCCTATCTCAGCAAACTGGTGCTCTGCCAAACTGAATTTGGAAGACTTGCTTTCCCAGAGAAGAGAGCACATGAGCCTTCCTGACTGCGAGTGATATTGCTGACACAAACTGGACACTTCCTCCACTCTGTAGCTAAGGGGCAGCTGGGCCTTTCAATGCAGCTCTTTTCTAGCAAGGGAGACCCCACCAGAATTGAGATGGGTAACCCCGAGCCCTGTGCACAGGTGCCTGCTTTTATTCCCTCATTCATCTCGGTCTGAACATTCCTGACCTTGACTCTTGCCTGCGACATCCTCTGCACTCCTCCACATGCTCCACTCAGCTCGCTCCTGAGAGCTGGTAATTAATCGGCCTTGTCTTTACCCTCTGACCCCACTGAGCCTCCCAGATGGGTTTCCACACCTGGCAAATGACCTTGGAGTTACTCCTAACTTTGTCCCACAGGCCTGCTGGATTGGATTTAATGTTTGCTTGCTAACTTCTCTGACTCTTGACCTGGTCTGGTCACTTGCTGTGGTTGTGTGTGACACCTCTGTGTTATACACAGTGCCGGGCATTGCTTTTTCAGCAGCCTGGAATCCACTGCCTCTTCTTTCCCCAATTCGATGTCCTTTTGTGGCACTACTCTCTCACTGGGCGCCGTCTTCATGGTAAATCCAGGTGCTTTTCCCCCTGCGTGGAAGTGGAAAGTTGTCCACAGTGTCTCCTCCCTTGCCCCAGGGTGGTCCTGAGCTGAGCTGAGCTGAGTGGTCCCAGGGGGAGGGACAGCAGGCTGTTTGTTCCCTGTAGAGGCGCTTGATGGTGGAGCGCTCTTGTCCCAGTTGAACCTGGTTCTCCAGCTCAGAATCCAGCACCCCTGTTGACCTCACAAGCTCCTTCATAGCTTCCAATTCATTCCCCTCCCTGCTTGAGTCAGCAAGGGTCGTTCCTTCTGCTTTCAAGAGTCCTAGCTCATATTCCTGTGCTGTGCTCTATCTTCCCTGGCTTTATAGATTTACTTGGGCTCTTTTCACTCCTCCCTCTGAAGTTACCAATTGCACTTTTTCTGGTCTCATGGGCTGGCCTCCTGCAGCATGCTCTGCTCTTCCCAGCTTTGGGCCAGCACTTCCTGCTTCCTGCCAGGCCCCCGCTGTTCTGAGGTGGATCTGGGCTGCAGTCCAGGAGACAAAATTCTCCACTGTGACACCATCTACATGCCCAGATGTTCCCTCCATGTACTTCCTCTTTCTCCTTTTCTTTTCCAAACTCACAACCTTCCAGTGAGAGAAGGAATGAAAACACCACCTGTAACACCAATTCCTCCAATTTCCTCCCCAGAACTTCAAAGTAAACAGAAATGTATTGGGCTTAGACTGGGACTTATGGATGGTCAGAGTTGGAAGAAGCCTTAGAAACCATCACAAGCCTTTGCTCCCAGGGCTGTCTCTGATCGTTTGGTTGTGGCTGACTGGGTTGTCACATCTGGACACAGGAAGAAAAGTGCTGGGAGTGATTCCCAATGTCTGAGTGGATGAGGGAAGGGGGAGTGACAGCATATGAGCTAGTTATTTGCCCGTCCTTTAACAATCTGCTCTGTGTTTTACAAAATGGGGAAACTGAGTCACACATCTATCAAGCTGTCTAAGGCCACACAGGAAGTCAGGGCAGATTTGGGGGTAGAATCCAGGTTGTCCAGCCTTCTCTATCAACAACAATGACTTCTCTTTCCCATTGGAATTCACTGTCATAGGATGTCATCTAAGTCCACTTCCTGACAGCATGTGTGTCTCCCAGTCTGTGATGTCATGCTATACTCGGCCACCTCTGTACAGGACAGTGTGGCACGAAAGGGATCCTGCTGGTGCCTGTGGGGCTGGGGCTAATACTCTGGGACAACTTTCAGAATCACAGTTCTTCTACCCTAGGACAAGAGGGTGGTATACAGCCAAGGAAAGGTGGTCCTGGGCTCTGCAGCCATGGAGCTCCAGGGTTTGGAAGGTGCCGTGGAATCTTACTCCTTAGTTTGGACTTTTGTCAAACTGCAGCTGGAAAAAAATTAGAAATTGCTGCTCCAAATGGAACATACTCCATTTCATTCCAAATGAGAAGTAAACAAATAGACGGGTGAGCCTCCCCAAAATGATAAAACTCTTCACACTTAAGATGAGAAGTCAGTTCAAGTGCAGTCCTGGCGTGACTCACTGGGGTTTGCTGCAGGAAGATAGGGGCGAAATGTCCTCATCCTGCCTGTAGAAGCCAGCTCCTTATTTTAAATCCCATCCTGCTTGACTATCAAAGTCAGACAGAGCCTTCCTAAAAGCTGAAACACACGCACAGAATGAGAAGTCCCTGCGGGAGCAAGCTCACTGTGGTGAGAACCTTGCAGAGCAGACAGCTCCAGGGGCCAGCGGCTGCCTGCAAACACTTGCTGAGCAAGTCCCTGGGAGAGGGGCCTTTCTCCCAGGCCAGGAACGCCAAAGTGGGGTTTCCTGATAAGGAACACAGAACTGCTGTTTCTTGGAGAGGGAGTTCACACGGACTGGGATCCATTCTCAGGCTGGGCCTTAGTAGTGGGACAGCATCCTGTTTTATTAAAAGCCTGTTGCTGGCAGGGAAAGCCGTCTGCCTGCTGAGTGGGCAGGGGCCCAAGATCGCTGTGGGCAATTCCAAGCCAGTACTGGGAGCTGACATCAAACCAGGAAAGAACACGACTGTTTTTAGCTGATGTAGCAGTACATTTTCTTTCTTTCTTTCTTTCTTTTTTTTTTTTTTAATAGTTCTATTGCCCGGTTTCACTGTGTACATTTTGTGTGTGCAGGCATGCGTGTGACATCCTGTACCCAGCTACAGCCGAGGTTCACTCTGAGATGAGCCCACCCCACTTATTCTCCCCTTCTCCCTCCTTTCCCCACCTCCCCCTCTTCCCCATCCTTCCCCCACTGACCTCCCCAGCTCTAAAACCCCTGATAGACATAAAGAACAGAGGGAAACCCAGGCTGTAACCTGGGGTTATTCACAGGGTTGGGGTGGGTGAGAGAAGAAAAACAGACTTCTTTGTTTATCTTTTGAGTCTTGAAATTCTAAAAAATTCATTCATTTCCAAGGAAGCCTTAATTTGTAGGATTCCAAGAAATTTAAAAAAAGTAAAGGGAGATTCACTTCAAAAGAAACTAGGGGAAAAGCTGTTTTCTTTTTTAGCTGATTTGTTCATTATTCTTATTTTATTTAAAGTTAGGTTTGTTGAAGGCAGGCAAAGGTAGTCACTTTTTCATATTTGTATTACATTCTTACTTTCTTCCTCCATTGCCTTATCAGTTAAGAGGGCAAATAATATTTCAAGAGACTGATAGAATATGTTCTGCACTCTGCTCATTTCATAGCTCTCTGGGGAACTGGGGTTTTTATAAACTTTTATAATCACATTTTCTGCTGAGGTTATAGATGACTCCGAGAATCTTCCATTCATGCTGTAAATTAAAGTGACTCAAATTGCTTCCACTTTTACAAATTAAAAAAAAATGTACTTCTATACAGATTTTTAACAATTAACAAAAGGCCATTTTAACGCTCTGGTTGGTTGCCTGTACGTGATTTTTCTGGCTTTTCTTAAAATTTGGAGTGAACAGCTCCCATGTCAAATATAACATGTTAACTTATTGGCTTCTCTTTAACCCTGCACACAAACAATAAACTTTTCATGTAGAGCCAGAAAATGGTATATGTTGTGAACTTTTTTTTTTTTTTAAAGATAGAGTTTGTGGTGATAAAGGGATTTCAGAAAAAAAAAATGTAGTTGAAAATATGTTACTTCACATTGGAACATTCAATTTTATCTTAAGGATATAAATATTCAATTTTACCACATTAATCTTTGTACTGAGATAAGCCAAAAATAACGTAAACTGACAATTTTTTGCTATACATTCTAATATTTTACATATTTATAGGAGTTTTCCAAGTCATGAGATATCATATAAGGCACACAAAAAAAGAATGACATAAATCATGTTAAGTGCAGTCTACTTTTTCCTGAGCTATATCTTTAAGACAAAAGATATTTAACAAATTGAACTTGTTTTTTGTGGGAGGGTCCACTCTCTGGTTACTTAAGAGAAAACCAGAGGATTATCTTCGTGGTGAAGGAAAGTGTATAGAAGGCAGTATTTTTTTTTCTGTTATAAAGGGCCAGGGCTCTATCCATTGGTGCAGTGTTCTGCCTTTTGTGTTTTTTTCTGGTTAATTTAAAACATTAGCTCCAAGTTTTTAATGTAGTAGTTTCCCGTGAGTCACTGGGCTGAAAGCCCATCCTATCTGTGTCAGGCAAGGGTCCAAGACAAGAAACAAGGAGAACACAGATATAAGAAAGCTTTATTAGTGCAGCTAAACATTGATAATTAGGAAAGTTCCAGTTCTTCTATGGTAGTTTATTTGTAGATAAATGTAGTTGTAACCTTTTGGTGCCAAAGGAAAAACTCCTCATTCAAGACAAGGGATACGGAATAGGAAGAGCTCAAAGAAAACACAGTTTTCTGTGTTACAGACAAGTATTTACATTACTAATCAACTTTTGGTTCAGGAAAGAAGTGATAATCTGTTTAGATTTTTAAAAGGAATTCAATATCCTGTTGACTAAATGCAGAGCAGGTTCAGAGGAAGACGACTGTTGAATAATGCAATTGATTCCTTCCAAGAAAGCATAGGGTGTAGTTTTTATTATAGGAAGTGCCATCGATAGTACTTTTTCTGCTTTCTGGAAAATCACCCACGAAATAAAATTTGTTTTAAACATTATTTTTAAAACAGGCTCTGCCGACTTCCAGTTCTGGAACAAGATGGTTAAACTCATTTTTCCCTGCTCTGCTCCTCTAAATACAACTAAGTACCTTGGAAACTATTCAGCAGACAATGATAAAGGGCTCTGAAAGCTAGAAGAAAAGGTGTACTTGCAAGAAACCTCAGGACTTGAGTAACAGCAACATGGTAAGTTTTCTAAGTTTTCTTTTTGTCTCCCATATACGCTGGGCTGTGCTGGAATCACCAACAGGCACAGAAAAAATGACAACAAAACAACAACAAAACCCCCAAGAATATCCTGTTGTCTTTGGCCAAAGTTCAGGAAAGGGGAGCCCCAACAGAGACCCAGTAGGAAGCTCTAGCCCCTGTTTTGTACAACCCAGGGTCCTTGCAGAGAGATTGATCTGCCAGCAGTGGCATCAGCAGCAATAGTAGCAGCAGCAAAGCCCTGGACAGTCCTGGCCCCCAGTCCACAACTTAGACACAGCACATGGCCTAATTCACCCACAGAAGCAGCCACTGTGAAGCCCTGTGTCTCCCCAGACTCCATCCAGTGGCATAAGGAGACCCAGGCCCTGCAGCTTCCTCCCCATCATGGAAGGCTGTCCATCTACAGAGTTTCCAAACATAATAAGCACTAAGGAAACAACATAACATGATATGCCGAAAAAAAAAATCACAATTAAATCAAAATGAAACATCAAAAAATGTCCAAGTAAACCACAGGAAGGCAAGAAAAAAGAAACAAAAGTGTAATAAACAAAAGGATCAATCAGAGAACAAATAATAATAAAATATCAGACTTAGTCCTAATATATCAATAATTATCTTAAATGTAAATGTTCTAAATGCATCCATTAAAATGCAGAGATTGGCAGAGTGTATTACAAAACATGACCCAGCTATGTGTTGTTTACAAGAAACTCACTTCAAATTCAATGATATAGGTAGACTGACAGCAAATTGATGGAAAAAGATATAACGTGTAAACATTAGTCAGAAGGAAGCACAAGTGGCTATGTTAACATCAGAAAAAGCAGACTTCAGAGCAAAGAAAGTTACTATAGGCAAAGAGGGAAATTACATAATAACAAAAAGAATTAATTCACCAAGAAGATGTAGCTCTCCTGTTGTGATGTTATGATATATGTCGGCTTTCATCCATGGGTCCTGGCTCATAACTCCCACATCCCGTGTTAGAGTCTTTTGTTATATTGTTGGGGGTGTTAGGCCTCAGGGACAGGCCTCTGACCTTCTCCTGCCTTCCTTTCACTCTAATGTTCTCCCACCTTTCTGCCTTTCTCATTGTGGATCTTAAGACCCTCCCATGAGACAGTCCCACCCTATATCCTGGGGGAAGGAATGCTGACATCATGAAGCTTCCATAAAAAGCCAAGAGGACAGGGTTGTTAAGCTTCCAGATAGCTGAACATGTGGAGGTTCCTGGAGCGTGGTGCACCCAGGGAGGGCATGGAAGCTCCGTGACCCTTTCTCCATACCTCACCCTAGGCATCTCTTCATCTGTCTCCTTTGCAATATTTTTTAATTATAAACCCGTAAACATAGGTAAGCATTTCTCTGAGTTCTGAGAGCTGCTCCAGCAAATTAATCAAACCCAAAGAGGGGGTCATGGGAACCCCACCTTGAAGCTGGCTAGTCAGAAGTTGTGGAGGCCCAGACTTACAACTGGTGTGTGTATGGGGGCAGTCTTGGGGGCTGAACCTTCAACCTGTGGGATCTGACTCTATCTCTGGGTAGATAGTGTCAGAACTGCATTGGAGGACACCCAGCTGGTGTCCGCTGCTATATTCTAGCTGATTTTCTCCCTAGTAGTCCTAGTAGTCTTGAGTGTGGGGAGACAGTGGGGGATTGATGCCCCAACCACAATTGTGGATTTCTTCTTTCAGCTGTCTTAGTTTTTGCTTCAGATATGTGAAAGTCTGTTGTGTGGTTCATAGGTATGTAGAGAAAACTCTCCCTAGCTGTGTTTTTCTTCTGCTGTCACACCATGACAACATCAACACAGAAGCCTTTCTTCATATCGTATAAGGGCACAAAAAAGGAATGACATAAATCATGTTAAGTGCAGTCTATTTTTCCTGAGCTGTTATCTTTAAGACAAAAGATATTCAACAAATAGAATTTTATTTTTTTGCGGTGTGGGGTATCCACTCTCTGGTTACTTAGGAGAAAACCAGAGGATTATCTTTATGGTGAGGGAGAGTGTATAGAAGGCAATATTTTTTTTCTTTTATAAAGGCACAGGGCTCTATCTGTTGGTGCAGTGTTCTGACTTTTGTGTTTTTTCTGGTTAATTTAAAACATTAGCTGCAAGTTTTTAATACAGTAGTTTCCCATGAGTCACTGGGCCTTTCTTCTGTGTTGATGATTGTGGTGTGACAGTAAAAGAAAAACACAGTTAGTGAGCATTTTCTCTACATACCTATGAACCAAACAACAGACTTTCACATGTCTGAAGCAAAAACTAAGACAGCTGAAAGAAGAAATCCACAATTGTGGTTGAGGCATCAATCCCTGCTGTCTCCCTGCACTCAGGACTTCTAGGACTACTAGCAAGAAAATCAGCAAGAATATAGAAAAACTCAACCACACCATCAACTGACAGGATCTAATTGGCATTCATAGCACAATCTGTCCAACAACAGCAGAATACACATTTTTTTAAAGGTCCCATGAGACATTTACCAAGATAGAGCATATCCTAGATCATAAAACAAACATTAAAAAGTTCAAGAGAATTGAAATTATACAGACTATGTTACCTGGCCATAATAAAATCAAAGTAGAAATCAAGGCAGAAAGTCAATAGGCAAATCTCCAAACCCTTGGAAACTAAACAAAAAACATTTAAATAATCCATGCGTCAAAGTGGTAATCTCAAAGGAAATTTTAAAAAGACAAGAAAAGAATGAACATGAAAATATGACATGTTAAAATTTGTAAGATTAGCTAAAGCAGTGCTGAGAATAAAATTGATAGGAGTAAATGCTTACATTAGAAAAGAGGAATGATCTCAAATTACTAATCTAAGTTTCTACTTCAAGAAATTAGAAAAGTTGAGCAAAATAAACTCAAAGAAAGCAGAAAGGAGGAAATAAAAAAGAGCAGAAACTAATGAACTTGAAAACTGGAAAAAGAAAAAATGAAACAGAAAGTTGTCTCTTTAAAAGAATTAATAAGATTAATAACTTTTAGCAAGAATGGCAAATATAAAAAGAGAGAAGACATGAATCACCAACATCAGAAATGAAATAGGGGACACCACAATAGATGTCTTTAGCTATAAAAAGATAATTTAAAAACTGTAATCAACTTTATGCTCATATATTCAACAAGTTTGAAGAAATGGGCTAATTCCTCAAAAACCACAAAGTACTAAAACTTAGCCAAGGTGAAACAGATAATCTGAATAGCTGTGTAGATATTTCTAAGAATTGGATTTATAATAAAAATACTCCCCAAAAAGAAATCTCCAGGTCCAGAGGGTTTCATCCAAGAATTTTACCAAACATTCAAATAAAAATTAATGCCAATTCTATGTGTATCTTCCAGAAAATAGGAGAGAAGAGAAAATTAGGAAGTTCCCAATTCTCTTTATGAAGCCGTCATTACTCTGATACCCAAACCAGCTAAAGAAAGTATGCAAAAAGAAAGCTACAGATCAATATCTCTCATGAACTTTGGATGTAAAAACCACCAATCAAATGTAATTAATCAAAATCCAACAATGTATAAAAAGACTAAAGCACCATGACCAAGTGAAATTTATGCCAGGTAGACAAAGCTGATTCAATATTTGAAAAGAAATTAATAAAATTTATCATAGCAACAGGCTAAAGAAGAGAAACCATATAATCATAGCAGTTGGCAACAAAAAATTATTTAACAAAATTCAACACCCATTAATGATGAAAATAGAAAATCCTCTCAAATACACTAGGAATAGAGGGAGACTTCCTCAACCTCATAAAGAACATCTATTAAAAAACTACATCAGACATTGTATTTCATGATAAAGACAGAATACATTGCCTTATACAATCCAAAACAAGGCAAAGATTTCTACTTTCATCAGTCTTATTAAACACAGTACTAGAAGTTCTAGCCACTGCAATAAGGCAGGAAAAGGGAATAAAGGTCATGCTCATTGGAAAATAAGAAATGAAACTGTCTCCTTTTTTAGGCAGCATGATTATTTAAATAGAAAATCCCCCAAAAAATCTATGAAAAATAGGTTGTCCTCCTTCTGTTGGCTACATTGATCAGGCAAGTGCTGCTAGTTGTTCTTAGGGGTTCTGTTTAAGTGCTGCAGGAGATGGCAGCACAGAAGCTGAGGCACAGCTTGGGCATGGTAGACCAGGGGGACACCCAACTCCATTACTCCCTAGCTCTATGCCCCTGAACACCTTCCTTGATCCAGCTGAACTTTGGTCCCCTCATCTGCAATGGTGTTGATGATAGAACCCAGAGGCCATAATTCTTGTGAGTATTAAATGAGAGCAAGTGTGTAGTAAATGTGTCATTGTACTTGCTGCGGGTACTGCTGCTGTTGCTGCAGTTGTATGTGATACTGTGCTATTTGTTCTGCCACTCCCAGGCACTGCCACTGGAGCCCTTGTTCAGTGATCCTATGACTTGTCAGCTCAGTGAATTGCTCTGACTCTTACTGCTTTCATTTATGAAATGGAGACAATAACCCCTCTCTCATAGGAAGGGTAAGACCAGAAGAGCCTACACTATGGTTGGAATAATATTTGTATACAGTGATCAAGAGAATGTTCTCTGAAACCAGACTCTCTTTAAATCTTACCTCTATCACTTATTAGTTATATGGCTAGCTGTTAAATGAGGTCAAAAGAGTGTGTTCTTCATAAAACTATACAGAAGATTAAATTAATTAAAACATGTACAGTCCTTTTAAAAAAGATCAAGTGAAACAGCATACATGAAAGTGCTTTCAGCACGCTGAGAATAACAATAGCAATGGCTAGAGATTATGGAGCACTCCCCACTGCCAGCACCAGGGGAACTTTGTACCTACAACTTTTTACTTAGTCCACATAACCATGAATTCGTCTCATTTATGTAGACCGGGAAACAAAAGCCTAGAGAAGTAATTTGCCCAAAGACCTAGCTTACAAAGCAATAGAATCCAGGTCTGGACTCTCGGGATCTGACTGTGTTCTAATGCCTCCCAGAGAAAGTAGGCTAGAGAGGGCAGGAATAGCTTGACTTAGAGATCACTTCCACTGGCACGGTGGGTACAATCTGATGTGGGAGGCTCTGGGTGCAGCCTGTGATGGCAGAGTGGAGGAGCCAGGAGTCATTCTTGGCCTCATTGTCACTGCCTTCAAACTAACAAGTTGCCTGAGAGCTAAGGTTCCATTTGATAGGACACCGGGTGGGATGTGCATCAGAATATCCATTTCCTTGAAGGATCCAATGATTAGGCTGAGGCAAAATGTTTTAGACCATTCCCAGGTCTAAAAATAACTCCATCAT
Source organism: Homo sapiens (assembly GCF_000001405.40). NCBI lineage: Eukaryota > Metazoa > Chordata > Mammalia > Primates > Hominidae > Homo > Homo sapiens. The sequence continues at coordinate 111,338,723 of NC_000002.12, read as the reverse complement.
CACCTCTAATAAGGACTCAGTCTGGAGTGACATCACTCCTTCAGGTGCAGAAAAGGAAAGCATGACTGTGTGTCACTGACTTAAAATAGGAGTGAGGTGAGAGGGGCAGCTGGGCTCATGGACGTCAAGTGGACAGTTTCTCAGCTGGTATTTCCTATATTTCCTGTTTTGGACAGCAGGTTCCTGCCCTTCTAAGCTGGGGGTAGGGGTGAGGGAGTGTATGTTAAAAAGCTCTGTGGACTTGCTTTTTCTCTTCTCCATGTGTGTTCTTTCCATCAATAATCTGCGTTCATCTTTACTGGCTGTTCATGCATTATCTGGAGATACGCTAGTTACAGAAATTCAAACAGGCAACTCTTCCTCTTTCTCCCTAGCTTTACACTACAGATCCATGAAGTTTTCTTGACTGTCCCTGCCTAGGGTACAACAAGGAAACCACTATTTGGATAATTCCCCTGATTCCATGGTACTGTGGAAGTGGTGGGCTCTCCATATGTCAGGGTATTCTATGTCTATGAAAAGGTATCTCTTTTGAGACCAAGGGTGGACGGGAGTCTAAGAGTCTACCAATTTTTAAAATAATTTAGCTATATTTAAGTCAATAAATTGTATTCAAGGCTGACTTTGTAGTGATGTATTCCATGAATTATTTCATTCAAAATAATTTTGAAAGGACTTCTGGTCCAGACAAAATAGCATAGATCCATTTCTGTCTTCTCTCCTCTCAGTTAAATGCAATTATAAAGTCTAGAAATAATGCAAGAGGTAACCAAAGGAGAACTCTGAAAGATGGAAACAGAAAGAGGAATTAGTTAGGGACCCTAAGACTGGAGGAACAATAGAGGTAGGATGTCTTACCATCACCGCATCCAACAAGAGAAGGTGACCTAGGCCTGGTATTACCTGATCCCAACTTGGCACCAAAAGACAGCCAACATAGACTCATTCCTCCTGCTTCCTGGTGAGCCTGGTATTCTCCTCCACTTCCACTGACAGACATGTAGGGTGACTGGGTGGTATCAACAATAGGAACCACATCATAACAGGCAGCCTAGTTTGGGAAGCACTCTTGGTCTCCGTAGGCCTGAGACTCCTTTTGCCCATCTAGAGGCACCAGGTGGCCCAGCCCATGGAAATTCCCTCAGCCCCAGAAAGGGGCACCAGAAAGGACCAGTGGGAGCTCCAGTAGGCTATAATAGTATGAAGGCTCTGAAATGAAGTTGCCACTGGACCTACAGCCCACTAAACTAGGCTAGGACCTTAGGTGATAGCCTGAAAAAAAAAAAAAAAAGACCCAGAGTCTTTTAACATAAAAAACAGGATGTGCAAATACAATGAAAAAACACACATTATACCAAGGACTAGGAAAACTACCTAAATGAGAAAAGACAAGTGACACCAACACTGAGATGAATCAGATAGTGGAACTGTCTGACAGACTTTAAAACAGCCATTATAAAAATGTTTCAGAAAGCAATTACAAATTCTCTTGAAACAAATGAAGGAATAGAAAAATCTCAGTGAGGAAATAGAAATTGTGAAAGAAGAACCAAGTGGAAATTATAGAATTAAAAAATATAACAATAGAAATTTAAAAAAAATCACTGGATTCTACTCAATAGTAGAATGGATATGACAGAGGATAGAATCAGTGAAATTGAGGAAAGAACAATATAAATCCCCCAGTCTGAATAACAGAGAGAAAATAGACTGAAAAGCTCTACCTTGAATGATAACTTTGATCACAAACTAGTAGTATTAACCACGTGGAAGAGGAGTTGCTAAATCAACTTAAGAGAACAAATAGTTTTAGGTGAGTGACAAATAATTGGAAAATTAAAAAGTTAAATGATGTCATGTATAATAACATCAACATACAGAGAAATAAATCTAATAAAATGTAATTAAAAACTATAAAATTATTGTGAAGAGGCATTAAAAGAATCCAAAATATATATTCATGGAATAAAAGACAATATTTTTATAGTCAGTTCTGTCCAAATTGACCTATAGAGTCAGTACAATTTTACAACAAATTTTAGTGGAATTTTGTTTATTTTATTTGAGGAATAAAGTTTATATTTTATTTGGAAATTTAAAGGACTGAAACAATCTTGAGCAAGAACATTTGTTAAGACTTATTCTGAAGCTTTAGCAAATAAGACAGTGTGAGATACACACAAGCATAGACAAATAGACCAATGGAACAGAAAAGAGAGTACTAGAAAACAGACCACGCATATTCAGTCAGTTGATTTATGACAAAAGCAATACTGCCATGCAATTGGAATAGGACAGATAATGTTTGCATAAATGTTGCAGGGTCAGTTGGATCTTCATACTTAAAAAAAATGAATCTTGACTCTACCTCACACCACACACACAAATCAATCAGATAGAATGTAGATCTAAAAGTGAAAGGCAAAATAATAAAACTTCTAAAAGATAACATAAGAGAATAATTTATGACCTTGGAGTAAAATCTTTTCAAATGTAATACAAAATATACTAAGCACAAAGGAAAAGACTGATTGATGAATTGGACTTCATTAAAACTAAGAACTTCTGCCCGGGTGCGATGGCTCACACCTGTATTCCAAGCGCTTGGGGAGGCCAGGAAGGGAAGATCCCTACAAAATATTTAAAAAATTAGCCAGGTGTGGTGGCATACCCTTGTGGTCCCAGCTACTCAAGAGGCTGAGGTGCAAGAATTGCTTGAGTCCAGGAGTTTGAGGCTGCAGTGAGCCCTGTTTGCACAACTGCACTCCAAAAATAATAAAAATAAAATACATAAAATTTTAAAACCTAAGAACTTCTGTTTATCAAAAGACACCATTAAGAGAGTGAAGAAGCAAGCCCTTGAGTAAGAGAAGATATTTGCAAATCATAAACCCAATACAGGGTTTGTATCTAGAATATTTAAAGAATTTCCATGAGTCATTAATAACCCAATAGAAAACATGGGCAAAAGATTTGAACAAGCACTTCACAAAAGAGGCTTTGTAATTTTCTAATAAATGCTAGCAAGGAAGTGCAAATTCAAGTCATAAGGAGATAACCTCTACAGAGCCACCAGGGTTGTCCAAAATGACAGACTAATAATACTAAGTGCCAGAGAGAATATACAACAACTACAGCTGCCATCCTCTGGCTGGTGTGAGTGTAAATTAGTATAACCACATTGGAAAACTGGCAGGATCTACTACAGCTGAGCATTTGTGTATCTTATGACCCAGAAATTCTACAAAAATGTTCATGACTCTCTAGTTATAGTAACCAAAGACTGGAAACAATCCAAATTTCCATCAACAGTGGAATGGATAAGATGTACTGAGCAATGAAATTAAAGGACCTAATGCAACAGACAGTAACATGGATGAATGTAATAAACATCATGTTCAGTGAAAGAAGCCAGAAAACCAAGAGGGTACCCTGATGACTCCATTTACATGAAGTTCAAGAACAGACAAAGCTAATCAATGGGGTCAGGAGTCAAAGGTGATAGTTATTTTGGGTATGTGACTGGTAGGGGTACAAGTGAGACTTCTGTGGTGTTGGCAATGTCCTACTTCTTGACCTAGTCAGTGATTTCTCTGGTTTGCCTCCTTTGTGAAAATTCATCAGTGTGTTCTGGTTATTATTTGTGTGCTTTTCTCTATGTATCTTTTACTTCAGTAAAGAGTTTACTGAAAAGAACATACTTGGGTTTGCAGAGTTGAAAACACCCGCAACATCTTCATTGCCTCACAAAGACTATTTTACATGATGTTTAAAAACTTTAGAAGCTAAAATGCTGTTCTTTCATTCTGAGCTGATTACAGATTACAGATTAGTAAGAAAGTAAGTGGGCTACTTGTTTAAAGATGGTCTATGTTAAGTACCCTGATATCTTCTTTTGAAAGAGAGGTCAGTCTTCCTTTCAGCAGAGCATTCTGTTCACCTGCCTGCCCACCTACCTCATGGACCTTACAGAGCTTGGTTACCCTGACTCTAGGCCTCTCAGCTCTTGTACTGATCCTCCCAGCTGCTCTATTCTGATGCCATGACCCTGTCTGGAGACTAGAGAGGCTAGGCCACATTCAGCTCTTCCTTGTCACTGTACAACTCACCTGGTGACTTGGTTGTTTTTTTTTTTTTTTTTTTTAATTCCATGCCGATGTACCCTGACATGGAGAACTAAAGACAGAATTATTTAGGGATTTCCTCTCTCTCATTCTGAAAACGTATAAATAGCCTTTGCTGAGTTACTTTGTTAAAATAACCCTGACATTTTTTTAAATGAGCAAAGGGGCTCTAACATGGAAGGTAGATATACTGAAGGAAAGAGCCCTTAAAGACAAAGGGCTAGTTTATTTCATTATGAGATGTCCAGGGCTTTCCAGTCCCTTAATTCTATCAATGAACCGAGTGAGAGGTAACAATGAGCTGTACATTTTTTACAAAACCTCTCTGCGTAGTCCCAGTAGTAGGTTGCTGAAATTATGTTAAAGTCAGGTGGGGACTTCTAGAATACCCACTGTAACCCTCTTGTTTGGATGACATTGAGGCCAGGGAGGGGAAAAGAACTTGCAAGTTGAGCAGTAATAACACAGATCCCACAGGACAGCTGGCAGTGACCCCACAACAGGGATTTGAAAACAAAGTAAGGTCTTGTTGTTCCCTTGGTTCCTCTTCTTTACTTCCTACTATCAAAGTCAGGTTCTAGAAACTTCCCTAGGAGGCGGCAAGAGGCAGTCTCTGCCTCCTCCCAGTAGCAAATTGGCCACAGGAAGTCCTCATTTGGGATGGACTGGAGGAGAGAGGCAGCTGTGTGGAAAGGGCAAACCTTGAAAACACCCAAGTCCTTGATTGGGCTTGCAGAAGGATGTGGCAAAGAGTAAAGATCTTGAGTTCTGGAGGCACAACTCATAGGTTCGAATCTTTTTTTTTTCTTTTTTTTTTTTTAAATGGAGTCTGGCTTTGTCGCCCAGGCTGGAGTGCAGTGGCACGACCTTGGCTCACTATAAGCTCCGCCTCCCAGGTTCATGCCATTCTCCTGCCTCAACCTCCCAAGTAGCTGGGACTACAGCGCCACTACGCCCGGCTAATTTTTTGTATTTTTTAGTAGAGACGGGATTTCACTGTGTTAGCCAGGACGGTCTCAATCTCCTGACCTCGTGATCTGCCCGCCTCGGCCTCCCAGAGTGCAGGGATTACAGGCATAAGCCACCGCACACAGCCCGTAGGTTCAAATCTTACCTGCACCTCTTAACCTCTCAGGGCCTCAGTGTCCTCTACTTGTGAAGTAGGGATAACAGTCATATTCACTTCCTGGTTTTGCTGTGCAAAATGAATAGCATGTGATGCTGAGGCACTGTAAGTCGTGAGGATCACCCGCTTTAGGAGCCATTCTTCCAAAATCTTAAGTGAGTGAAAAAGAAGCAGAGATAGCTTTTTGTATTTGCGCATGGAGGCAGAGTTCATCTGTTGCCTGAGCTAACAGTATACTATTAGTGAAACTCTGGCCCCAGGGCAGGACCAACTAACTAGGTAGGGCAGTGATGAAAAAGGGAGAGTCTTCTCAGTGGAGTCTGGTCTGGGTAGAGATGTCAAAGGCAAACCATCACCTCCTTGACTTGTTGGCTCTAGGTGATGATGCTAACCTGACCTGGAGGGATAGCCCTTCTATGGGGTGGGCAGGGGCAGCCAGAGGTGTTCTGAAAACCAGAGAAGTCTCCTCACTGGAAAACATTTATTCCTGGGATCTGTCAGTTGATGGCAGAAATGTTCATTGTTAAAGAGCCATTTCTTTGGCTTATTAATTGGTCCTCTGTTAGCCAGTCAACAATACTGTACCCAGCACAGATATCCTTGAGAAATGAAGGAGAAATAAAGTCTTTCCTAGATAAGCAAAAACTGATGGAATTTATCATCACTAGACTGACCCTACAATAAATGCTTAAGAGAGTCCTACATCTGGAAGCAAAAGGGCTATATTCACCATCATGAAAACCCAAAAGTATAAAACTCATTGGTAAAGCAGACACACAAATAAGAAAGAGAATGGAACCACATGTTATCATTACAGAAAACCACCAAACTGCAAAGATAAACAAAGGAAAGAAAGAAAGAAAGGAAGGAAGAAAGGAAGGAAGAAAAAGGATTATTTAAAATTATCAGAAAACAATTAAAATGACAGGAATAAGACCTCACCTATCAATAACAACTTTTTTAAATGGCTTAAATTTCCCAGTTAAAAGATATAGACTGGCTGAATGGATTTTAAAAGTGACCTAACTCTATGCTACCTACAAGAAACTAATTTCACCTGTGGAGACACACATAGACAGAAACTGAAGGGATGAAAAAAGATATTGCATGCAAAAAAAAAAAAAACCCAAAAGTGTGCAGGAGTAGCAATACTTACAGCAGACAAAATAGATTTTAAGTCATAAAACATAGAGAAAAAGAGGTAATTATATAATGATAAAGGGATCATTTGAGTAAGAGGATAAAACAATTATAAATATACATATACTCAACACTGGAGCACCCAGATATAAAAAGAAAATATAATTAGAGCTAAAGAGAGATAGATGCTTATACAATCATAGTTTGGGACTTTAAAACTCAATTTTCAGCTTTGGAGAGATCATCTAGACAGAAAATCAACAAGGAAACATTAGACTTATACTGCACTAGAGACTAAATGAAGCTAATAGACATTTACAGAACATTTCATCCAGTAGCTGCAGAATCACATGCTTCCCTCTTCAGTACATGAAACATTCTCTAAGATAGACCATATGTTAGGCCACAAAACAAGCCTCAACAAATTTTTAATAATTGAAATCATATCAAATATGTTCTCAGACCACAATCGAATAAAACCAGAAATCGATGACAAAAGGAACTTTGAAAACTGTACAAATCCATGGAAATTAAACAACGTGCTCCTGAATGGTCAATGGGTGAATGAAGAAATTAAGAAGGAGGTCAAAAAAGTTCTCAAAACAAGTGAAAATAGAGCTGCAACATACCAAAACCACCAGCATTTTTTTTTTTTAGCAATAATCTATTTTTAAATCAGGTGTATATATTTTTTAGACATAATGCTATTACATGCTTATGGGCTACAGTATGGTATAAGCATAACTTTTATAGTCACTAGGAAACCAAAAAATTTATGTGACTCACTTTATTGCAATATTCACTTTATTGCAGTGGTGTGGAACCAAACTGGCAATATCTCAGAGGTATGCCTATAGTTAACAAGAATATATTGCATATGTTCACAAAGCTGGAAGAGAAGATTTTGAATATTCTCAGCATGAAAAAATGATATATCTTTAGGTGACGTATTTCCTAATTATCCTGATTTGATCATTATATGCATGTACTGAAATATCACTCTGTGCACCATAAATATGCGCAATTATTTTGTGTCAACTAAAAATAAAAGGAAAAATAAAAGGCAGAGCCCTCTGGGAGGAGAAGACTAATTAGGCTTAGTGATTGCTAATTCTGGGAGCTGCATGCAAGCAGGTTTTAAAGAAGGCAGAAAACTTAAGGATGTGGATGTAAAAGGAAGTTACAATGACAACACAATTTACAGAAATCACTCAGTCACCTGGAGGACTCCAATTTCAAATGTGCCATGCTTGGATATTTGCTTACATTTTGCACAATGACTTTTCTGCCATCTCCTGTGAACCTCTGAGCAATCCTGTAAAGCAGGGATCATGCCCATTTTCCAGATGAGGAAACAGAGTGCCCATGCCCTGCCCATGGTTCCAGAATGCAGAACAGTCATCCTTGGGAGATGGGGGTGTCTGGTCCGAGTACCTCCAGTCTCACCTCTGCTTTGTGTCGCAGGTGGGGAGGGGTCACTGAAGACAAAGGCTCCTTGTGGCTATAGGAAGGGTCTGCCCACCAGGAGAGGTGGGAGGGGAGGAGTCTTATTCAGGCTGCCAAGGTTAAGCCTGGTTAACCACTTAGACCCAGAGTTAACTAGCAAGGGGCACAGGTACCTGCCTCAGAGCATTTGTCTCTGCCTGGAGTGTTTGACTAGAGGTCCTGAGAGCCTGGACCCTCCGACGCTCAGGTCTCAGCTGCCACATTCCCAAAGGTCATGATCATCCTAGACCACTCAGGTGCTCTTTGTTCTTCACCCTGCTTAATTTTTGTTAGGAGTGCTTCTGATGGCTTCTGGTCCATAGCCTGCCTCTGTCTCTGCCCTGCCAACTCCGTGCTCTGTCTCAACGTTGCACCTGAAACTGTGCCTGCCATGGGGTGGGTATTCAGTAGCCAACTGATGAATGAATCAATGAATAAATGAGCAGATAAATGAATGGGCAGGAAAGCTCCTCCTGTCACTCTCTACACTAACATGTAGGAAGTGTTGGAGGGACACACGTTAGTGGATGTCGGTCACTTAGTCCTGATAAAACAGAGTAGATGGTTTTCTTAGTAGGAGATCTTGAGGGCTCTTCTGTGAAGCCTCTTGTGGAACCAGTGAAGTACCTGAAAGGCAAGGATTGGGCAAATCAATTCCTTCTGGTTGTGGAGGAGAAGCCCTTCTAGGGTTGATGTTAATGCTGCATTTTAATGAAAGTGACTTTTCAGGCTTATAATTGGATGACATCAGCTCTATTTCTGCTTTTGCTTCTAGAATTTAGTGTGATTCTATTTTAAGAGACTAAGAAGAAAAAGCAATTTTTAGACTCTCATAAGAATACTAGCAACAATGGCAATAGCTAATGTCTCTGCAGCACTTAGAAAAGACTGTGCCCCCTGCCAAGAGCTTGACCTGGGCTATCTCGTTGAATCCTTGCAACACACAGCCCCTTGTATAGATGAGAAAACTAAGGCCTGAGCCAGCTGGCCACTCATCCGTCACAGCCTCCTTTCCTTTCCAGTGTTGGGGACAGCTCACAGTGGGCTGTAGGATGCCACTGGGCATCAGCCTGGCAAGGTAGCAGGTCATCTCATTTTTCTTTTTTCTGGAGGGTGAGGTTATCCTGCAAAATGGAGGTCATGGGGCCTCCTGCCCTGGAATTTCTGCCTCATCCCTGACATCTTGGATGTTATCCCAGGCTGCTCTGGTCCAGTTCTGGCTTCATTTTCTCAACATATCAGATGCAAGAGAGGCCTGGCCTGCTAGCTCCTGTCTCCCTGCTCTGCTGCATTCCCTCCCCACGCGGTGCAGGTACTGACTCGTTCTCAAAACTGTCAGATGGGCTGCCACCTACCTGGGAGTTTCATGACATGTCCTGGGATCCTACTACGCCAGAGGCTCAATGCCTGGCAGAGTGAACACTTAGTAAGCTGCAGTTGCCCTGAAATATTTTCCTGTTGCTGATTCATTTCCTCATCTGTGGATACCATATTCCAAACTTGCTGTGCCACCCTCTGAAGGGGCAAGTTCTTTCCTAGGAGTAGATACCAAGAGAGAGGAAGCCCATGTCATGGGGACAACCACACAGGCCAAACACAGGTGTCACTGCCTGCAGGGACAGCCTGCAGGCATCAGGCCTCCCAGGAGATAGCAGGCAGGACAGGACCATTTCAGACTCATTTCAGCAGTGTGTGGACAGAACCCCACTGAGAAATGCAAGCATGAGACCTGGAGTCTATTCCTGTCTTGTCCTGGGGTTCCTTCCACTGGATGCTCATCAGGGGAAATCCTCCCTCTGGATGCTGATGTGGGGAAAATGGCCAACTAGTTTTAACCTTAAACTCATCCAAAACTTATTTTCTCTCCACTTGAGATAGTTGTCAGGAGATCTGAGTTCTCACCTTCCTTCTGCTCTTCCCTTGTATGTGACCTTAGGCAAGTTGCTTAATCCCTCTGAGACTCAGTTTCCTCTCTTGTAGCTGCAGGATGATGGCTGGGCTCTATTCTAGATCAGTGAGACTCAAACCTGCCCTGTGGCATCAGTCAGGAACAGTTTTGCCGAGTAGGCTCCAGTCCAGACCAATACATCACGATCTGTGGGAGTGAGGCCCAGGCGATTCCCAAGCACTGGAAGGGTTGGAAATTCAGGCATATGGTTTCTGCCTTAAATTCCATCTATGAAAGCCGAAGCGCTCTCTTTACCACCACCACCTCTCCTTCCCACCCTTGTCTTGTTTGCTGCTGATTTCTCGCCTGACTCAAGAACAAATGTGTTTAAGCCCCAAGCCCCTAAAAATGGGAAGCTGTCTATTTCCCTTCTGTACCAGCTCCCACATGTGTCTGGACACAGACTCTGCCAGGGAAGTCCCCTCCCATAGGGACCGTGTGCCTCCAGAGTTGTGTGGACAGGACTTGAAGACATCCAAAGCCCCCACAAGAGATGATGACAACAAAACTCTGTGTTAAAGAGTTTCCAGGATGGAGAACTCCTGCCTGTCAATTATCCTTCTCAGACACTGATTTTGTTTGTTTGTTTTCTGGCTAGAGACGATTATTCCACACAGGAATGACAGACAGTCCCTCTGTTCTTTGTCTGCTGGTCCTGGGGGCCTCTTGCGTCAGTGGGAATGGAAAGTATCAACTTTCTTATTTCTCCATGTTCCCTCTTGCCTTGCATCTTTCTTCCTGCTTTCATTTCTAATTTCTTGGGCCCTTTGACTTTCTCTTCATCTCCCTCTTCATTCTTCACACAATAATGTTTATTTAATTTTGGATGTTCTCTTCTGGCCAAAAGTTGACTTGGTCCAGACCAAATGGAAATATATGTGATTAAATCTGTTCTCTGCGGAGAGGGACTAAAACAAAGATCAATGCCAGATATTGTCGTGATGATGAAATGTCAGGGCAGAGGGCACCAGGAAGGACAGACCAGGCTCACAGAAGCGTGCCATTCTTTCACAGCACATGCAGCACACAATATGCAGAGGCATGACATTCCAACCTTCTCCAACCCACCGTTTATCAGTGTGTCCCCTGGACTGGTAGTATCAGCATCACCTGAGACTTATTAGAAACACAAATTCTCAGGCTCCATCCCAGACCAACTGAATCAGAAACACTGGGGGTGGGGTCCAGAAATCTGTTTTCACAAGCCCCAGAAGACTCTGATGCATGTGGAAGTTTGAGCACCACTGCTTCTAGTGCGTAGACGTTTTGCTTGCTATCATTGAAAACTCGCTTGACCTCTTTGGAGAGGGGCATGGCGGCCCCCAGATATCTGAGGAAGGCTGAGCAGGAGGATAAGGTGAGCTGAGGAAAAGGGAGGGAGCAATGGGGTATTCACGGCAGGGGAGCCTGAGATGGTCCCTTAAGGATTTGCATTGGTTAATGGGCAGACTGGTGCAAAAGAGGCTGAATTGAATAATTAGGAAACTGGGAGAATTCAATTCAAAGAAGAATTCTTGTTCGCAAGGTCAATTTTTATACTATTTAAATAAAATAACTCTGGTAGGTTCTATAGCAAATGCTAAGTAAAGTAACCGCTGGTTTCTAAATTATTACGATAATCTGAGAAAATTATTTCTTTGAAAATATTATAGAACTTTCAAATATGCAAAAAACTCTAGAGAGTAATATAACAAATGCACTTAATAGGGACAACCTTTAACATTCAGTAGAGAACATTTTACTCTATTGGCTTCAGATCTTGTTTTGACTGCAGCTTGATTCCCACAGTCCTCTCTCATCCCCACCCATCGTGGGTCCTCAGCCTCATCTCACCACCCTGAGTTGGGTATAGAATTTCCTGTCCAGGTGTTTAGAATTCTATACATTTATCTAAAAGCAATATAGGGTATCATGTGTTGGGTTTTATATGCTGATGTAAAAGGAGTTGTTCTGCAATTTGCTTTCTTCTCTCCATGTTATTGAGCTCTATCCTGTTGCTACCTGTGGACGTAACTCGTTCTCATTGCTGGGTGGTATCTATCTTATGGTCCCTTTCTCATCATCATGAGCATTTAAGTGAAGATCGTCTTCAGGATTTCCATGTGCTCATGTGGGAGAGTAAGTCCTGAAAGTGGAACATCACCTGTAAATATATTAAAGACAGGGTTTTCCAATTTAACTGGGAAAGTCTCCAGACTCAGCTGGAGCTACATTATCTGTTTCTCTAAGAAAGAATTTTTCTGTCCATAAACTCATTGTATTAGTCCATTCTTGCACTGCTATAAAGAAATACCTGAGACTGGGTCATTTACAAAGAAAAGAGGTTTACTTGGCTCACGGTTCTGCAGGCTGTAGAGCAAGCGTAGTGGATTCTGCTTCTGGGGAGGCCTCAGAAAGCTTCCAATCATGGCAGAAAGCAAGGGGGAACAGGTGTCTTACATAGCAGGAGCAGGAGCAAGAGAGAGTGAGAGGGGAGATGCTTCACACTTTTAAAGACCAGATCTTGAGAGAACTCAGTACCATGAGAACAACACCAAGAGGGTAGTGCTAAACTATTCATGAGAAATCCACCCCCATGATCCAACCACCTCCCACCAGGCCCCACCTCCAACACTAGGGACTACGGTTTGACAAGAGATTTGGTGGGGACGCAAATCCAAACCCTATCACTCATTTTTTTCTCCCTTCAATCATTCAACCAACAATTGCTGAGCAACTCCTGTAGGTCAGGCACTGTACTGGGGGCTGGGAACCAGTGGGAATAAATCCTATGGGTCTCTGCCCTTGTGGAGATTCCAGAGTAGGGCTGCCCGGATGTTCTTGCATTGTGCACAGTGCAGAGACAGGAGGCTCCTGGATATTCTGGCCTAGGCAACTCTAACCCTGAAAAATGAACAAGCCCATCACATTCTATTCATGTGGTTATAGTTTACCTGAAACCTCAACTGCTCCACAGAATCAGATCTCTCCGCAGCTCCCAAAAGTGTCCCAAGGGTTAGCACTGACCAGCTTGCTGGGTTTGAAGGAACCACAATGCATCGGGTGTGGCTCTCTTCCTGCTAGCTGCTCCGAAGTGAGCTCCTACTGATTCTATTCAGTTGGACGCTCACATTCAGCGAGTCCAGGGGGTTTTTCATGCTTTGAGCATTTTTAAGAGTCTGCTATTTGCCCAGTTCAGTGAGGGGCACTCAGGATGTATCAGTGGTTCAGGCTGACTTGGTTCCTGCCTAGGGGAAGACCCACAAGACCAGTACCCAATGCAGGGATGGCATGGATGGTAGGGGAGGCTTGGAGGCCCTAACCCACTCTTGAAGGGATGACAGAAGCCTCCCAGGCTGGGATTGGAAGGATGAAAGGAGCAGACAGGCCAGGGTAGAGGGCATTGAGTCCCAGTTTGAGCGAAGGGCTGGAGCAAGAGAGAGCCTGGTCTCTGCAAAGATCTGAAAGAACCTCAGAGCAGGGGCCAAAGGGTAAGGGTGTCAGGGCAGAGGCTGTGCCAAAAGAGGTGAGCCTCATCCTAAACTCTGTTCTTGATTTGGGGTGGAAGTGTCCCTGGAAAGGCAGATCAACAAAGGAAGGAGCATGAGCCAATTCTCACCACACCTCTTGTGCTTCAAGTCCTCTCTTGGGTTGGGTGATGTCATACAGGGACCCACACTTGATTGGACTGCCCTCCCCACCTTTTAAACCTCTCCTGTCACTGAGGGGGTACACCACTGGAGCCTGGCAAAGGTAGCCAGTACTCAGGGGGTGTGCACAAACCTCACACCCATGTTTATAAGGCCATTACAAATGCTGGCCCAGTTGGTGACCAGACACCAATCCTTGTCCTTCCACGTAGCCAACAGTGGGCTAGTTGGCAGGTGCATGGCAGGCGCTCAGGGCTATAGACAATGCAGGCTTTAATCCCATGAGTGGAGTCGGTGCCAAGTCTAGAATTCAAGGATGACTCTTCACCCAACTGACCCTCTTACCCAACAAACCAATGAGAACAGCTTGAGGTCTGGAGGACCCGTGCTTGATATCTGTCCACTCTTGTATTTGAGTAAGGTAGTGGAGGTCACAGGCTCACATCATAAACTTTGTACTTTATTTGAAACACTTTTCTGGCTCTGTTAGTGACTCCAACACCATACTTAAGCTTACTTCAAAATGACTTATACATCTCTATTTTCCTTAAAGTATGCGCACAGATAAGAAAAGATGGGGTGAATTTTTTTTTTTTTTTTGAGAAGGGGTCTTGCTCTGTCACCCAGGCTAGAGTGCAGTGGTGCGATCTCAGTTCACTGCAACTTCCGCCTCCCGGGTTCAAGCAATTCTCCCACCTCAGCCTCCGAAGTAGCCAGGATTACAGGGGCGTGCCACCACACCTGGCTATTTTTTGCATTTTTAGTAGAGATGGGGTTTCACTGTGTTGGCCAGGCTGGTCCTGAACTCCTGACCTCAGGTGATCCACCTGCCTCGGCCTCCCAAAGTGCTGGGATTACAGGCGTGAGCCACGTCGCCCGGCCAAGATGGGGTAATTTTGATGTCCAGACACAAGTTGTCATTTAAGATGAAGCTTCGATTGTAACTCTATGAAGCCCTGCTGAATATTAAAAGCTTATAGAAAGCAGCTTTTCTCCCCCAGGCAAAAAGAGCCCTTTGATCTGTGGTGGGACTTTGCAAAAAGCTGAGCTGCCACTCAAAGAAATAATTCCCCGCTAACTGCAAGTTTCTGTCTTGTTTATGGAGGGCCTGTTGAGAAGGCCCTCCAAACCTTTGGTTCCAGGGTCTGGCAAGGGGAATCTGTCATCATTCATTGCAAACTACACCTCCACCCACTGGGCTGAAGACCTGTGCAAGGATAGACCAAGAACTTCCTCTGGGGTGGCTGTGCTCATGGATGCTGATTTGACAATTTCCAACCTCCCTCATTACCAAGATCCCCTTCCTTCACCTGTGAAACCAAAATTCCATCTTCTTCTCTTCCCTCCTTTGTGACAGAGTGGGGAAAGATGGGGACTGAGGGAAAGGAGAGTAGAAACTCAGTCCCTTGAGAGATGGGAGCTGATGGGAAGGAGGTAGAAACTTGGTCCTTTAGCCAGGAGGCTCTGCAGGCATTCAGGCCTGATCTACCATGTAAGGTGATTTCTTTCTTTTTGGAAAGCTCCCATTTCATGGGGTGGACAGGTCCAAGGACTGCTCTGGACCACTTGGTGATCACATGGGCCGAAGTAGGGGTAGAGGACCCCAAATTGAATGTGTGGAGGGGACTCTGAAGCAGGTGTGAATGCCAGGAGAGGTGGGAGGAAGGACAAGGGCGGTGCATCAAGACCACAGAAGCCGGCCCGGCCAGCCTTCCCACAAAGTTACTTGAACTGAGCTCTCCATAAGTACACATGCACACACACCCAAGAATAAACTGGACAAATGGCAGCAGAAAGAGAAAGAACAGAAAAGAGAGCTGATGAATACATCCATAATCAGCACTAACACAGCCCTGGAAAGAAAAGCAAAAAGAAAAGGCAAGCGCTGTGGTGTGCAGCTCTTATTGTCTAATAAAAGAAAATATACCAATTCTTTGGGGAATTTAATTTTTTCTGGAAATAAATTCTTGGAAGAATTTATGTGACAGAACACCCCAGGGGAACATCCTTGCGTTAGGAAGGAGGCCACCTCGTCTGGCGGCCTCGGGCATTCCAGTGATGCAGGGGAGGGGCCCAGGCAGCTGTGCTGGTCCAAGGGGCTCCAGGTAGAATGAGCTGTATCCTTGGCCAGAGGATGTTGCGCATCCTCTGGGGGGATATGACGGGAGAATGATGGGGGGAGTTGGGGAGATGTCCCCAGGTATTACAAGTGGAGGCTGGGGACTACCACTGTCAGTTCATTGTCAACTATGTCCGCCTCATAGACAGGGCACAAGCCTATCCTTAGGGACACACGTGAAGAGGGGAGGCAGGAAGATTCAGGCGCGCTCTCCGGCCTAGACTGGCTGAAGGAGGGAGATTTTAATGCTTGGCATAGGTGGTGAGGGGTCCACCAAAGGTAGGAACACATCCCTGGGGCTCTGGGAGGAAGAAGCGTCAGGACTGCAGCTCCAGCCTCTTCAGGCCCAGGGTCCTAGGGTGGAACAAGGCTGGAAAACTGGTGCATGGAGGAAAGAAAAAAAATGGGAAGGGAGAATGGACAGGTAGGAAGGAAGGAAAGGAGGAAAGGGAAATGGAGGAAGAAAGACATGGAAAGCTGGGAGGACAGAGGGCAAGGCAGAAGGTAAAGGAGGCAAGGCCAAGGCTGTGAGGAGGAATTCCGCTTTTATTCTGCTGTCTGGCTTCATGCCATTGCATGGGGCCCTGTAAAATAAAAAATGATACCTCCCAGGGCTATTGGTTTTTATCTTAGAGGACTCTGTGGGGAGATGTGGAAAGCTGTTCAAGTGGCAAGGCTTGGGAGCTGAGTTTCATGACGATGGCCGTCTAGGGCTGTTCAAAGTTAAGATGACAGATTGGCAGAGTGCAGGGAGGTGAGAGAGTATTGGGGAAGTTTTCCATACAGGGGACCATGTAGTGTTTTGCTGGGAAGATAGACCTGGGTGGAGGTGAGACTGGTGGGTGCCACAGATGATTCTAACTCCTGCTCCTTCTCTTGTCCTTCCAACAAACCAACCACACATGTAACATAGTCATAAGAGCTTGCAGGGAGGAGAAAAGAGAGATATCAACAGACCAAGGGAGACAGAGGGTGGAGGGCCATGCTGTGGACAGTGAGGGGAGGAGGTCCTTCCTCTCCGCCACTGCCCTCAAGGCTGCTTGAGGCTCCCACGCTGAGGTGTCCACCTGGCTGAGAGGCTGCTGCTTATCTGTTCCCCAACTTCTCCACCTGCTGGTGCAGCTCTCCCTTGCTGTGCTAGGAGAGAACCCACTGGGAGGGTCTTGGCATCTCCAAGTGGGGCCCTCCTGCTGAGACACTGGGTGGCTGTGGAGGGAGCTCAGCCCTCATTCCTCCCCGAGCTCATATCTACAGAGCAGCAAGTCTCCCCACTCCACCAGAGGAGAGCACAGGAGAGCTAGGCAGCTGCCTCCACCAAGACTTCACCCAACCACGGTCCTTCACTCCCACCAGGACAGGACAACCCAGCCTCCCGGGTCCCAGGAGGACTTGGCATGGCTGAGGACACCCAAGAGGAACCACCAGCCTATCCCTGAAAAAGCAAAGACACTTTGGGGAACAGAAGAGCGTCTTAAAAGATATCAACTTTGACTCAGAGATTTCAAGAAGACGCTCTATCCAAAAACCAAAGAAGAAGTGTCAAAGCTGTTGTAAATGTTTAAAAGAATAGCCACCTTGATTGCATTTTGAGTGAATTGTGAATTCCCTCTCCCTGGGTCTTCCTCATTCTTCTACATCCTCCCCATTTCTGTACTGAATTTATAGCAGACTGAATTTGGAAGTTGATTTGAATGTTTAAATATATGAGACACTCTTTGTTACTTTGGAATGAGTAAGGCATTAATTCTTTTACGTTTTGATTTTTAAAGGTTTTATAGAAAATTGCATGTTTCATCAGGAAAAAAGTTATCTAGTTCTACTCAAAATAATATCTTATGGAAACTTTCAGAGTTTCACCAGACAAAATGCCCCAGGCTTTGGCTTTGCAGTTGGTGTCTACAGCTGAGCCTAGTCCTTGAAGTAATCATGACTCAGCTTATTCAAAATAAACTCTTCAAGAATTGCAAACTCTCCTCTCAGCACATGCCCTGTGACCTCCATGTCCCTCCATTACATCTCCTCAGAGTAAGGCCCAATGCCACTGACTCATGGGGGAACCACAGGCAGCAAATGGCCAGAGCTCACACAGAGGGATGAGTGCACTTCACCTGCAGTGTGACTCAGCAGGCCAACAGATGCTATCAGGGAAGAGCACTAAAAACCAAAGGGTGGCTGGCTGCGTCTCAGCATCTGTCCGCGAGAAACACGATGCCATGGTTATTGTGTGATTTTGGTGGTAGGCTGCTGGTCAGGTGTCTCCAAGCAAGTTGGTCAAAATGGGAACAGTTGTTTCTCTGGGCGGGCAGGGGTCAAGGCTGGTCTGGAAAAGGCCGAGGCAGCTGCACCCTCTTGAGCCACTGGCCAGCACCTGTGCCCTGTCTGGGGCTTTCCTCTGCCCACAGGAGACCCTTCTCCATGCAGGTGCTGCGTGGCACCAGGCATGAGTCTGAAGTTCCTTCTGCCACAAGCACCCTCGTTATTTGTGATAGTGCAAAAAAGGAAGTCTCTGCCAAGAAACTAACTGAATGTTAGTGCCTGTTCTCAGGACTTTCCATAACCCTGCTCTACTAGGATACCTTTCACCCACTTTGAAAGCAGCCAAAGGGTTAAGTCATCCCAGGTGCATCTCAAAGCAGGGCTGCGAGCAGCAGGAGTTTGAGCTTTGTTGCAATTAGAAGTTGAGTGTGAGAAAGGACATTCAGGCACAGCTTATCTTTGAATACACACGCAGGAGTATCAGGAGCAGTTAGAGATAAACAGCTGGCTAATAAACACATGAAAAGATGCTCAGCATCATTGGTCATTAGGGACAGGCAAATCAAAACCACAATGAGACTCTACTTGACTCCCATTAGGATGGCGACAATACAAACAAACAAACAAAAAAGAAGGTAATCAGTGTGGATGAGGATGTGGAAAAGTTGGAAACTTCAGACATTGCCGTTGAGAATGGAAAATGATACAGCTGTTTTGGAAAACAGTTTAATGTTTCCTTAAAAAGTTGAATAGAGAATTAGCATATGACCCAGCAATTCCATTTTTATGTTTGTACCCCAAAGAATTGAAAGCAAGGACTCCAATAGAGACTAGTATACCAATATTTATTGCAGCATTATTCACAATAGCTTAAAAAAAGTGTAAACAACCCAAGTTTCTGTTGGCAGATAAACAAAATGTGGTATGTACACACAATGGAATACTATTCAGCCATAAAAAGGAATCAAGTTCTTATATATGCTACAACGTGGATGAACCTTGAAAACATGCTAAGTGAAATAAGCCAGGTACAAAAGGACGAATATTGTATAAAAACACGTATATAAGGTACCTAGATTAGTCAAACTGATTGAGACAGAAACTAGAATCGAGGTTGCCAGGGGCTGGGGAGAGGGGAGAATGGGGAGTTATTGGTTAACAGGTACGGAGTTTCAGTTTGAGGTGATGAAAAACGTTTTGGAAATAGTGGTGCTGGTTGTACAACATTGTGAATGTACTTAATGCCACTGCATTGTATACTTAAAATAACTGGGTTAGGGGCATTTATGGATTTTCCTCTCATTGTAGGTCACTAAGAACATGGTGGGAGGAGGAGCCACTGCCTTTATAGGCCCCGACTGCCCCAGAGCTTCATTCCTCACCAGGATGAATGACAGGATTCTGGACTAGAGGGCTCTTGCCTGAGCCACCAGGGCATCCGGGGGATCCCTGTGAGCAGGGTGAGGGTGAGCACCCAGGTTCCACAGGGCTCTGTCCTGGGCAGGCCAGCAGATGCAGTGATTGCAAATCCTCCTTGTACAAATGGAACAGGCACGTGCATTTGTGGCACACTCAGAGCTGCTGGCCACTAGTGTGCTTTGGAGAATCAGTTGTCTCCCAGGCGGGGAAGGTCCCTCAGACATAAAATACTCACCCATTTAGAGGAATGACAACAGCAAAGGAAACTATATTCTGCTAATTTACTGGTAAGAGAGGAAAAACTCTGTCATGCATACACAGACAGAGGCTCTGCCAAAAGAGAGAGGCAGCAGATACAGATATTAGCAAATGACTCCTCTCCAGAAGAAACACACCAGCCAGGAACGGCACTCACACCTGTAATCCCAGCACTTTCGGAGGCCAGGCGGTAGGATGGCTTCAGACCAGGAGTTTGAGACTAGCCTGGGCAACATGGCAGACTCCATCTCTACAAAAAATGAAACAAACAAACAAACAAACAAAAGATCAGTGTGGTGACACACACCTGTAGTCCCAGATATTCCAGAGGCTAGGCAGGAGGATCTCTTGAGCCCAGGAGATGGAGGCTGCAGTGAGCTATGATCCTACCACTACACTCCAGCCGGGGCAACAAAGCAAGACCCCATCTCTTTTTTAAAAAAAGAAAGAGAAAACGAAAAGAAAAAAAAAAACACACGATTTCACCTGCTTGAAGGCCTGTGCTTCTCTTTGTTGTCCCCATGACACTATACCCAGGCCACTGTCAGGGACCCTGGGGGGCTTACAGTGGCTTACTGAAGGCTAGACAGTATCCCCTTGCAGTATCAGTTAGGATTCTATCATCATGAGAAAGAGGCTCCAGCCCGCTCAACGGAGCAAACTGGAAGGTAATGAGGGGCTCAGGGAATTTGTCCTGGGAAGGCAGGAAGCACAACCCTGTCTTATGGCAGAGGCCATCAGTCCAGGGTCCCAGCTGGACCTGCTGATCCTCTGTCCCTGTCTCACTCATTGCAGATGCCACCTCTTCGGTGAGGGCCTGTGAGCTAGGGTTAGGTCACCTACCCTACCCTGTGTGACCACAGGCAGGGAGAGACAGGATTTCACTTCCTAGACTTCCACGGTGGAGGCCAGGCACCTAAGATTATTCTCCCACCCACACCAAACACAGTGGGGGAAAACTCATCCCCAAAAGGAAACTGGGGCCAATAGGCAGGGGTGGATGTGGGGCAGCCCAAAAACCAACACACAGCCACCGACCCCATCAGCCATGATTTATATCCATGCCTTTCCTGGACAAAAAACCAAATCCCACTGCCCTGGGCATCAGCGGGCAGGGCCCACACAGGCTTCATAGATGTCTCCTCTCCGGGAAGTGGAGGGTGTGTTTGTGCATTCGGAGTAGCTGGTGCCTGGTAGAAAATCAGTGCGGTTTTGGCTTTGGCAGAGCAGCCCAGGCTCCCTTTGCATTCCCACAAATCGAGGCAGCTCTGCTGTGCTACTCTCACAGTTTTGGCGGCTTTGACCGCAGGTCCTCCTGAGGCCGGGAGACTGCTGGGGCGTGGTATATCAGTTGTTGGGGGCCGTGCTTCCCCAGGGCAGATGCATGCAGGGGCTCTGGGGCAGAGTGACCGTGGAAGTTCGATGATGTCACCCCTTCTCATGCAGCTGATCGTTGGGTCAGGAAACGACTCTCCTGGCATGAACCTGTTCCTGGTCTCAGCAACCCGCACATTGTGCTGGTGCCAGGTCAAAGGCAGGGCAGGAAGCCAAGGGATGGGGCAGGCCCAGGGGGCAGAGAAGGGCAGGTGGGTGGGATGTCGGGGGCAGGTGAGGGTAGAGCATGTGTATTTACCCAGGCAAGGGTCCGGCCAGGCTCGCAATCAGAAGAGGGAGAGAAGACCCTGACTCCAAGCCAAACCCTTCACCGAGGGAAATGCACCAGCACTCAGAGGGTTCTTGTTTAGTAGGTGAGCAAGCAGCCAAGCATTGGCCTTCCCCAGGGCAGGGGCATAAGGCCGGTGAGCAGCTGAGCCAGGATTTGAACAGCAGTCACCCTTGGTGAGGCAGAAGCAGATGAGGCTATGAATGGGGATGGCTAAGGAAAGGTGGGCTTGCTTGCACTGGGGAGAGGCCTTACTGGGGATTCAGAATTGAGGGCTGGGGTTTGCTTCCCCAGGGGGTAATGGTTTCAGCTGCCTGAGTTTTTATCTCACCCCTTCTTACCTCCTCCTGCAATGACTGACCAACTTCCACTTCAAAGAGATCTTTGATTATGACTCCATGACATCAGTAAGCTTTCAAGTCAGTGAATTTACCTTCTAATGGTGATTGGAACTCAAAGCCAGTTCACAGCTTGACCTGCATACATCAAGCAGCTGGGTGACTGTCAGATGTGTCATCTCATGTGGGAGGAGAATTTGTTAAAGTAGGGAGAGAGGACCTCAGGAAGAGGCCTCTTGAAAGTCTGTGGGTGCCTGAGGCTGGAGGCCACACCTGGCCTCTGGCCTTCAGGACAATCCTCAAAAAGGGATTAGGATTAGCCCACCTGGTTCTCAGTTGGCTGATTGGTTAAAAACGTGAACACCAAATATTAATTTGCTTTTGTTTTTATCAAGCGATTCTATTTGGGGTGGGATGGGGGAGAACGAGAAACATTTTAAAAGTTAGAGTAAAAACCCAGCGCTACATTGCCAATTTCAAGATGAAGTAATAAAGAACTACCTGGGAGGGAGAAGCATTTCTGATGAAGTTAACTTTGCAAACTGAGCATTATGCATTTTTCACTCTTGGTGGTTAATATTGGGAAAGTGTCTGGTGGTCCTTGGGGTTTAGGGTGCTGTCTAAAACCTAGAGCTGCCTGGTTGTGGCCAGTTTTTGTTTTTAACCACGAATTAAGCTTGGATCATTCAGAACAGACTGACTTACTCATCAGGGATGCAAACTCCACACGCCCAAAGCAGTCTCGAGTCTTCAGTCCTGGGTCTCGGCTTCTTTCTGTGTTTCGCAGGCACTCACGCCCCCGTGGGCTCGGTTCTCCAAACAAGCCCTTATGGAAACCAGGCCAGATGTAGGGATTAAAGTTCCCGAATTTCAGCAAAGTTAAATAATAATAGTAGACACAAAACAACCAACCAACACCAAAAGACATAGGTGCAAACTATGCTAATCCCAGCAGTGGAGAGGAACAGGCCTTTGATGATGATGGCCCTGATGGATGGAGGACAATGGAATGCTCTAAACACGAGGCCTCAGGGGACAGCCCCGGTCCTCCTTGTCAGAGCCTGCTCTAGTTTGGGATCCAGCAGGAACCTCAGGAGCCTCCTTCACTTTGGTGGAGAGGACTGAGACTCAGAGCCCCCAAGCACACCTTGGGACGGTCCCCACGCTTCCCTAGGGTGGGTCTGGGGCAGGCCTGGGGCATTTCTATACTGCTGTTTGGGAGAGCGCCCCAGACCTAGTGTCCTGGCTGGGGCAGATGAAGCCAGGGCGCTCTGGCTGGTAGAGGCAGGAGGGGAGGCCAGCCAGGCCCCGCATGACCCCGCATTGACAGGAAGGAGAACGGACACTTTCTTTCAAGGTGCTCAAATGTCCCACATCACTTCTGTGAAAACCCAAACACAGAAGCCACCCCTCTCAGCTGCTACAGGCCAGAAATGAAAATTACTGCAATCCCCAGGAGCCAGGGAAGACCTCTGCTGACATTCCCTATGACCACTGTGACGGTGCCGCCTTGGGCTGCCTCCCCCACTCCGTACAGAGAGCGTTCCAGCCCCAGGCTCCCAGTGCCTGCTCCCAGCGCCTGCTCCCCGGCCTCCATCACTCCATGCCCCAGGGACCTAAAGTAGAAAGCTTAGTTTTCTCCTTGTTTGAGTGCAGTTGGGATAATTTTTAATACATTCCTTTTTGCTCTTCATCAACTTCAAATGTCTCAAGATGTCCTGAGGGCAAAAGAGCTGATTTAGCTCTCAGATTAAAAGAGAGTGGCCTAACGCCTCACTCATTTTGAAATACTGACATTAACGGGGAAAATTACTCAAGCTCTCCTGTTACTTCCTGTGCTTAATTAAGTGGCTCTGCAGGTGACTCACTCCCTTATTTTTCAGAATGACATCAGACTTATTTTCCATTTTAATAGCCTGGTTACTTCATTGATTTTTTAAAAAATCCAATTTCACTTTCCAGTGCAATTTCTTTATCTGATTTTTTTTCTCCACACTAGGAAATGCTAACTCTCGTAGTGGTAAAACTTCGACTTACGAATGCCTCAATTTTTTTTTGAGTCTAGGGCCCCAAATCAGAATTTAAAGAAGAAATTAGAGGTGTAATCTTTATTTGCTAATTACCTAAATAATTTCACGAAGTGTTGGAGTTGTTAATATTATTAACTATTCCTGAGAAGGGGCCCCCGGGGCCACCAAATGAATACTTTGTCTTGGAGGCAGGTCTGTGTCCCTGCAAGAAGCCACATCTGGCTCTCGGCACCCTCCACACCCACAGAAATGCCTCCACTTTTGTCACTTTCTCCATCAATTTGAGAAGGATGATTCCAAATTCAGAAGCTTGTTTTGAGCTCATTCAATATGCATCAGGTGGCGGTAACATCTGGAGGTCAGTTTTTCTTGCAGTTTGGTAAATTCTGTTGTCTAAAGAGAGATGTGAGAATTGCTCATCTTCATATACCACACTTGGCACTCGTAGGTTTGTGAAGCAGCAGATGCAAATGTTTCACATGGTGCTTGGCATTTATTTATTGTTTATTTGTTTATATTTTGTTTTTGGTTTGTTTGTTGGGTGTCTGGGCTGGCCAGGTGAACTTCATTTTCTGCCCTCACTGAGAGCTTTTCCTCCATTCAGCTCTGACTCTGTTTCCCCATAGGAGCCACACCGGTGAGGGCAGGGAGAGGGTGCTGGTTCTGAGCCAACTTTGCATGGAAGGCCCAGCAGACCACGCTCATTACTTACAGCCAGCATCATCGGGGAACTCCGGCACAGACCTGTAGTCAGTGCCCCACAGCGCCCCAGCCTTCTCTCCCGACAGGAGCGGCCAGGACAGGGAGCAGAAGGTGACTGCTGTGCTGCCTGGAGCTCTTCTGTCCGGAGGTTTAGTGAAACTAGAGAAACTCAGTGGACACACTACAAGACTTCAGAGATACTTTTTGTAAACCCAGGAAGAATCAAAGATATGAAACATGCAGTAGGCACTCACTAAATGTTAATTTTCTTCCTTTTTAAATATTTGCATTATGATAGTTAAATTAATGACTGCACGACTGGAAGAATACACACTCTAATGATTCTTTTCCCTAAAATAAATGTGTCCACTATTTGCTGTCTACCTTCTTGAACATCCTGCTTCCTCTAAATAACTAAGGAGATTGATTCTACACTAACATCCAGTTGAAGCAAAGTTGCGTCATGATAAAATCTGGCATGGGCTATCCCTTCAAAAAGTTCTTTCTGAACCATCATGACCATAAATTGCACTAGGCAGGAGGTGGTGCTGGAGGGACAAAGAAATGCCAGCCAGTGCCTGCACTGGAGTTGCCAGCAATCACACGGGAAGGCCTCTAGTCTAGAGAGACGGGTAGGAGAGAGATGGGAGCACATCAGAGGAGCACAGATGCTAGTGCATGGGTTAAATAGTCTCTTACACATCTGGTTAAGATCACCTCAAATTGCTGTGGGGTTCCATAGCTCTCTACAGCCCAGTTCCAAGCTTCTGCTCTCACTGGATTAGTTCCACGGATACATGGTCCTCTGCATTAGCTGGGTTCTCTATCTTGGGTGACATCAAACCTAGAGATGAACTCTAGCCCCTCACTGATACCTCACAACTCAGTCTCAGAAGACATTTTTGCATGGAACAGACTTTAATGAATGGTGGGTGAGGGGGTGCCTGCTATTGAATGAATAAGTATGGGGGGAATTAGTCACAGGACTTCATACTGAGCATTAGAGTCCGGAGTCTTTGTTCTTGGAAGTCTTCAGCTCCCGCCCGGTCCCTGAGGATCTTCCCCCGACTGCTTGATCTTGCATCATTGCCCTCCCTCCCCGAGGGAGCAACACAGAGCGGCCCTAGTCCACTCTCATGATGCCTCCATTAATCCCCCGGTCAGGGACCTTCCAGCCCTGCCCACAGCAGTCGATGCCTTCAGTGCATCTCAGTCTTCCACCCCCAAAAGCGGTGGGGGGTCTCTGTGCGGGATCACCCCTCTCCTAATACCCCTGGTCCCAGGAGATGGGGAGGATGGAGACAAGGCCAGTGTGGGAATGAGGTGGCAGGCTTCTCAGGACATGAGCTGCCTTGCTCTGCCCCCTTGGGCCTCATGGCCCCCATTCTCCCTGCTGGAGTTGATGTTCTGGCAGACCGGGCTGTCCCTTGGCCCAGTTCCTGGAATACCAAGTAATTAGGTCATCATCGGGGCAGCGGAGGCCAGCCTCTGATGTTCTGCGGCATGTTACGTGCTCTTGGGGCCTCTGTTTATTGGGGCTACATTGCCCTTTCTTTGCACAGCTGGCTTTGTGCTTGCTACTAATTTTTTTTTAAACTGAAGAATCCATTGTTTAGAGATCACACATAAATGGTAAATTATAAAGAAAAACAAGTGGATGACCGACATAAAAATCAGGAGGTTTGCTAGCCCTGGTGAGGGAGGGAGGAAGACACCATGTGAGAGAAACACAGGACCGTTTTGTAAGATGCTGCTTTTTTGTTTTGTTGTTTTGTTTTGTTTTGTTTAGCATTGGGTGTGGATACTCAAATGTTCATCTTATGATTATTCTTTAAATCGTTCAGGTACATTTTATACAGTCTTCTGTATGTGTGATGCATTTTATAATATGAGTGGTATACTTCACAATCAAAATCACTTTTAAGAAGCTCTTTTGCCTTGGCTAACTCTCGTTTGCCGTTTCCCCAGGGCCAGCCAGCCCGGCGGAGCATGGGGAGGACCTGAATCTGCCCCGGCACTGTCTCTCCTACCCTCCACAACATGCTCAAGTCACATCCTGTCCTGCTTTCCATTGCCTCTGGTCACTGTCACTTGCCAACATTCTGAACATCCCACTGCCTTCAACCCTCCCCACTTGTTCAGCACAATATGGAAAGTGAAAAAAAAAATGAGTTGCAGAGAGCCTTGCTTCCGGGTTTGGAATCCAGCTCCATCTTGAGTCTGTTTAGAGAGGTATGAGTGCTTTCTGATGTAGGGCACTTATCACTTTAGCACACAGGGGGCTGTGTGATGGCCCAGTAAGAGCCTGAGCTTTGGAGTTACAGAGCCGGGGCCTTCTCAACTCCATCCCTCATGGGTGGCATAGATGGTTCTTCCCTCCCTGCTTTCTCTGACTAGGATTAACTTCCCCCTGAGCCCAGGACACTTGTTACTCTTGTGCCCTAACCTTCACGTCATCTTTCCACCATCTTCCATCTGCAGCTTTCTCAGGTCATCCGCTCCATGGAGGTCCCCGTTCCTACCTTGGCCTTGCCTTTCCCCCTGCATGTAACCTTGGTGAACTTTTCACAAGAGTCTGCGCAGTCTTCTTGTAAGCAGATTAATGCCGAGGAAAAGCCTTGGTGAATGCACACCCCACCTACCACCTCCAACCTTGCACAGCTGGCCGGGGCAGTCGGTGCCAAGGATGCCTCATGGCCCTTCGGACTCTGAACCTGCTATGGGTCCCACTGGCCAGACACGTGCTTTCCTTTTGGAAGTGCTTGTCTCAAACATAGACACATTGAACCAAACCATTGTGTGTGGGCTATTGGAAGGGGTGCACAGATTCATTTGTTGGTTGCAGCAAATGCTTGGTTTGGCAAATGCTTGAGGGCCTTGTGGCTGGAATAGCTCCACTGCATGTCTGCAGATCTGTCACGAGGATCCCAGCTCAGGTGGGAGAGGATAGGGGCTATTGGTCAGACTTTCTCAGGCCACGCTATTCCCTTCCTCCATGCAAGGCAGCGCGGTATGAATGCTTTAGATGGGCCTGGGTGCAAATCACTGTGTGATCTTGGGGAAGTTGCTCAGCCTGTCTGAGCCTCAGTTTCTTGAAGCATCAAATGAGGATGATAATCTCTGTTTCTCAGGGTCAGCAAGGGACTTAAATGAGAAAATTGAGGTAACCCATGGGCAGAGCACAGGGCACTTTGTGAGCACTCAGTAGGTGCAGGCTCCTTTCTCCTCCCCTCTGCCTTTCTCTCCCCACTTACCCCTGTCAAGTAACTTCACCTCTCAGAAAGCCGCAAAAATTGTCCAGTGTCTCCCTCATTCCCAAGACCCCCACTGGCCCCTCACCCAGTGGCCTCTCAGGGCACTCCCCCGTCCTCAGAAGTCCTATCCCAGCGGAGATGGAATCCACATAGCTGGCCCTTTCCTCCACACGACCCTGCCAGCGCAACCCTTCCCCGTATGATTACGATTTGTTTCTGGTTGTTTACCATGAGAAGCTCACTGAAGCAACGAAGGCTTCCTAGGTGCCTCTAAAGAAGCAAGGTAAATTTTAGAACCTTGGTTTAAAAAAATGCTGCGCTGTGCAGAGAAGCCCGTGGAGAGAGCCCCGCTGGTGAGGAAGCACGGGGACCCTGCTGCAGGGCTGGTGGAGGGCTCCTTCTGTAGACTTCTGAGCTTGGAGCACAGATGGGCAGCACACAGGTGAAATGTGATCCTCTGTGGGGCTGTGTTTTCTGCCCCAGGAAGAAAGAAGAGTCAACAACTTAATTATTTCGTCATGGTTTTGTACAAAGCTTGAGAGGAGGAAAAAGGTTCCCTTTTTTGAATAATAGACAGGAGTTACAGCCTGAAGGGAGCCTGCTCAGGGCGGGCAGGGCTGCTGCTGTCCCATTGGCATCAGAGACGTGCTGCTGTCCCGAAGGCTCCGCCCTCCTCTGACTGGCTGCTGGCCCTGGCTCCTGCACTACTATGGCCTTTTGGCTCAGGTGCATCCTTCCTGGAGGCTGGAACTCATCCCCCGCCCCCGGCATCACCTCCATAGCCAGGGGGCCACCCAGGAAACGCAAGCCAACATCTGGGGAGGCCAGCCATCTCCAGGCAAGTTGGAGACCAAGAGAACTGTGTGAATTTAGACTCTTGGTAGATGCTGCCTGACCCTGGGCTGCCTGGAGCACTGCATCCCTGTTGCCTGGCACACAGTAGGGTTATTGTCTCTGAGTAGCTGGGTGAATGTAGGTCAGAGCTGGGAGGCACTGTGGGCTTTCATAGTCAAGGTCACATGGCTCATTAGGGACAGTGCTCGAAACATTTCAGTAGGGACTCACCATTCAGTCAACAAATTTTGGTTGAGCATGTATTATGTGCCCGCCACTGCATTAGGAGCTAAGAGTACAGTCAGGAACAAAAGAGCATTCAGTGTACTCCAGACAGATGTTAAACAAATACATAGAAGCCAAATTATGTACAGTGCTAAGAGGAATGGCATCCAGGCCAGGGCAGGGTTCTCCCAGGTGGTGGCATTTCAGGATGAGTGACATTGACCACGTGGAGAAGTGAGAAGAGGGTCTCAGGTGAGGGAGCAGCTTGTGCAAAGGCCCTGGGGAGGCCCGCACTGCAGGAGCTGGGGAAAGGGAAATGTGGTAAGAGGTGAGGAGGAGAAGGACCTGATGGTGAGGATATCACAGTCTGATTTTCATTTTTTAAAGAACACCTTGGTTCCTGCAAAGGTGGGAGGGGAGGAGAGGGGCATTGGTGAGTCTATGGGTGATGATTGCAGGGGGTGGTGGCTTGTGGTGCCCTGTCACTCACCAGATCAGTGACTGTGGCAAGCAACTGGCCTCCCCAGGCTCAGCTTCCTCCATGTGACTTGGGGACGCATGCTTCACAGCACTGTTGTGGGGCATATATTATTGCAAGGGGCTGGTGCTGGGAGGGAGCCAACACTGCCACTCTTCCCATGCATACCATCCTATGCTTCCAGGGGAAACCTAGACTTTACACACTGGCTTTTCTTCTTGTTTTAAGATAGAGAGAAATTCTTAATTGTAATGTGGTCAAGTGTGTCAGCCTTTTGTCGCTTGGTTTGTGCTTTTTGAGTCTTCCCCAAGAAGTCCCTCCTTCTCACCATGAGGTCATAAAGGTGTTCTCTCGTGACTGGAAAGTTTCACGTTTCCACTTAGGTCCTTGAGCCATCTGGAATTTGTGTCTGATTTGGTGCAATCCAGCTCTCCTACAGCCTGGCTGGGAGACTTGGAGCAAGTCGGGCTCCCTGTGTCCCCAGCTAACAGATGAGAAGATTAATTAGGCCATCTCTGTGGCATCTTCATCACCTACAGTTGCAAACATTCAGTCTTCCTTGCTGCAGCCTGTGACCAGGGTGATAGTCCAGTCAGCGTGATAATAAAATAATCCCGCCGACTTCCATGCTGCAAAAATGCAGCCACGCCGACATAGCATTGGCTGTCCTCCCCAGCTCTCTTCCAGAAACAAAACAAAGCACCTCAAAGCAGGTTTCCCAAGGCCCACTCACGGCCAGAACTTTGCTTTAAATCATTCCCCTTCGACAGTTTAGTTTTAACTATACTGTATGTACCCAAGCCAAGGATGGGAGGAGAAGCCTCAGTAACTAGAATTGTTATTAAAACCATATATCCAACTCCACTGGCTTTTCTGGAAACCTCTACCTAAAGGACGTTTAAGTCGTCTATTAAAATATTTCAGACTTGCCCTGAAGGAGGCACCAAGAAGTGCCACAACTTTGCAGGCTAGTGACCACACAGATGGAAATGTGTCTCTGGAAGCAAGTGGCTGGTGTTAGAAACACACACACACACACACACATACACACACACACTCCCACAAATAAAAATCTAGTCTTCCGTGTTCACTCGAATTATTGTAATAATCACTGAGGATGTGAGACTCTGTATTTAGTCAGTTCTCTAAGTATGACCCAGCCCAGCCGTAAGAAAACATGCGAGGGATGGGTGAAGACCCCACAGAGGAGGGAGAGCCTGACTGAGGGGAGCCAGCCTTCACAGGGGTCCCGGTGGGGATGCAGGCAAGAAACTCAGCCCAAGCTCATCTAAGGTGGAAGGTATGCGTCTGATCAAGATACAGGGGCAGGGAGGGGTGGTGTCCTACAATTCTCAAGGGCCTGAGAAGGAGGCCAGGAGCAAAGTTGTCTGCCCATCAGGTCCCCAGGTCCTACCAAGGCAGAGACCAGCTGGTCTCTCTGTCCCAGTAGAAAATTCCTCTGGAGAGAGAATCTGATTGGCTTGAGATCTGTGATTAATTTTATGTGTCAACTTAACTGGGCCACAAAGTCCCCAGATATTTGGTTAAACATTATTCTAAATAGGAGGCTGGGTACGGTGGCTCACGCCTGTCATCCCAGGACTTTGGGAGGCCGAGATGGGCAGACCACAAGGTCAAGAGTTTGAGACCAGCCTGGCCAACATGATGAAACCCTGTCTCTACTAAAAATACAAAAATTAGCTGGATATGGTGGCGGGTGCCTGTAATCCCAGCTACTAGGGAGGCTGAGGCAGGAGAATTGCTTGAACTCGGGAGGCAGAGATTGCAGTGAGCCGAGATTGTGCCACTGCACTCCAGCCTGGGTGACAGAGCAAGACTCCATCTCAATAATTAATTAATTAATTAATTAATTAATAGGGGTTTTCTGGATGAGTTTACCATTTAGATCAATAGACTGGGTCAAGCAGATTGCTACTGTGGTGGGCCTCATCCAATCAGTAGAGTCTTGGGTAGAACAAAAAGGCTGACCTTCTGAGGGCAAGAGGGAACTCTCCCCCTGCCTGAGTACCTTTGAACAGGGACACTGGTTCTTCCTGGGTTGGGAGCCTGCTGGCCTTGGAACAGGAGCTACACCATTGGGCCTTCTGGGCTCAGGCCTTTGGACTCCAACAAAGGCCTGTGTGAGAAATGATGTCAAGAACTGGTCAGTTCTCCTGGGTCTCCAGCTCGCTGGCTGCAGGCCTTAGAACTTGTCAGCCTCTGTAATCACATGAGCCAATTAATGCACATCCTACTCTTCTCTCGGCTCCGTTTCTCTGGGGGACCCTGACTAATCCAAGGTCCCACAGAACACAGGTGACTCCTTGAGGCTCACCTCTGTGGATGGGAGAGGCAGTTCCCAGACAAGGGAACATCATGAGTGGGGCAGACACCCACAGAGGCCTACAGTGGCCACTTCACTCCAGGAGCAGCACACCTAGCTGCAGGAACCCGAGCCCCAGTGACTAGCGCTCATGGGAAGGGCCTGCATCCCAGATATGTGATGACAGCCCATCCCAAAGGCCAGCTCAGAAAATGCTAGGATTTGCCTTCACCCCCAGTGGGGTCATGTGTATGAGGGGGGCAAGTGGGAAGGGAGACTTTGGACCTCAGGCCCTGCCCATCAGCCACCCCATGGCTGAGGGGTCACCCCCATAAGCTCTTGAATGCCAGCACAAGGCAGTCTGGGGAAACTTGGTGACGTGGACAGAGCCCCTCCTTCAGGGAAGTTTCTAGACTGGGCTATGTGCTTGGAGCCACTGTGCTGGGCACAGCCTCCCCCAGTTGACCATGGGCTCTCCACCATGTGCTCCTGCCTTAGAATCAGCCTCCTTCTCTGTAAGTGGAGATGGCCCTGGCGGCCCAGGTATGAGAGGCCCCAATCAATGGCACTTCTCCCATCCACCTCTGAGCTAGTGGGGAAATAAGACACAAGAGTGAGGCAGGAAAAGACCAAAGCAGCAACAGCCAGGGCCTCTTCCCAGTCCCCAGGGAGCCCCTCGGCCCCTACCCACTTTCAAGGCCAGCGATATAATAAGTTTGTTTTTGTTTTCCAAATAAAGGTTTATTTCTTTCTGCTTAATTCTTTTTCAAAAAATTTGATTTTATTGTGCTAAGAACACTTACCATGCAATCTCCCCTCTTAGCTGGTTTCTAGGGGCACAATACAGTCTTGTTAACTCTAGGCAGGTGCCATGCTTCATGGCCGGTCCCCAGGGCTTATTCATCTCACTGCACTGAAACTTGAGGCTCTTTGAGCAGCAGCTCTTCAGTCCCCTCCCCCAGCCCCTGGCAGGACCATGCTCCTGTCTGTTTCTGCGAGTTTCACTATTTTATATACGGCATGTTAGTGGAATCAAACAGTATTTTGTGTCTGCCTTCTTCACTTAGCATCATGTTCTCCAGATTGATCAATGTTGCAGCATGTGTCAGAGTTTCCTTCCTTTTTTTTGAGGCTGAATAATATTCCATTATTCCATTGCGTGAATACAACACATTTTCTTTATCCATTCATCTGTCGGTGGACATTTAGGTTGCTTCCACTTCTTGGCTATTGTAAATAGGCTTCTAGGAGCATAAGGATGCTGACTGTTTTGGATAAATACCCAGAAATGGGGTTGCTGGATCATATGGTAGTTCTCTTTTTAATTTGTGATACATTTCATCTCTCACTCTGGCGATGTCTGAGCTTCTCCCTTGATAGAGGTAGAAAGTTCCAGAGAGGCACAGGCAGGCCCGCAGTGAGAAGGCCTGAGCCTCCTTACCAGGGTATTTCTCCCCCACAGGCTGCCTCTCACTAACTGCACAGCTCAATCACACGTCCCTTCCCAGGGCTGCTGTGTGTCACACGCTCACACCCACACTCGCTCCATCTGTGCTGGGTCGAAGAGTGACCCTGTATCCACATCCATCCAGGACCTCAGAGTGTGACCCTACTTGGAAATAGGGTCTTTGCGGGTGTAACTCATTAAGATGAGGTCATACTCTTCATGTTGGATGGTCATAGTACATCAATGCCTGTTGTTCTTATGAAAGGAGAAAACAGCAGGGCCAGGTAGCTCATACCTGCAACCCCAGCAACTTGGGAGGCTGAGGTGGGAGGCTTGCTTGAGGTCAAGAATGTGAGACCAGCCTGGGAAACATAGCAAGACTCCATCTCTAAAACAATTTTAAAAATTAAAAAATTAGCTGGTGGCACATGCGTATAATCCCAGCTACTGGGGAGGCTGAGGCAGGAGGATTGCTGGAGCCCAGCTGGAGCTGCAGTGAGTCGTGATCACACTGCTGCCCTCTAGCCTGGGCCACAGAGCAAGACCACGTCTCTATAAATAAATAAATAAATAAATGTTTTAAAAAGAGAGCCAGGGTCTCTCTCTTCTCTCTCTCTCTCTCTCTCTCTCTCACACACACACACACACACACACACACACACACACACACACACGAGGGAATGTGGTATGGAGACAGAGGCAGAGATTGGAGTGACTCAGCCCCTCCAAAGAGTGCCAGGAATTGCAGGCAACCACCAGATTCAGGAGGAGGCAAGGAAGGACCCGCCCCTGCAAGTTTCAGTGGGACCATGACCCTGCCCCCACCTCGATCTTGCACTTGGAGCCTCCATAGCTGAGACAGAGTAAATTGCTGTTGTTGTTAGCCACTCAGTTGGTGGGCATTTGTTACTGCAGTCCTGGGAAACAAATGAGCTGTCCACTCACTCATATACAGCCTACTTCTATTTTACTGGTGCTTTCTGCTAACTCCTCTCCTTTCCATCTACATATTTCCTCCTTCCAGTTCTCCCTCACCTCCCTCAAGAGGGGCTCTGTGGCCAGGAAACTTTTAATGAGATCTGGAAAAAGTGTTACTTGCACATTAAATCCATTATTTTATGAATATCATGGCTTAAGACAAGCTGAAGTTTAAAAGTGAGTGATTTCAAGTTGATCAGAAGAAAAATATCAAGTAAATGGGGTGCATGGTGACACATGAGTTGCTGAAATTTGGGGAGCACTGGAATGCAAGAAACAGCACTGATTCAGGGTCTGTCTGTAATTCTGGGTCCAAATTCTGCTTTCCCTACTGGCACTGGGACACACAGGCATTGTTGAAGTACTGGACCCCAGATTTCTCTTCTGTAAAATGGAATCACAGGGTCTAAATTGGAGGCTTTCTCTGAAGGATGAGAATAAAGTTAGAATGAGAATGTTCCTAGCATGGTGCCTGGCATGAGCAGATTCTCAGCAGATGGGCCCTCCTGTAATCCGCTGAGGGCTCTCCTGCAGTGCCAGCAGGGATCCTAGTCATTGTCTCCACCACTCCTGTCTGTCTTCACCCAGAACCTTGTCTGGATCCTGGGAGGAAGCAAACATCTCCTGGTGGGAATGTGAGGCCCTGCCAGGTTGTAGGAGTAACTGGAAAAGGGCAGGTGGCCCTGCCCACTATGTGGGCACCTCATGATAAATGATGGCTCTCATTAGCCCTAACTCCTCGGGCACCTTCCTACCTGGCACCATTATGCTGGGACTACCCTCTCACTCTGGGAGCTTCACGATAAACCCATCTTGGCTTACCCTGGACGCCTGTCAGCTCCTGGCAGGGTGCAGGCCAGAGGGATACCTTTTGCACCATGAGATTGTGCAACTTGGGAGGCTGAGGCGGGAGGCTTGGTTGAGGCCAGGAGTGTTCTGGCAAGTTCACGGAAAGTTCTGGCAAGTAGGCAGGCCAGCCTCTTGCTTAGACAGTGCTAAAAGGATTCTTTTTCACTATCTGCCAGTAAGGAAAGTGGC
The DNA here is from genome assembly GCF_000001405.40 of Homo sapiens. Classification (NCBI taxonomy): domain Eukaryota; kingdom Metazoa; phylum Chordata; class Mammalia; order Primates; family Hominidae; genus Homo; species Homo sapiens. The sequence continues at coordinate 111,303,909 of NC_000002.12, read as the reverse complement.
CATCTTGTTCAGAGGACGGAGTGCAGCATCCACATACCTACCAGCATGAACTTGGTGAGCAGAGGCCACCTGCATCCCAGAGCCACAGGGTCCCTGGAGCTATTGGCTTCTTGCCTGGATACTTCCAGCATTCCCAGTTTCTGGAAGCTCTGGTTGCAGTGTGCCCTGGTTCTGTGGCACCCAGCAGGTCTGCAAGGGCAGCCAGTGGGTGTGAGTCTGGAGAGTGAACATCCCTATGAGAACTGACTCGTGACCCTGAGTTTATCACCAAGGGGCCTCTGCAGAGACAGGTCCTCAAATTAAGAGCCAGGCAAACCTGTAGAGAGAGAGGCTCTGGGGGTAGACTGGGAGGAGTGGAAGATGGTCAACTGTCCCCACGCACTTCACGAGGATTCTCCACCTCCCATGTCCCCTGGCATGGGGAGTGCAAGATAACAACAAAAAAAAGAGAAGGCAGTGAGCAGGACCCACTCTTCCTGCAGCTTCTGCACACTCTTCCTACAGCCCCAGCTGGGCCACCTGCACCAGTCTGTCTGCATCTGGGGTTGGGGTAGGTGGGTTCTGGCTGGTTTATGGAGAGCCTGCTCCTCCATGAGGTCCATATCTGTTATTTTTCCGCGGCATCAGCATAAGAGGTTTCTGGTTTTATGTATGTATTTTCTGGCTCTGGCTCCTGGTCTGCATTTGTATGCACAAGAAGGCATAAGAGAGATAGAGCACTGGATTTCCAGAGACATGTGTCTGGCAGCATTCGGGAAAATAACATTATAGCCTAGGAATCCCATCACACATATGTGCACACATGCCCACATGCAGGATCATGGTATGTTGGTGGTGGTGCAGTTCGTGCCCATGAAGGAAATTGAAAACACTTGTTGGAGAGAAAACCCAGTCGCTGGCATACTATTCCCATCACGGAAGAGGCAGAGCCTATGATTGGTGCCTCACTGAATCACAGGAAGTGTTTTATTTTATCCCCACATCATGATGGAGGGCCACAGCTGCCAGCTATGTCTATTTCTTATGCACAATATAGACCACAAGAGAGAATAAAACAACCTCAAAACTACAGTGTGGAAAAAAACCTGTCAGCTAGAAAGGGGGAGAAGGTATCTCCAGGAGCCAAGAAAATCTCTTCAAGGAAAAATAAAAAAAGTAACCCACTTTACTTTTTCCCCAAACTGACAAATTTGACTTGTCAGATGTAAGTTTAACTTGTGGACAATCCACTCAAGACTGATAATCGCCATAGTAACTGCTGTGTCACATGATCACACAGAAACCTAGAGACGGGGAGAGTGGCTTTCCAGGCCACTTTTCTTCTGGTAAATTCTGTGATGTCAGCCTAATTAGCAGGAGTGGAATCAGGACCTTGGTTGAAGTAATTGGCAGCCCTTCTTTAAAAAGAACAAAGGTATTTTAGCACCTTCTCTTCCTATTTATGGGGGCCTGTGCCAGGACCAACAGGGCTCTGGTGCGGAGTCTTCCTCACCCTTCTTCCTAACTGGCCAAGCTCCAAGCAGTGCCTCTAAATGTGATTCTTTGTAGAGCCATGTCTGGAGAAAAACTCGAATTTATCTCCTGAAGTTTTCAAAATATCAGAAACTGGTGAGAGAGGGGGCCGGGAATACATTTCAGGGCTATCCCAATTCTTTTCAATTAGTATTGTACATTTCAACTTCTTTCATTTCCAACTGCTTCTCCCTGCAAAATAAAGGTATCATGTCTTTAAAGCTCTCCGTCCATGACAACATTTTGTTCTTATACTAGAAAATGCCATTCCCTTCCCAAGGCACATCTCTTTTAGTTGGGTTTAATTTGAGATGCCTCTTGCCTGCTAAAAACATTGGTGACTTGCCCCAGCAAGGAGGTGACAGGGCCACTTGTCCATGTTGGCCCCCTCCAGTGGGACTGAGTGGCCACCACCCCCAGTGGCTGCCTTTCACAGGAAGAGAACTGCCTTCTTCACCGCCGGGCATCGGCCTGTGGAAATCTGTGCCCAGACAGCTCAGGTGGCAGCTTATCCAAGTCCCCAGCACTCTGCTTTGTCTGCCCCAGGACAATTGCCCCATTGTCTTCAGGCTAATGAAGTTTCTGGTCAAAACACAATGATTTCAAACATCTCTTGAGCCTCTCTGCCCTCCATCTGGAACAGATGAGTACATCAATCCCTTCAAACCTGCCTCCTCCAAGTGCATTCTGCAGAGTTAGTGTGTGGGGGTGCATTTTAATCAACCACGTTGGCCAATGCTGCCTACCTGGAGTGACCCCAACCCCCAACTAAACTGTGAGCTGTGGAAATGAACAAAAGCCAGCCAAATGAGGAGCAAAGGCTATTTATTCAGAGCTTGTGCTAGCGAGGGAGTCAGCCACCATCCCTTGTGTTTTGGCAGAAACTCAGAGGCAGGTAGGGGAGTGGGAAAGCCTCAAAGAAGAAAGAAAGGAAGCCTTCGGGTTGCCCTGAGTGGAGGGTGTTGGCCTGGGGAAAATGAAGGTGGCTATAAGAAATGAGACTCCCATGTGATTGGTTAGGGAGCATGTTTGGCTTTCTTTCATTGGTCCTAAGTTGGAAGTGGGGACAAAAACCTAGGGAATCAGGCTGGGCATGGTGGCTCATGCGTGTAATCCCAGCACTTTGGGAGGCTGAAGTGGGCAGATCACTTGAGGTCAGGAGTTTGAGACCAGCCTGGCCAACATGTTGAAACCCCGTCTCTACTAAATATACAAAAAATTAGCTGGGCATGGTGGTGTGCACCTGTAATCCCAGCTACTCAGGATACTGAGGTGGCAGAATCGCTCGAACCCAGGAGGCGGAGGTTGCAGTGAGCTGAGATCATGCTGCTGCACTCCAGCCTGGGGGACAGAGCAAGACTCCATCTCAAAACAAAAACAAAACAAAACAAAAAAACCTAAGGAATCGGTCAGTTATTAATCGAGTCCTAGAATTTTGGGGCTGATTGCTATAGGAGCTGTTGTTTGGCTTCTGGGCTGATTGCTACAGATTGCGGGTCAGAGTCCTGTCTTTCTATATGGTCTTGACATTGTCTGTATATTGACTCTCTCAGTGTGTACAGGCTGTCTTCTCCCAGCCTGCTTAAAATTAATGAGAGTTTGAACAGACGCGTGTGTGGAGGGCACATCATCATTAGTACAAATAGCCACAGATGGAAATTCTGCGTGCCTTTGAGAAAACTGAGTTTGAGAGGCTCTACCTCAACAGCTTCCTCAGCCCAGCTGAAGTCTCTCTCCCTGAAGGCCCATGCACCTTTCTCAGCCATTGCTGGGAATTCAGGATTGTGTGTTGGAGGCCAACATTGGGTACCATGAGTGGAAACCATGAACTGGGGCAAGTCCTCCTGGTACACACACCCAGCTACTTTTTCCTTCCTCTTCTGCCCTATCCCAGGGAACCCTCTTTGCAGCATCTCACCCACTGGCCAAACTTCAGGGTCTTGTCTTCATACTTACTGCTTTTTTCTAAGGGAAAAGTTATTGAGAAGGCAGTCAAGGTTCATTTATTTTTAACCAGGAGACAGTGCCCCCAAACAAGAACTGAGTCCCTAGTTATGGAATGTCAGACACCTCGCAGCAGGTGGTGGTTCTGAAACACCCGGATCCAGATGGCAGCCAACTCCACCCACATGTCAGGCGGGCGACAGCATTTCCGGACATATTCCTTGTTTAGATGAGGAGATTCTGCCCCCAGTAACATTCCTTCAAGCAGCAAAATGATGCTAGATCTTTCCAGAGGTCACAGACTGAAGGCTTGGGGGCTACAGTCTGGAATGTGTTTTGCTTGGCACACATGCATTTTAAGTTGTTTAATGACCTATCAAGATTTAAAGATCAGGAGCTGACCTTTCATGTTAAAAAGAAAATCTATATTTTCCAACTTGTCTTGGAAAATGGGATGCTCTGGAAACACTTGGCCATCTTCCCACCTGCAGATGCTCAGCAGAATGGCAGCTGCCCTGTGGAGAGGAAGCACCTGTTCCCTTCCTTGCCACTCTCCCTGGCTGGCCTGCAGTTTTCTCCTGTGTGTCACAGTTATGGACTGACTGCTTGTGTCCTGCCAAATTCATATGTTGAAATCCTAACCCCCAAGGTGATCATATTAGGAGATGAGGCCTTTGGGAAGTGATGAGGTCACGAGGGTGGAGCCCTCATGAATGGGATTAGCGCCCTTATGAAAGAGACCCCAGAGAGCTCTCTCACTCTCTTTCCACCATGCAAGAAAATGAGATGTTAAAGTCTTCAACCTGGAAGAGGGTCCCTGCCAGAATCCGGCCATGCTGGGACCTGATCTTGGACTTTTGAGAACTGTGAGAAGTAATTTTCAGTTGTTTACAAGTCATCCCATCAATGGTATTCCACTATGGCAGTCCAAACTGACTAGGTGACTCACCTTCTTGGCCCAGTGGGCATTTGATCCAGAATAACTCATTACTGTCTGAGGAAATTCCCACTGTCTCTTTTCCCAGAAGTTTTTGTTTCTGGTGGCTTCTTGGGGGATTCCAGGCACAGTAGGGCCAAGCAATGGGTATAGAGTGACCCTACACCTTTGACTTGGCCTCCTGTGGACTTAGATGGATGGGTGTGTTTCCTAGGAGCCCTCTTTCCTGTCCTCAACCCTTTTCCCATGAGAAATGCCTCTTCTTGCCTCAGAAACAAACGAAGGGGTCAGTGTCTGCCAATGTCTGCTCAGCCCAGAGTGAATGTCTGTGAGATTCAGTGTGAATGTGCTGGTTGCCTGCTACAGATCAGGCTTGGCAGGTGGTGGTAGGTGGTTAAGGTTCCAGTTTCAGCATCAAGTGTGAGTTGTTACTGCTCAGAGTCTCAGTTTTCTCATCTGTAAAATGGGAAGATTCCTAGCTCTCAAATTTATAAGGCTCCACTGGCCGTGTGTAAAATGTGGCATTTAGGGGATACTGTTGGCTGTTAACTATATCCGCCAGGACAGGCTGGTTATGCTCTGGTAAAAAATAAACCCAAACTCAATGTCTGCGCCCAGCACACATTTATCTCTTGTGCATGCTATATGGCCATCTTGACTCAGCAGGGTTCTATTCTCTGTCACCTTTACTTAGGAGTGTTGGTTGGAAGAATCCCCCAAAGTAGTGCCATCAGTCTCTGTGGCAGGGGAAAGGGGACATGGTGTATCAAGCCTTGGGCTTGCAGGTCTGTTCCCAGAAGAGACGTCATTACCGCAACTCACGTTTCATTGGCCAAAGTGAGTCACAAGCCAAGTTTAACTTCAAGGAGCATGCCCCCAAGCCTCTGATTCTAAGTGCTACCGTCTTAACACATTTGAGCTCCTGTAACAAAATGCCATAAGCTGGGTGACTTATAAACAAGAGAAATTATTTCTCCCAGTTCTGGAGGCTGGAAAGTCCAAGACCAAGGCACTGGCAGATTTGGTTTCTAATGAGAACCTATTTCCTGGTTTATAGATGGTGCCTTCTTGCTGTATCATTACACGGTGGAAGGGGCAAACAAACTCTCTGGGGCCTCTTTTATAAGGGCACTGATCCCATTAATGACAGCTCTGCCTTTATGACCTAATCACCTTCCAGAGCCCCCACCTCCTAATGCCCTCACTGGGGGCTAGGTTTCTCCATATGAATTCTGGGGGGACACAAACATTCAGACCATGGCAGCGCTCTCTTCCCTCACAGCGTGGCTGGCTCTCCAACTACAACACCATGCCCCATGGCTCACTTCCAAGGAGACTTTCTGGAGAGGTTTGTCCTAAGAGACAGAAGAATGCATCCTGCCTCAAGTTTTAGTTGCATAGGTTCACCCTACAGTGAGGTAATAGTTACACATTCTTAATGAAAAGATCCAAAAGCCCAATACATCCTGTTCTGCAGCATATAAAGCATCTTCTTCAGACCTGGTCCAAGACTACTCTGGGATTTTTGAGTCAGAAGAGAGCCAGAGCCTATTCAGTATGCTGTTTGACTCTGATCCCAGCAGCCACCACCATGTTAACAGGATGAGCAGGGCTTCCTTCAACTCAGGGTTCCTGTGAAATTAAAAAGAATTCTCATCTTGACTCAGGATTGTTGAACACTATTGATATTTCTTCCAAGGTCTCACAAGAGTTTGCCTCCTCTCATTGCCATGTGAAGACCTCTGTGGGGGAACAATGCATGGGTTCTTGGGGTATTATAGGGGACTACAGAGAAGTGTCACCTCCACCCAACAGCCTGATTCAGTCTACTCCTCAGGAGGAACACAAAGTGGTCTCTCTAGTGCCATGAAACCCCAAAAAGTGTCAACCAGTATTAAAGGCCTGCCTGATATACAACCCTCGAATGCAACACAGTGTCCTTCTGAGGCCACTCTAAAGGCCAGGAAAGGTTTGCTAAGAAGTCTGTGCTGTTAAAAACAGAAGAAAAAGACCCTTATCCCATTGCTCTGTGTCTGGTGGCTATAGGGATAGTATTTCATAAAAAAAGAAAGGCAAAAATAATTTTCAAAAATGATTCAAGAAATGCTGTCAAAGATAGCAAAGAACAGAGTCCTCAGAGAACAGTGCCCAGGACAGGATAAGCACTCAATAACATATAACACTGTGTAGTGCTGTTGAGTGCTGGCTGTTGTTGAGTGCTAGCTATTGTTGAGTGCTTGTTGTTGAGTGCTAGCTGCTGAGTGCTAGCTGTTGTTGAGTGCTTGTTGTTGAGTGCTAGCTGTTGTTGAGTGCTTGTTGTTGAGTGCTAGCTGTTGTTGAGTGATTGTTGTTGAGTGCTAGCTGTTGTTGAGTGCTAGCTGTTGTTGAGTGCTAGCTGTTGTTGAGTGCTTGTTGTTGAGTGCTAGCTGTTGTTGAGTGCTTGTCCTGCCTGGGCCCTGTTTTTAGCCTTTGATGTACATTTCTCCATTTAACTTCCACAATAGCCCTATTAGGCAGCTAGTATTATTATTTCTGTTTTACAGATAAAGATTGGTTTTAGCTCAGAGTAGTTCTGAATCTTATAAAAAGAAAAAAATATCCCCAGGAACTGAATCGGCTCCAAAATAGCCCCATCTTGGGCTAAATATGGGATGTGACAAAGCCACCATGAAGCTAGGCCCCCCTGTCCTGACAGCTTTCCACCCCTTCCCTGCCCCTCTCACCCTGCTTTCCAGGGGCAATGCACCTCCCCACTTCTCCTGGGAGGGGTGGGCATCCTCTCAGTCCCATAATCTGTGCCAGGCCCACATATGAGGACTTGACAGGATTCAGCAGAGATGCAGGCCTCTGCTCTGCTCTGCTCATCTCTTTGCATATAGTAATTTAATGAGGACAAAAACTGCATAGAGCTAGTAATGGCACGACCAAGCAGCAGCTTAAGCTTTGAGCCGCTAAACTATGCTGCCTCCTATTGTAATACGATTATATTATAACCCAAGTTCAAGAGACCACCCACTGCTTTCTTTATTGGATCTTCCAATAAAGTGGCCATGCTAGTAGCACAATTCCCCACGGAAATAGATAATGACTATTCTAAAATAAATCCGAGGACACACCCAGCCACAAAGTGGGAGGTGTATTATACAAATGCAACCAGGGCCTCTGGATCTGGCATTTAGACCCACAGCAACAGCTTGTGTTTGCTCAGGGCTAAGAATGCAGGACTCAGACACTGAGAGCCTCTGAGCTGCTGCAAACTCATCAACCCCTCCCTATTAAAGGCCATTCTGACTACCCTCAGTTTTCCTCAAAGAGCAGTTGAGAGCTAAGGTAGGGTAGGGAGCCAAGAGGAGGCAGGGAGAGCCAGAGATGGCAGCCGGCAACAGGACACAGAAAGAAAAGGGACTTCAAAGGCAGATCTAAGAACTCACAGGGCTTTTTGGTGCAGAGTCTGGAGATAATGCACAGAAATGACACCTTGAAAGGGGAAGGAAAAGAAGGAAGAACACATCATCAGCCCCGGACTTCAGGTGGCTGAAGGAGAGAATGTATTTGGCATCTACCATATCTTTGCATCCTTCAATGACACATTTGTCCATGTCACTGATCTTTCTGGCAAAAAAAAAAAAAAAAAAAAAATGTGCTGTGTGACTGGTGGGATGAAGGTAAAGGGTGGCCAGATGAATCCTCTCCACATGCTGCCACGCTGGCCACCCAGGATGTGGCCTAGAGGTGCAAGGAGCCAGACACCACTGGCCTACATCAAACTCCAGGCCACAGATGGAAATAGGACTGAGATCCCTGGACCTGGGGCCTGCTCAGGTATGAAGATCAGGTGGATTGAGGATGTCACTGCCATCCCCTCCAAAAGCACCTGCAGGAAGGGGGTTGCCATGGTCACCATCTGTGAACAGGACTCCTCAAAATGTTTTCTATTAATAAATTGCCTTCAAGTAAACTGAAAAAAAAAAAAGAGGGAGAGAATTCACACAAAATGATGCCCAGTCTTGGTCTGCATGGTGAAGGGCCCAGGACTGATGGGCGGGGGCTCATTTGCATACCACAACACCAGGGAGAGTCCTGTCACCTGCCCTCCTGAGTCCTGAAGAAAACCCTTCACCCCAATTCCCTGTACACTACTTCTAAAGGCAGGAAATGTGTACAGTTCTAGAATTACAGTCACATAAAATGCTAGAAGAATAACGTGATTTATTTAAGTGCTTAGAGGTACCCCCTTGAAGTTTGTGTTACCTGGAAGTTGGCCTCGGGGAAACACCTCATTGACCTTCTCTCAAGGATAAATGAGATGCAGGGACAGGGAAGGGAGAAAGGTTATTTTAACATTTCATTCACAGTCCCTGGGATTCTTTGGAGAGCACCTTAGGAATGTTCTTAACCTGAGTCCTCTTACTAAGTATTATCACATAGTCTGCCAGGCTGGCATTATTAACCCTACTTTGCAGCTGAGGCAACTACAAGAGATGACCCTATCGGGCTAGTGAAGTGGAATTCGCCATGTACTGCATGCAGTCATGTACTGCAGTGACCAATCCGGGTCTAATTTCTTTGATGATATCATTGACGGGGTAGCAGGGGAGAGGCAAGTGCAAGAGAAGAAACGGGGTGAAACCCACTGCAGGGAAGCTTGGGCTGGGGCAGGATCGGGGAGCCAGGGTATGGGGCATGGTTGGGACTGAAACCCTTGTTAACACTGGCTTTAGCAAAAGAAATGGGCACCACAATCCCAGAGGACTTCCAGAAGCTTCCTCCCTCCCCCGCACCTGGGCACAGAGCCTTACCTCCCCTGCACCCTGGCCCTGTCTCTCTATTTGGCAAGACTCCCATGTCATCTGCTCCTCTTTACTTCGGGTCCCTCTTGGCACTGGAAATACTAAGTGAACCCAGCAGTTACACAGGATTCTAGGAATTTCTCCTTTCCAACTTCCTGAACTGGTTTTCTAATTCACCTCAGAGGTACCTTAACAAATCATGTTCCAAGGCCGGGCACAGTGGCTCACGCCTGTAATCCCAGCACTTTGGGAGGTCGAGGCAGGAGGACCTCCTGAGCCCAGGAGTTCAAGACCAGCCTGGGCAACATAGTGAGACCGTGTCTCTACAAAAAATAAAAGAATTATCCTGGTGTGGTGGTGTGTGCCACTGCACTCCAGCCTGGATGAAAGTGAGAGATCTCTTTCGAAAAACTCACGCTCCACACAATCAGGAGGTCCGCCATCCACAGACTCCAGACAGATAGTTCCATCAGCCAGCAGGAGCGGCATGGGCAACGTCAGTAGCATGCACATCAGGTTAGCTTCTCTGAGGTCACAAAGTTGCCTGGAAGTGGGGAATCCATGAGGGCCAGGCCCTCCACAGGAGGAGGACTTCCCTCTCCAGTCACCGGCCTCCCTGATGTGGTTCCCTCCTCTCAGCCCACATGCTCCTGCCGAGGTAACATGTCCCCCCACTCCAGGTTAGAAAACCATAAAGCCCCCAAGAGACGTTTCTACCAATCATCTAAATATTGAGTTTCACCTTATAAAATTTATAAAACGTAAAGAACACTTGGAACAGCCCAGTTTTAATGCCTCCAACTTTTGTTTTCCAAAGAACAATTGGTAGACTTGGCCCCGAGGGGAGCAGAGCCCGGCTCTCAGACAACGAGCCTCACCAGCAATTCTGTATCTTCGAGGCGGCAGAGGTTTTTGTGATCTTGTGTCATTTCTAAACACGACGGTGTAGATGGGATCCTCTTCATTTTGCAAATGAGAAAATGGAAAAACCCGAGGGACAAAGGGCCTCTCTCAAGGTGCCATGGTGAGAAGGAGGCAGAAGGAAGAGGACCTCGCCCCTGCCTTGATTCCACTGACTGCTGTTTATCACACCATGAGTGTCTTCAGGGAGCAGTCGTTCTCCCGCTGGAATGTTTACATGAGGAGCAAATGTGATGCCATCACATAATTCCAGTGAGGGCTGGTCATCCCCTGCAAGGCTGAAATGACCCTGTCTGTTTTAATGCTAAGGAAGCAGCAGCTTTTCTCCCACTCCCACACAGGATGTGTGCAGCATCTTCAAGTCTCTGCCTCGCGTTTCTAGATCTGTAGTGAGCTCTCCATGGTCAGGGAGTGGATCTTTCAGTTGGGTATTTTTCTGAAGCAACTGTCATTCTTTGCTTTTTGTAGCAAGACATGTTTTTAAAATCCTCTGAGAGAGAAAGAGGGTTGCCAGAAAAGGAATGAAGAGTGGGAGAAAGGTGCATTGTGGAGCTGTCTGAGCGTTGGAGTATGTCCCAATAACGAAGAGACTGTGGAGAAGCATCCCCTGTCCCGCTCCGTGTTCTAAATGTATGAAACCTAACAAGGTAATTGCATGGGAATAACACACTGTGAATGTTATGTGGGATTTGAAATTGTCATCCCAAGAGTGACCAGGTGGAGAGAGGAAGGGTGAACTCTTTCAGTCTAAAAGCTATGTTTTAAAAGGCAGGGTTAGACTATGTTTGTTTCTGCAGTGTATTTTCTCTGCATAAAGGGCTTTTTTTCCTACTTTTTCTGCTGGTGGACGTTTCCCTTGGGGGAGCCTGGCCAATGAAAGGTCACACAGAGACCAGTCACTCTCAGGAACACCAGCAGAGCCGGGCAGACACATGTCCTAATTTTCCCAGGAGCAGACTGATTGAACCATAGGAGGGTCTGTCTGATGTTTATCTTGGCAGAATTCTCAGATGAGTTAGCAAATAGTGGCTGGAGATAAACTGAAACTTTGAGCAACCTCTGGACTGACTCTGATTACCCTCCACACCCTACCTGCGCAGGGAGGAGAGACCACAAAGCCAGCAGCAAACAGTAAACTTTTCCAAGAATCAGAGAGGAAGGAGTTCCTGACACCCTGCAGCAAAAACAACCTCAAAATTCCCCTGAAGACAGACCCATGGGAGCTGGGGTCAAGGTGGCCTTGCGCTTCACCGAGGAGGTGTCATTACCAAACGTGCTGGACATTGGCTACCTACGGAAGAAAGATTAAGGACTGAAAGAAAATAGTGGAGAACATGCTTATGACATGGGGGTAGGACAGGGAAGGCCTTGAGCAAGACACAAATCACAAAAGCAAATAGAGAAAGAGTGATGTCTACCTTCAACGAAATGTGAAACTTCTGATTCAAAATCGGAAACCTCTATAAGCTGAGATAAAAGACAAGCAACAGAGTTGGAGAAGATATTTCTAACATTTGTATGTGTGCAAATGTATGTGTGTAATGTGCTTATACATATACATATAGATAAATGCGTGCGTATACACATGAATTCTGGATTGTTATCTAGGCTCTATGAAGAACTCCTATCTGTTAATAAGAAAAAAGACCAAGATCAACAACCTCATAGACAAGTGGATAAAGAAGATGACCAGTTAGTCCACAGAAAAGAAAATGCAAATGGAAGTGGGAGGGCCCAGAGGAACTCTTGCTTTATCTAAATTGTGTTGATTACGGGAGCATATGCTTATACTAATTTTATAGGTAAAAAAACAGAAAAAGTACCTGAAGATTAAACCCAAGCAATGCGATGTGTCAGTTTTGCCAACACACAGGAAGGGGCTCTCAGCCTGTAAAATAGGAGCCCTTTTGTGTGAAGCTGACCAGATGCGGAGAAGTTTCAACAGTCCTAGAGAAGAGGACCGCAGGGGACAGAGAGCCAGGGAACAGGGCAGGGAGGATCTAAGAGGGCACCCGGCCAAGCGGTTCACTGCAGCTGGTGCAGGGCTCAGCTATACCCTGGGGCTGGGCGCTTAGCACATTGTGGTCAGATGAAGGCAAGCAAGCAGTGGCAGGGACTCTCCATTTGAGTCAAAGTGACAAGCAGTGCCCCCAGTCCCTGGGAAGGATGAAATCCAAATTTAATTCCCTTCTGAACAACATTCTACAATCTATGCTTCATTTAGGTATCTGTAAGCCTAAAAGAGCTGAAAAATCATTTTATTTCCCCTTCCAATGTACAATTTCTAAGACATTTGAATTATCGATGTTGAAGTTTCATTGAGAATGAGCTGAGTGTCCTGCTTTCGGCCTGAAAACAAAGCCTCAGCCACAGTCTTCGTCTCACCCTCTTTCTCTCTGTTTATTTTCTTTTAAAAAATTTCTCCCATTTCTTTGTTCTTTAACAAAGAGTTGTGTGCATCTTCTAAGCTCCAAGTGCTGCACTGGCTTCCAGCAGACAATGGCAACCGTGGCCCTGACCTCATGGCGTGACTGAAGGGAGGGTCTCGGCCAGGAATGTGAGGGACGCCAGAAAGAGGACATTGGTGGGCAATGAAGGGTCTTCCTTGCGGGGGGGTGTTGGGGGGTGTGCTGTGCTTCCCTAGCAGTCCACGACCACTGGCAGGGGACACCCCGGGCAGACCAGTGGTCCAAATTTATACCAGCGAAAAGCAAATGTTGATGCCTTCCCAATCACGGTTCCTTCAAAGGCTTCAGGGTTCCTTGGGAAGGGAAAAGAACATTAGTTCAGCTCCTGCGATGTGCTGGGACTGTGCTAGGAAGTTTCACAGATGCTAGTTCATTTAGATTGGATATGCCTCCCGGACCAGTGTGCTGTCCGTTATGGAAAATCAAAACAGCCATTGCATTTCCATAGTGTTCACAAGGAGCCTCATTTCTGGGCTCAGGCAGGCTGAGGCGTTCCAGGGTTGAGAATCAGACTTGGTGACTGAGCAGGAACTGTTGTCCTTTTTCTCTTTTGAGATATGAAATTTGCTTCACATCTCAGAAGAGTGTGTGCCTCCATCCCACACTTGGGACAAGCGCCGTTATTCTTTTTTTAAAACATCTGTAGAACATATTAAATGCTCTGCTTTCTTCACGGGTTAAATCATGCTGGGGCGGGAGGCTTGTGGTGTAAGAGCGGTGCACTGTGCATCCACTAGGGCTCTCCCGTCATTCCAGTTCGTCTCCTTGCCACGCCCCAGCTCGCTGCCCCCAGGCTGTCTTGGACAGACACATCTGTGTTTTGTAATAGAGCACATCATGCACTATTATATGGGGATATTTTATAAAGGAGCCCACGTGACACAAGGAAACTAGGAGAAAACAATCCTAGAAATCCCCAAAGCTTGGAAGCAGGGACATGCAAGCGAGGTACAGCATATGCTATCAAGTGGCAATGTCCTTCCAGTAGGAAAGCCGCTGTTGTCATCAGTTTAGGCAGGTGCTGGGATTAAGCACATCTACCACTCAGAAAATAATACAAATAAGAACCACGGTCCACATCCAACATGGGTCTCCCAAATTCTCTAAAATGTGGAAGTGTGCAGATCTTAGCATCTCTGTCCTTTCTCTCGCTTCGAGGAAGTTGGGCTCCTGGGCACTGCCTCATCAATCATGCCCAGTACCTGTGTACAGGTGCCTCCCCTGCTCTCTGGAGCATCGGGACTGGAAGGATTGGGAACAGAACGGAGCTTTGATTGATCCTCTTGTCCGCACTTGTGCCTTTCAACTCCCTGTGGTGGAGGGTGACAGTTTAGTCTCCCTGTCTTCTCCTGGGGTCCCACCGGCTCCTGAATCAAATCCTGCTCTTCCCCTGCGTATTCTGAGTGGCCTGCACACTCTGGGCTCTCTCTCTCCTTGACCCCTGGAACACCACCTCTTTGGTTCTTAGTAATCCGGAGCCTTCCTACCTGGTAGTAGCACTGACATCCTCTTCATCCACTGGAAGCTTCCAGATCCTGGCCCCCACAACCCATTCTCTCCCCATAGGGCTTCCACAGAAACACAACGTGTACTGTGTGCCAAATGACTGGCCCAGAGGATGAGTGAGTGGGGGACCAACGTAGGCTAGGGGAGGGGTCAGAAGAGAAAAGTTCCAAGGGAGTGGGAACCCAAGGAAGGCTTCTTAGAGGAGCTGGGACACATTGGGGCCTGAAGGAAGTGGACATTTAGACGAGCATAAAGACTGCAGGGATGTCCAACCTTTTGGTTTCACTGGGCCACATTGGAAGAAGAAGTGTCTTGAGCCACACGTAAAATACACTAACACTAATGTTAGCTGATGAAGAACAACAAAAATAATAGCAAAAAGTCTCATAATGCTTTAAGAAAATTTATGAATTTATGTTGGCCCACATTCAAAGCTGTCCTGGGCCACGTGCATCCTGCGGGCTTGGGTTGGACAGTCTTGAGCTAAAGCAAGTGTGTTCTGAGCTGGAGAGAAGGCCAGCCCCACGGTTCATCGTTCATGGTATCATCAACCAATGATACTAGGAACAGTTGGTGGGTGCAGGCCCTGGGCAGGGCAATAATAAGAAAAAGCTTAGAAAAGAAAAGGAGGAGGAGGAGGGGAGTTGCGGGTCATGGAGGGCCTTGAAAGCGAGACTGAGGGTTTGGACCTTACCTTTTCGGCATACTACCGAGCAGAAACCCCTGTCACTGTAATTTCTGATGATTCTGTCTTCCATCTTTGGGAATAACAACGACATAGTCGACTACTCCTCTACAAAAAGAGTCGTCAGATTCTTTAACCATGTGGGGCATCTTGTTTTGGCATCCACACTAGTTCTGTTACAGCCAAAGCTGGGGGTGTTGGGGAATGTCGCATGCTTCAGGGGTATCTGTGTAGTGTGCATTTTACCCAGCTGAGCTCACAACTTTAATGTGTGAAGGTGATCCTCCAGTTCAGGAGGACAGAGTTGGTGCCCTTGCCTGTACCATCCTAAGAGAGGTTTCTGCTTCCTGTGTCCTGCTCTGTGGGCTCCCCAGGTACCCCTGCAGTTTTTGCCTAATACTTTGGAACCAACAATAATAACTTATGAAATCTTTATTTCAAACACAGCTTGAATTTCATCCATTTTCATCTTACCCAAAGAGATAGATTCTCTAGTCCTCAATCTGGATGGTCAGAATGGAGAAATCCCCTTACCTGCAAACACAGGTCTTTTATTCTGTAACCACTGTCTGTCTGGTTTTCTGTTTTGGAGTCTCCCAGGGTGATGGTGCCGCCAGATAAAAGTTGTAATGAGAGAGGGAGGGTGGGAGGGAGGGTCCAGTGGCAAGGCAGGGCGGAAGGTAAGCGGAGACCTTCTCCAATCAGAAGTCTAGAAGGCAGGGCACGCAGTAGGTCTGCAGGATGACTCAGAACCCGCGTATGAATGCTGTCTATTCATGGGTCCAGGCTTTTGTTAAAGTCTGGGCCTGCATTTTAAAGAGGGAGTCAGGGAACTGGCTGGACTGGTCTGACAACTAAGGAGTGGTGAACACTTCCCCCAGGCTAGTACTCAGGTGGATGAAGTCATCAATATTTTCTGGGCAGTCCTAATCTGTGATTAACTTTTATCTCTGCTGTGAAATAACAGCCTCCTTTTCAGCCTGCTAACAATAAGTTAACCTGGCTGCCCGGCTGGGGGATATTTTATGCTGGGCTCCAGCAGAGGCACACTTGAGAAGCCATGTGGGACTCCTGCCCTGGAGAGAGCCCAGAGTGGAGGGAGGGGTCTGTATGGTGGTGGGAGTCCTCTCAGCAATGGTCCTTGTGATGCCGGTGTACTCTGATGTCCTGACTTCAAACTCAGCTTACCCAAAGCAAATGTCCACTTTCTTCCGTACTCCTTTCTTGTTTAAAGCCTCACCACTGACCAGGAAGTCTTGATAGAGCCATCTAGTAATTCTTAAGTCCTACCTCATCCAACCTTGTTTTGACTCCTGCAGTGAGCACAGCTGCCCTCACCCTCCCCTCTCTATGCCCTCACCTTTGCAGGAGACTCTCAATTTCTCAGTCCACATCAGCTCTCAGACCACCAAAGCAAGGGTTATTTTTCTAAAAGACATTTGTTCCCATTGCTCCTCTGACTAAAGTTCCTACTATGGGACATTTGCCCTTGGCACTCAAGGACCTTGCAATCAGGCTGAGAACCTCAGGTTCTCAAACTCAAGACCATGGGGAATGTAATAGGTGAATCAGGCAGGTGAAGTCCAGGACTCTTTTTGGTTTATATTTTGTTTACTCAGTTTTGATGGAGACAAGCATACCAGAAAATTCACATTCCTCTTAACTCTAGCAGTAGACAAACAACAGAGCAAGCAGGATGTGACCATTTATACATGGCCTCACTGTTGGGGAGGCAGTAGGGAGTGTTGGAGACCAGGGTCAGGACTAGGGCTAGGGCAAGGCTAGGAAGGTGCCCAGGATGCATGTTTTAAGGAAGCACTCACTCTTGGGGCTTTGCAAGTACAAGGCTAGCAATGGGAGATGAGTGCCTCCTTAAAGTTGGCTTCTTGGGCCTTGTTTGCCTGACCTAGTCTGGCCTTGGTGAGGACAGTGGAGAAATGGAGCATGGACCTACCCAAAGGGATGGCTGCTGATCAGCTTCACCTAGCTGTTGCCAAAGGCAACACTGTGGCCCCACTTTTGCCAAATCTTTTCAAACATTCTGTGGGTGCTTCCATCATAGCTATTATCACCTGGCAAGGGAGTTGTCCCCACAGGTAACCTTCTCACTAAGTGGGGGTGTCTGAGGCCAGGGAGAGCTCTACTCATTCCCCTGTGTGATCCCAGCAGTGAGCATAGAGCAGGTGCCCTGCAATGTTAAGCAAAAAAAAAAAAAAAAAAAAAAGACTTTGGAAATAGAGTTATGGAGCCAGGATGGGTCTTGAGTTAGCCTCACTCTTTATTTCTTTATTCAAGGAATGGTTGTTCAGGGCCAGCGGCTCAGCCCTGGGAGCACTGACTGCTTCAAGACACAGACTCCTCTGGGATGCCAGGCAGAGTCTGCTCCTGAAGGCAGACTCCACTCTTCATGGGGCTCCCTCCATTACTCATTAGGTCACAGAATAATAGAAAAAGGCAGGAAAGATGAAAAAAGAGAATTTAAAAACAAAACACGTCCAGGTGTGGTGGCTCACACCCGTAATCCCAGCACTTTGGGAGGCTGAGGCAGGCAGGTCATCTGAGGTCAGGAGTTCGAGACCAGTCTGGCCAACATGAAGAAACCCTATCTCTACTAAAAATACAAAAATTAGCTGGGCGTGGTGGTGGGCACTTGTAATCCCAGCTACTAGGGAGGCTGAGCCCAGACAATCACTTAAACCCGGGAGGTGGAGGTTGCGGTGAGCTGAGATTGCACCACTGCATTCCAGCCTGGGTGACAGAGCAAGACTCTGTCTCAAAAAAACCCAAACCCCCCCCCCCCAAAAACCCAAAACACATGGTAGCAAAATAATAACAAATTGAAGTATGTCTGTAATGACAGCAAATGGGAACTTACCTACTCCAAGACAGAAAATGATTAGATTAGATTTCTAAAAAGTCCAGGTAGGTCTTGCTTCCAAGATACCATCTAAGATGAAATCACACAGGCTGAAAATAAAGGAATGGAAAAATATACACTATTTAAATGCTAGCAATAGCAGACAGATTATAATAGGAGAGAGACTATATAATAATCAAGGCACCAACCGACTCAGAAGCTGTCACAGGCCCAAATGTATATGTATGTGTCTAACATACACGCACCTCAAAATATAGTAAGCAAATTGACAGAACTACAAGTCTAAGATTACAACCCATTTAACTTTATCAAAAGTTGATAAATCAAGCAATTTAAAAAGTACTAGGTTATAAAAGATTTGAAAAACAAAAGTAACAAGCATTATCTAATGGGTGTGTGTGTGTAAAACTTTGCGGCCAAACATAAATGGTCATCATAGATCATTTAAAAACAGTTGGTGATATACAGATTATTTAAAAATTTGACCACATACTAGGTCACAAAGAACTCAACAAATATCTAGAATCATCAAATAACACAGATCATATTCTCTAAACACAACCCAATTAAATTAGAAGTCAATACTAAAATACAGTCTCAAACTCATATATGTGGGAACTAAAAAATTCACTCCCTAGTAACTAATAGGCTGAAGAAGAAATTACAACAGAAATTTGAGGAGTTTGAGACCAGCCTGGGCAACAATGCAAAACCCTGTTTCTACAAAAAATTAGCCAGGTGTGGTGGTGGGTGCCTGTGGTCCCAGCTACTTGGGAGACTGAGTTGGGAGGACTGCTTGATCCCAGGAGGTGGAGGTTGCAGTGAGCCATTATCATGCCATTACACTCCAGCCTGGGCCACAGAGTGAGACCTTGTTGAAAAAAGAAAGAATATCTAGAGGTAAATTTATAGCCTGACATGAATTTATTTCAAAATCATGAGAGGTTTAAGCGAGCTGAGTGCTCAAAATAGCAATTGCAAGGAACTTCCTTAATGTGATAAAGGTTATCTATCAAAAGTGTATAGTAAACATTATAATTAATGGTGAAACTTTGGAAGCATGCCCATCAATATCAGTAACAAGACGAGGATGTCCATTGTCAATATGTCTATTCATCAGTATCCTGGAAGCCGTACTGAGGGCAATGAAACAAGCAAAAGAAATAGGAGAATAAGAATTTAGAATGAAGCAAGAATATTTTTATCTGCAGGAAATATGATAATCTATATAGAAAATTCAAGAGAATTTTCTAATAAACTATTCAAATGAAAATACAGTCCAACGAATATATATACACAAAATTGGGTACAATTTATATGTATTAATTATAACCAATTAGAAAATATAACAGGAGAATGAGTCTTATATTTCAACTAAAGCTATAAGATCTTTCTGCATACATTAAACAAAATATGTGCACGTTGCTTGGTTTTGATTTTTCTTGGTTCATTTGGCTGGTTTTAGAGGAAACTTGGAAATACAGCTGAGGGACATGAAAGAAAATATTAGTGAGTGGAGTGATTCACCACATTCTTAAATGGAAAAACTAGTGTTGATTTAAGAAAGATGTCAGGCCGGGCGCGGTGGCTCACGCCTGTAATCCCAGCACTTTGGGAGGCCGAGGCAGGCGTATCACAAGATCAGGAGTTCAAGACCAGCCTGGCCAACATATTGAAACCCCGTCTCTATTAAAAATAAAAAAATTAGCTTGGCTTGGTGGCCGGCACCTGTAATCCCAGCTACTCGGGAGGCTGAGGCAGGAGAATCGCTTGAACCTGGGAGGCGGAGTTTGCAGTGAGCCAAGATTGCGCCATTGCACTCCAGCCTGGGTGACAGTGTGAGACTCCATCTCAAAAAAAAAAAAAAAAAAAAAAAGGAAGGAAAGATGTCAATATCATCTCCTAATTATTCTTTAAATTCACTACAATTCTATCCAAAATCTTGAAGGGGATTTTTTTGTGTGTGAAATTTGACAAGCTGATAATCATCAAGACTAATTATACATTTATAATACTTAACATAGTACAATATCGATATATAGATAGTGAATAGATCAATAGAAAATTAGAGAACTCAGAAACTGACCTATGCATCTGTGGAAATTTCATATATAACGGAAGAGTCATTACAGATTAGTAAAAAGAAGGGGTGGGCTCGTTCAAGAAATAACTTAGGAAAAATAGGTTATCCATACAAGAATAATAAAATTAGATCCTTATATCAACACACATGTAAAAACAAATCCTTGGTTGATTACATACCTAAGTGTAAAAAGCAACAACTTCAAATAATTTAGAAGAAGATGTAGAAGACTATCTTTACGAACTCAGAGTAAGAAATTATTTTCTTAAACTATATACAAAAAGACCCTTAATGCAAAAATTAACAGACTATTTGGTTTAGTAAGCAGGATTGTATTTTAAAATTTTTAAATTATTCATAAAAAATGTTAAATGTCAAGCCAGAAACCAGTATTTGCAATGCAGTCATATAATTGACAAAGGCCAGAATCCAGAATACATGAACACTGGCAAGTCAATGGAAAAAATGACCAAAAGACATGAACAAGTTATGGATGAAGGCAGCTCAAAGGGCAAATGAGCATTTGACTAGATGATTACCTCTTAGTAATCAGAGAAATAAGCAAACAAAAAAGTATGCCACCTGTGTATTAGGGTTCTCCAGTGAAATAAAACAAATAGGATTTACATGTATATAGAAAGAGATTTATTTTAAGAAATTAACTTCCATGATTATGAGAGTTAATATCTCTTCCATGATTATGGAAGCTGGTAAGTCCAAAATCTGCATGCTGGGCTGGCAGGCTGGAGACCCGGAGAGAAGACAATGCTACAGCTCAAGTCAAAAGGCCATCAGGCTGAAGACCCCAGGAAGAGCTGATGTTGCAGGTGAAGTCCCAAGAACAGTTTGCTGGAGAATTTCCTCTTGTTCAGGGAGCTCAGCCTTTTACTCTATTCAGGCCTTCAACTGACTGGACGAAGCCTGCCCAGGCTCTGGAAGGCAATCTGCTTTACTGAAAGCCCACCAATTTCAATGTAAATCCCCATCAGAAACACCCTCACAGAAACATTCCGGCCAAGTTGACACTCAAAATCAACTACAGAACCTCCAACACATCAGACTGGCCAAAACATTTGTCTGCCACTACCAAGTGTTGACACAAAAGGCAAACATAAGAAACTCATACTGGGCTGGTGAGGATGTAGAGCATGGATCCAGACTGGAGAACCTCTCACACATGTGCACAAATATTCACTGCATCATTATCTGTAGTGAAAAATTGAAAAGGAACTGAAAAACAATCAGCAGAAAATAGACAAATTAATTCTGATAAGGTTCATATGACTGAGTATTATACAGCAGTTAAAGGAGTTAGAGCAACAGGTATCTGCATGGATAAATCTAAAAACAATCATGAGTTTCAGGAAGATAGATACAACAGGACAGATTTCCATAAAATGGAAAACTTACAAACCAATACTTTATATTACTTAGGAATGAATACTGTAGGAAAATCTAAAAAACAGGCTTGAGATTAATACACAGTAAATTTAAGGTTGTGGCATCTCTGAGGAGTAGGGAAAGGGAATGAGATCAAGGAGGCCTTCATCTGTGTCTGTAATGTTTTATGTGTTTTTTTCTAAAGGCTTGAAACAAATATGGCAAAATATTAAGATCTGATAAAGCCATGTGGGCGTATGACATTTGTTATATTTCTCTCTATCCTTATTCATGTGTTTAAATAATTCTCCGAAAGCAGTTTACTGAGAGTTCAGCATGTCTCCTGAGACATGCTAGGAAGTTATGTGCAGGAGTGGAGAATATGATTCATTGGAAGAGTTAAGTGCCCTAAATGCCAGCCAGGCTGTGACCCCAGGACAGAAGTAGGGTGGGGGGGCCTTCTTGCTTGCTAGTGACAATCTACACCAACCAGCACCACAGGAGCCCCAGGATGACAAGGAAGGACAAAACACAGGGGGTGACAGATGCAATGAACCCCTATGTGGTACATTGAGTGGTGGAGACCGGGTGTAAAACACACGATCGGTGCAGGGAGACCAGCTATGGAGGCTTTGGGGACCATGATAATGACCATCCAGTGTGGCTGTACTTTTCTCTAGAAGAGGGTTGGCCTACATCCACTCCAGTGGATCCACATTCTCTCCCAAGAGACTGATAAGAGAGTGAAAGATTTAAGTCACCTGTGTGGGTGGCCCTCAAGACCCCTGCAATGAAAACCCAAAGGGGTATCACAGTGTTTTCTGGCAAGAATTGGCCATTGCTTAATTTTCTTGTCTGATTTTTCCTAGCAACCTTGTATTTGACCTCGCCTGGCATCCTGTGTGGTCATGAGCCACAGAGGTGGAAAAGGCAACATGGTAGAGGCAGGAGGAGGCAGGAGGTGGAAAAGAAGGGTTATCAGGTGATGAGTTCAGCCATCTCTTGCCCTGAGTTTAGTTGTGCTTTGTTTATAAAAAGTGCTTTTCTACAAAAAGTATTTGATGGTACAAAATATTATCAATATGGCTTAGATGGGTTTGAGAAGTAAGAAAAGGATCGTGGTGGTAGCAGGAAATAAGACAGAAATTTTCCATGGGGGCTCCAGGTCTGAAGGCACTGGCAGGTACTGCAGGGTGCCTCAAGCAGGCGTCACTTGATAGGGTCAAAAATCAGTAATGTCTATGCTCATCTCCAACCTCTGCAGATAGAGGAGGAAATGTTGTGAAGTATTTAGATGCATTTTCTTAGGTGCGTTGTTTTTGTTGAATTAGGACATGAAGCCAGCCACAGCCAGCTGTCTCTCCCCTTCGGTGAGAAGGGGACGACGTGAAGCACCCAAGATGTGAACCAGGACTCAATTCACATTTGGGGAACCTGATAGCCTCCTCAGATGCCCCCACAGAAATCCAGATTGACCCCTGAGGCTGAGCTTTACCCTCCGCAGGGATGACTTCCATCCAGCCTGGGATGGGCAGGGGAAACCGCTGCTCACCCGAAGTGTATTTAAGGGGTCCCAACAGCAACTTATCAACATTTTTTGTTGTAAAGCACACAGAGAGCAGTGAATTCTGTCCATTTTGTGAGCAGCACATCTGGATAAGGCAGGTGCCCCACTGCATTCAGAGCAGCTCTGGGAATGAGGAAGGAAGAGACAACAAAAGGAACAGGAGCCTTCCAATAAGCCCAGACATTAGACCTGAGCCTTGTCCCTGTCATAGGCTAGTCATTATTGATTAAAAGGTGGACATCAGATAAACCCAAGAGGGACAGCCCCGCCAACGTCCAGAGCAATGAGGCCCTCACTCTGCCCTCACCTCTGCCAGTGTAAATTCTGGGGAATTTCTGAAACACCGTGAATACAGAGGTGTGACTCAGTGGGAATCACAGGAATGTCAGAGGACAAAGCAGTTGGTATTAATAAATTGCTTTGAGTCTGGAAACAAAGAAGTGGCCTTCTTTGTTTCCAGGCTGAAGTACAGTGCTGTGATCATAGCTCACTGTAACCTCGAACTCCTGGCCTAAAATGATCCTCCTGCCTCAGCCTCCCAAAGCACTGGGAATACAGGCATGAGACACCATGCCTGGCCTGGCCTTCAGTTTCTCTGCTCTAACTCTGTGTTGCCCTAGAAATCCTTTTCTGAATTTCTCAGGTATTAGACATTCACCCATGACATCTGCATCTTTCTCATCTTCACCAGAATCACCCTGTCTTAATTCCTTAACTCTTCCTGCTTCTTGCCAGGCTAAGAAGCTGTATTAGTTATCTATTGCTGTGTAACATGTCACCCTAAAACGTGGCAGCTTAAAACAAATGTGTGTTATCTCACACTTTCTGTGAGTCAGGAATATGGACACGGCTTAGCTGAATGCTTGTAACTCAAGGCTGCTCATGAGGCTGCAGTCAAGCTGTCACCTGAGGCTTTGGTCTTATCTGAAGGTTGACTGGCATGGGGGCATCTGTTTCCAAGCTCACTCATGTGGTTCTGTCCCTCCCCACCTAGGCGTCTCCACAGGCTGCCTTGTGACATGTGGCTGGTTACCCTGGGGTCGTGTGACTCTGGAGAGAGTAGGACAGAGGACCCAAAATGGAAGCCACAGTGCTTTTTATAACCTATGAAGATGTGACATCTCATTACTTCTGCCCTATTCTAGTCATAGAAGCAAGTTACTTAGACTGGTCCACACCGACAGGGAAAGGATGACATGAGGGTGAGGATACAGGGAGAGTGGGGGTCATTGGGGCCCATCTTAGAGGCTGCCTACCACAGAATCCCTAATTATTTCTCTGAAAATAAAAGGAGGAGAAAGAGACACCATATTCTACATTTCTGCTCACCTCTGTGGTGGGGCTGATGTGCATGGTTTTCATGGCTTAAAAGCACACTCCATCTCACTGGGGGTTTCCCAAATGGTCATATGAAGAGAGGAATTGCTCCCCAGAACCGCTGGGGCACCTCATTTCATTGATGCTTTTTCTTCCTCTCCACGGAGATGCTCTGGGTAGAAGGAATGAAGCCTTCAAGGTGGACTCTGGAGGGCTCTCCCAGAGGCTTCTGTCTGAACCAGTGGGCTTAAAAATGAGCAAGGGAGAACCTTCATGAAAATCACTGTCAAGTACTGTCTCAGTTTGCTCCAGCTGCTGTAACAGAATACCATAGACTGGGTGGCTTGTGAGCAATAGAAATTAATTTCTTGCAGTTCTGGAGTCTGGGAAGTCCAAATTGAGGTGCTGGCAGATTCTGTGTCTGGTGAGGGCCCACTTCCTGGTTCATAGACAGCCTACTCCTCGCTGTGTCCTCACCTGAAGGAAGGGGCAAGGCAGCTCTTTAGTGTCTCTTTTATGATAGTACTAATCTTATTTGTGAGGGCTCCACTGTCATGACCCGAGCACCTCCCAAAGGTCCCACCTCCAGGTATCATCCCACTGGGGATCAGGCTTCAACACCTGAACTTGAAGACAAACATTTGGTCTATAGCAAACACCCACCATATACCAAGCCCCGTGCTTCTCTGGGCTTGGGGGTGCTGGGATACCAAGGTAAATTAAGCCTGGGCTCCATGGCAAGCTGGTGTGATGGTTGAGAGAAGGTCTAAGGGGTCAATAAGGGGTTCTTGCCTGGCGCGGTGGCTCATGCCTGTAATCCTAGCACTTTGGGAGGCTGAGGTGGGCCGATCATGAGGTCAGGAGTTCGAGACCAGCCTGGCCAGTATGGTGAAACCCCATCTCTACCAAAAATACAAAAAAGTAGCCGGGCATGGTGGCATGCACCTGTAATCCCAGCACTCTGGGAGGCCAAGGCGGGTGGATCACGAGGTCAGAAGTTCGAGACCAGCCTGGCCAACATAGTGAAACCCCGTCTCTACTAAAAATACAAAAAAAGTAGCCAGGCATGGTGGCACATGCCTGTAATCCCAGCTACTCGGGAGGCTGAGGCAGGAGAATTGCTTGAACTTGGGAGGTGGAGGTTGCAGTGAGCCGATTGCGCTACTGCACTCCAGCCTGGATGACAGAACGAGACTCCGTCTCAAAAAATAAAATAAAATAAGGGGTTCTTATCCTAGTGCTATTCTCAGCTGAGTGACTTTGGGAGAGTGACTTGACCTTCATGAGCCTCAGTGTTCAAAGGATCTTTATGATTATGTCTGTGAAGCCCTCCGAGTCACCTCTGAGTCTAAGCATCCATCTAGGTGCTCCATCAGCAGTAGGTATTCCCAGTGCTATTGCAGAGAAACTCTCTAAACCCACCTCTCAAACTGGGCCAGCCTGGAGACTGGACCCAGTGGGTCTGGATGCTGACTTGAGCACACATGTACCTCGGCTCCTCAGGAGACTCTCATGCACCCCAGTGGCTGGGAGCCACTGGTCTAGAGAGTGAGCTGCATCAAGGAATGGTGGCACATGGGAATGTGAGCAGGTGCAGGTGGACACTGGGCCAAGGTGGGGCGTGTCTGGACTCAGGGCCTCGTTGGCCAACTCTCCTAGGACTTAAGAAGGGAGAGGAGCCCAGATAGAGGAGCCAGTTTTTTTTTTATTTCCAACTTTTATTTTAGGTTCAAGGGGTAGGTGTGCAGGTTTGTTACATGAGTAAATTGCATATCATGGGGTTTTGGTATACAAATAATTTTGTCACCCAGGTAATCAGCGTAATACCCAATAGGTAGTTTTTCTGTCTTCACCCTCCTCCCATCCTCCCCCCACCAGGAGTCCCCAGTGTCCTCTGCTCCCATCTTTATGTCCATGTCTACTCAATGTTGAGCCCCCACTTATAAGTAAGAACATGCAGTATTTAGTTTTCTGTTCCTGCATTAATTTGTTTAGGATAATGGCCTCCAGCTCTATCCATGTTGCTGTAATGGACATGATTTCATTCGTTTCTGTGGCTGCACAGTATTCCATGGTGTATATGCACCACATTTTCTTTATCCAATCCACCATCGATGGGCATCTAGGTCTTTGCTATTGTGAACAGTGCTGTGATGAATATATGCCTGTGTGTGTCTTTATGGTAGAATATTTTGTATTCCTTTGGGCATATACCCAGTAAATGGGATTGCTAGGTCAAATGGTAGTTCTAGTTTAAGTTATTTGAGAACTCTCCAGACAGCTTTCCACAGTGGCTGAACTAACTTACATTCTCACCAGCAGTGTAGAAGCATTGAGGGGCCAGTTTTAAATCCTAGTCCCTTCCTGATGCTTTATTCATGCTTTATTCCTGCCTCCTGTCACCCGTCTTAGGGATGATTCACCCAGTCCCTTGCTCCTGGCTGGAAAAACCTTTTAAGGAAAAGTCGCTAATCTGGGTACATCTAGACTTAGCTTTGCCCGTGGAAAGTCTCTTGCTTTTCACAGCCATTTGCTACCCACCCTGCACCTCCCCACACCCCTCAGACTTCATGCTTGAGTCCTGTTTACCAAATGATGGGATCCTGTTTTGTCACCTCAGTCCCCTCTGAGGGGCAGTCAGCTGGTTGGAGCAGGAGGCTGCTCAATCCCACGCTGCGGGCTCCTGCACAAGGTCAGATGTGCAGGCCATCATGAAGTGAGTGTCGAGGGTGGTGTCATCCTGAAGGTTAACGCTGTAGCGGGGAGAGCGTGGGGTTGCGTGTCCCTCTCCCTCCTTGTGCAATAACTATCGTGGGTAATTCTTTTATCGTCTTTTAGATAATTTTTACATCCACAAATCAGAAAAGGAATGAGAATCAAACAAAGTAATACATGTGGAAGAACTCAGAGAACAGTGTCATTCTATAGCAACAATCAACACAGAGCCTCTGCTAAGTGTCAGGCCACATTCTGAGCACAGCGGAGACAGGACTGAGCAAAGCCACCACAGAGTTCACATTATAAAAATGAAACAAATGAATGACAAGTGTCACACGGGGTAACAGGCATGATAGGGGAGACAGAATGAGGAGAGCATGTTTAACAGTAAGAGGTTCGGGAAGGAAGCCGGCCCAGACCTGAGTGAAATTAGCCATGCCTGTGCCCGGGGGAAGCAGGTGCCAGCAGGAGGAACACCGAGCCCAGCCTCCTGAGGTGGAGGGCATGGGGCATGGTAACAGGCTGCACAGGAGCTCTGCTCTGGAGCACGCGATCCGGGCACAACCAAGAGCATTGGTGGCACCACTTGAACACTTGCAGCCAGCTCATGACAGCATTTAAAGTGTCTTTGCTGATTTGTTGAAAACAAGATGTAAAAATCACTCAGTGAGAAGGTGGTATAGACCATCAGCCTAACTCCAATCCTGCTCGGGCTTCACCTCCCACCTCCCAGCTCACGTGCCCTCGCAGCAAACTTCTCATTGCTCCTCAATTTATCTCCAGCCCCAGTTCCTCTGTTGAATATCTTCTGCCCCATCATTGCCCCTGTTTTCTAAGAACCAGCTCAAACATCACCACCTCGGTGGAGATTCCCTCCTCCTGGGGTTCACCCAGGAAACTCCACCCAGGAAGCAGGAGGTGGGATTCCTTGGATGAAGAAGAGGTGAGTGAGTCCCCCTATGATGTGAGCTAGTGAAGGGTTGTCATCAGCTCAGAGTCATTCCAAAATACTCTTAATACATTTCTGTTTTCATTGTATCTTTAGGAATTAGTGGCGATGTTTATGCCATTGCAGAAAAAAAAAGAATGATGCTCCATTTCACAGCTTACAGAGCTGGTTTCACATACACTTGAATGGTCCAGCTATTTCTGACAGCTACAAAACACAGGCGCACACACCACCTTGCCTTCTGGGAAGCTGTAGGAGACACGTTACCTCTTGACAGGATAAACAGCCACACACTAGAGGGTAAAGGCAGGGCAAGCTTCACCCCAGCACCTCCTAACCTGGCACAGGCTTGACCACATGCTACTTCAATGACTTCTTTTTGAGATCAAACACCTGCCCAGCACCCCAGTCTCCTGACTTCTTGCTTGGAGCCTGCATCTCAGCTTCCTCAGCAGCAATGAAAAAGGAAGCCAACCCCGACCTGTAGAAATAGTGTATTTCCTCAATTCCAAGGCACACAATTGTTCAAATTTTAATTATTCTGAAATCAGGATGTGTCTTACAATTAGTCGGTACACTACATGTGGTGTTTCTTTTTTCTTTCATTTTTGTTCACCCCCTACAAGCTGTTCTTAAAACAATGGTGTGTCGTACAATTGATGACATCTTAGAATCAAAGAAAATAATAGTTAAAATCATGGGGTGGCAATTTAAGGTCCACCCGTGTCAGACTTCTCGAAGTCATTGTGAAACTGTGTTTTGTTCTGCTTTGAATGTCTGGTGGTGTGAACCCAGAGAGACTGGATTCCTAGATCCCTGAGGCCTCCTGGCCGAGCCAGGAGCATGGGGCAGACAAAGGGCAAAGCATGGTCCCTACCGACTTGTCAGGCCTGCCAGCCCTGCCACTGGCTTTGTGATTTTCGTTCCTGAATTCATAGAGATGGCTGCCAGCAACGAGAGGTAATCTCAGGACACACAGGCCTGGGCTAGGCCTTGGAATATTCCGGAAGTCGGTGGCCAGAGTTGTATCAAGCCAGACGGGACACATATGGGAATACAATTACAGCAAAGCCGGCAAGGCTCAGTGAGGGGCAGAGGGCCTGGCCACATGAGGAGCCAGTGCTGTGGGCAGGCCCGGGTCTGAGTGCTGGCTGTGTGTCCTGCACAACCACATCTCCCAGAGTGCATTCGTCACCATCCACTCCAGATGCCCCTTGAACAAATGAATTTCACAGTTGCAAAAGGCTGAAAAATGCTCTGTGACCTGGCACCCCCTTGGGGAACCACAGTGCATTAAAGGCTCTGAGAAGTCCTGCAGTAAAGAAACCTGATGAACTTTTGTTTAAGTTAATGTTTTCCAAACTTCTTTGATCACAGAATCCTTTTATTCCAGTAACACCTTTTACAATCTTAAGATGCGAATTTTCTGCAGAACAGCCACCTGGGAACAGGCCTGTCTTGTGCAGAAGCCTGAGGGACTGGGAGCCAATCTCATCACTCCCTCACTTGATTATGGAAAGATGAAAACAGAGAGTGGAGAAATGAAGGGTAAGACCAGGGAAGAGATTCTCTCTGGGGTCCCAAAACATGGCCCTGGCTATGGACATACTTGGGGGTGGGGGGATCCACTTGCCTGCTGGCCTCTTTTGGGCAGTTGGTATTGGTTGCCCGGGTATCCCCGGGGCAGTAGCTGCAGCAGTGGCCTGATGGGTGTGCAAGCAGCTAGCTGGTGTGTCCAGCACGGTCTTGGCACACCTGGTTGTTTTGGAAAGGTCTTTTCTTGAACAGGAACTTGCATACTCAAAAACAACAGCAAAACACAAGGCCACACTCACCCCCCAAGGGTAAGTCCGTGGCTCCTCCTGCACACCCAGGAAAGATCCCGTGGAAACACAGCACCGGAGGATATGGGATAAGAGACAACAGAGAGGAGTGGTGCTTCCTGAATTTAGGAAACATAGCTGCTACTTTGGGCCCTCTAGATACTTGAAAGAAAAAATGATGGAAATCACTAGGTGAGAATTAAGTTCTTGGTGACCACTGGCTGTATGCAGGACAAATAGTACTACAAAGTACTACAAAGAATGCAAATCTGTCTGCTGCACCCAGCAACTTCCAGTTGGTAAAAGGCTATGTCCCTGGAGAGGTAATAACTGCCACTGTAAGAAATTCCTGGGGTCCAATCCTGAATCCTTCTCTCAACAGCAGGATTCTGGGAAAGGGAAGCCAGGTTGTTCATGGACATTCAGTGGAAGAATTAAGGCAATTAAATGTTAAGTTTTGCAGGGCTGGTCGACAAGAGAAGAAGGGAATCATAGGTAATGAGCACAACTAAAATGAAGGCACAGAAGCAAGACGGTCAGGCTTTGCTCAGAGAATAACTTCAATGAGAGCAGTGAGCAGGTGCTCCAGGGTCCTGGGAGACAGTGGGAGGTGGGTCACAGAGAGCAGGCTGAGGAGTTTGGATCTGCTCATAGAGAAATATCTTAAACTAACAGATTCCACGTCAGGCAAGGTCTCTTGGCTTCAAGGAGCTGGCAGTCAGGAGGGAGCGATCTAATGCTGGGTGGGGGTTGAGAGCATCTGGCGGAAAGAGGGAGGATGTGGGCAAAGAGTTTTTCGATAGGTGGTGTGGTTGTCCGAGGGGAGGCCATGAACAGAGAGAACTGAGGCAGGGAGAGGGAAGCCCACAGGCCTTGGGGTTGGGTCAGAGGAGGTGGTCAAGGAGGGAAAGGAAGGCGAGAAGACAAGGAGAAAGGAGGGGAAGAGGGAGGCACCCCCCCTCTCACTGGTGTCAGGATTCAGATTGTGACTGGGCTTTGCATAGAGCAGGTGGGCAGCTGTGACCCACACACGATATTCCACCCGAAGATGTGTTTTTCTGACGTGCACAGTAATTTTCAAAAGCAGGAAAACTTTATATAGATATCTAGGTTTCTCTAGATAAATGGAAAGGCCTGGCCTTCCTGGACCTGCACCTGGCAGTGCCACCTGGAGCTGGTCACAGCTGCTCCCACAACTCCTGGACTGGGCGCTTCAGTTGGCTGTAGTCCCCACCCTTCCTACTGCCTCACACCCAGGTGACTTCACTCACGTCCACTGACACCGTCTGCCTGTCCCCAAGGACACTGAAGTTTGCAACCTAGGTGCAGATTATGTGCACACAGGGCTGCCATTCACAGGAGGGAGATGGTCAGTGGGGTAGGAGGGCGCTGAAATCCAGCTTGCATGCATGCCCATGTTCTCTGTATGTCCCAGGGAAGGAGGTCCCTTCTGTATTTGCACAAAGACATCGTACTGGCTGAAAATGGCCCTGCCCGCAAATTCTCCCAAAGGTGTGTATTCTCCATTGGTCACAATGCACTATGTAGCCCATGAGAAGGAGACCAACTCCGAGGAGCTGAGAGTGAGAGGAGACTGCATTCTCAGACACAATTGTCCAGACACTTCCTTTAAAAACTACACGCCAATGCCCAATAATGCTCAGCCTTGGAAAACAGTGAGTGTCTAATCAAGCCATTTAAAGCAGGGAGAAGATTTTAATTGGTTGCAAGGGCTGGTGTAATTATTTACAGCATACAGAGGTTTTCCTTTTGAACCTCACAGCAATCAAGTGCAGCAGCAATTTTTCTTTCCCTATTTTGCAGATGAGGAAATGGAAGCTTATGGAGGTTAAGTGATTGGCCTCAGGCCATTGCATTTAATACTACTAATAATATTAACAGCCATAGTCCATCCTGGGCAGGCCTGAGCATCTCACACACATTTGCTCATTTCCTCCTCACCCGATGAGAGCACTGATGCTACTTTTTCCTCTCTCCCAGAAGAAGACAGAGGCCTAGAAGAGTCTGGGCAGACTCCAAAGCCCACCCTTCTAGTCCCAATGTGAGACACCCCCATTAATAACACCAAAGGGCCCACACCTAAAGGCAAATCAGTCAACTAAAATCCAGGTCTTTGGTCTAGAATCTGTCACTCTTATTCCTGCATAATTTTTAACACTGGACTCATGGTTCCTTGAGCTGAAATGGTTCATGCAGGATATATCAAAAATCTGAGCATTAACCAGAGTGTTTGTAATGACAAGGAATCTGTGCCTTTTCTATGAGACATACCAGCTCTGTGTTTGACTCTGGTCAGTGTAGGCGTTAACTTCTGATCTGAATCAGCAAGACCTGGGTTCCAGCCTTGCCCTGCAACCCACCAGTGGTGTGGCCTTGGACCCATCGCCTGCCTGTCAAGGCCTCATCTTCTTCCTCTGGGACAAGGGCACAGCCACAGCCCCTGTGTTATGGCAACACTTGGGTCAGGCTCAGGTCTGGCGCTTGGCAATCAGCTGATGATGGCAGGGAGGCTCTGCTTCCTGTCCCAGGCAGAGGGGATGGCACGGCCTGTGAGTAATGCAGGTTTGAGTGGTGAGCCAGTTCAGAGCAAGGCTGGGAGGACCTTTGGGCACAGTCAGGCTCCAGGGATGCAAGGCGTGGCTCCTTCAACTTGTCTCCAGCACAGCCACAGACGCCACCAGTGTGGGGAGGGAGCCCCTGGTCATTTTCTGCTGGGGAGCAGAATCGCTGATGAAGGGCCCAGCGCCAATGGGGAAGAGGCCTCCCCAACAACCCTGGGCCTCCTGCCCGCTCAAGCCACTTAAAAATCCGTACCGTGCCCACAAGGCTTTCCAGTCTCCATGTCTCAGGAAGGTCCAAGACAGTAGGTGGAGGTGGGCACATGACAGGGCTTTCTCATTGCCTCCAAACAATGCCATGTGCTGGGCCATATTTTCTGCTCTTCTAGAAGCTTCTGTGTCCCGGGCCAGGTGGGTGCTCATTGTGTTCCCTCTGTCTCTGGGATCCCCTCCTGCTCAGGATTTAGGGGGATTGGGAGCCCTGTGCCCACCTGCCAGCTCCCATTTACTCACACCACCCTGCAGGCTGGAGGCTTAGCCACTTCTCAGGAGGAGCCTAGAAAGGATATTGGTCGCCCAGCTGCTGAACCTGCCCCAGCATCCTTGAGGGTCTTGAAAATCTATTTTATGCTGGGCACCTGTAATCCCAGAAATTTGGGAGGCCGAGACGGGTGGATCACCTGAGATCAGGAGTTCGAGACTAGCCTGGCCAAAATGGTGAAACCCAACTCTACTAAAAATACAAAACTAGCCAGGCATGTTGGAGCATGCCTATAATCCCAGCTACTCAAGAGGCTGAGGCAGGAGAATTGCTTGAACCTGGGAGGCAGAGGTTGCAGTGAGCGTGAGCCGAGATTGCGCCGTTGCACTCCAGCCCGGGCAACAGAGCAAGACTCCATCTCAAGAAAAAGAAAATCTTAAAAAAAGAATGCCACTGTCATGTGGAAACACCTCTAACAAACATGAGGCCAGCTAAGCTGGGGTGGGGGCCAGGTGGCAGCCTCTGAGGAGGCCTCTGCAGTCCTGGGTGGATAGTTCGGGTACAGCCTGTGAATATGAGAAGCTCTTGGCCACTGCACATGGCTCAGTTCCCATCATCGTGCATCAGACACTGGAAGACAGTAGTTGGAGCTGCTGGACAGGGCTGTTTTTTCTCAACCAGACAGTATCCAGGTGCCTGTCCCTCAGCAGAGGGAGAGGTGCCACAACCGGCTACCATGATAAGGAGTCAGCTCAGAGCACCTTTGTTGGGGGGCCTGAGGAGATGAGGTGGTATGGGGATAGGATTCTGGAGGACCCTGCTGGAACAGGTAGAAGGACAAGAATAACTCCCCACTGGGACTGGAGGAGAGGAAGGCACATGGGGGCCCTTGGCAGGGTGGAGTAGGGCCATAGGTAAAAGGAAAGAGGAGAAAAGGACAGATACTGGGGAGAGTGAGAGGGAAGGGAGGGGAGGAGAAGGGAGGCGGACACCTCCAGATCTGGCATGGCAGAAGTCTCCTTGGAAAAGATGAGTGCAAGATGTGGGAGGAAGAGTAGGACGTGAGGGTCTCCAAAGTCTGCTCGAATTTTCAGGTACAAATGACCTCCCATCAGAATAGCCCCAATCTGAGTTCTGCAGAGGCTGAGAGCCAACTCAAGGGCATGGAGTTTCTGAAGCCAGAAGGGACCTTGATAAACAAGAAAGCCTGAGGCCCAAGGAAGTTAAAGTGATGTGCTGAAGATAACCCAGCCAAAAGGGGGCGCAGCCTGGATCCACACACTTCATGGTGCTCTACCCACTACACCATAAAAGGAGAGTCCAAACATGGTAAAGATGAATGGCAGACTGGCAGCCAGTGCTGTCTCCATGACAGCACTGTCATGGAGATTTACATTGACATTGACATTGACATTGACATTGTCATGGAGATTTACATTGACATTGACATTGACATTGTCATGGAGATTTACACTGTCATTTACAACCTGGCATGCTTTAGATGGTAAAGTAATAAAGCAGAATTGATGTGTCTAAACAAAGACCTCCAGTACCTTGGAAAACTGCACACCTTTGTTTAGCAATTGCGTTCACATTTAGTAATTGTTTTCTGAGTAATCCATTCATCATTCATTTATTCCTATGTCTGGTATTGGCAATTTAAAAATAAACACAACAGAACTCCCACTGTATAATTGCTAAACACAATGACAGCTATAATTGAGGCACTGAAGGAAGGTCAGGGGAGCCCAGGAGGGCGGGGCTGCTGCTGCCTGCTGAGCTGGGAGGGTTGGTGGCACCCCTTGCCCTGGGTTGCCATAGCAGATATCATAATCAATTACGGCCGTCTTTCATGAGGAACCTGGATCTTTCCCAAGGAATCAGTGAGAAGTTTCAGCTCACATACCATCTCTGATTTGCCATCCCTGGGATGTTAGCTGAATCCTCTCATTTTACGTGGAGGAGACTGAGGGCCACAGAGTTCAATGCAGGGCCTAGTTTAGACTCCAGACCAGCTGCCAAGAGAGATGAAGGGCTGGTGGAGACCAGCCAGCAAGTGGCCATGCTGCCTGCTGCAGACCCCACTTCACACTCTCATGCCACCCCCTTGGGCTCACTGACAAAATTATGCTCACAAAAGCAGTGCTCTGATTTCTATGAGATACTGTAGAAAATAACTTGTTTTTTCTTTTTGTATTACTTTTTATTGTATAATACATATTCATTTCAGAAAAACTAGAAAATACAGCTAAATTGGAAGGGAAAATTAAAGTCACTCATAATCTAACCACTGCTATTTACATTTATACCTTATTGGATATATTTTCAATATCTTTCTAGGCATTTTTCTCTCTGCTTATGTGCCTGTGGTGTTATGATACATATGCATAGGTTTTCATTCATGGTTCCTGGCTCATCACTCTCATAGTCCTTGTTATAATGTTGGGAGCGTTAGGCCTCAGGAGACAACGTCCCTCTCTCTGAGTTTTTCCTGTTCTCCTTTCTCCTGCCCAAGGCGGGACTCTAATCCGATTGTGGGTCAAAAGACCTTCATTTCAGAGCAGGTCCTGCCCCAGCCCCTAAAGGAAGAAATGCTGCACAGAGAGGCTAGGAAAAGTCTGAACGGGCAGGTCTTGCTGGGTTTAGATTGTGTTCTTTTTGCCCAATCACATTTCTACATGGTTGTCAGTCATGCCATGTAATGAAGGCTCCATAAAAACCCAAGACGGGCCAGGTATGTTGGCTCACACCAGTAATCCCGGCACTTTGGGAGGCCAAGGTGGGTGGATCACTTTAGCCCAGGAGTTCAAGACCAACCTGGGCAACATGGCAAAACCCCATCTCCACCAAAAGAAATACAAAAATTAGCTGGGCATGATGGCTTGTGCCTGTGGTCCCAGCTGCTCAGGAGGATCGCTTGAACCTGGGAGGTGGGGGTTGCAGTGAGCTGAGATTGTGCCACTGCACTCCAGCCTGAGTGACAGAGCAAGAGAGAGAGAGAGAAATAAAGAAAGAAAGAGAGAAAGAGAAAGAGAAAGAAAAGGAAAGGAAAATAAAAGGAAGGAAAGGACAGGAAAAGAAAGGAGGAAGGAAGGAAAGAAGGAAAGAAAAGAAAAAGAAAGAAAGAGAAAGGAAAAGAAAAAAGAAAAGGAAACGAAAGGAAGGGAAAAGGAAAGAAGAAGGAAAGAGGAAGGAAGGAAGGAAGGCAGGAAGGAAGGGAGAGAAAACCCAAGAGGACAGTGTTCAGAGAGCTGAGCACGTGGAGACAGACAGGAAGGTGGAGTAGTCATCCATGTGCCGAGTGGGTGGCTGCCCCAGCTCCACGAGGACCGGACTCTTCCAGACCTTGCCCTGTGTATCTCTTCATCTGGCTGTTTATTTGTATCCTTTAAAATATCTTTCTAACAAACCTATAATTGTTAAGTGTTTACCCAAGTTCTGTGAGCTACTCTAGCAAATGGAACCCAAAGAGGGGGTCTTGGGAACCCCAGCTTGAAGTGGGTCAGTCAGAAGTTCCAAAGACCTGGACTTGAGACTGGTGGAAAGTGGGAGGCAGTCTTGTGGGACTGAGCTCTTAAGTTGTGGGATCTGATGCTATCTCCTGGTAGGCAGTGATGGAAGGGAATTGGAGGACACCCAGCTGGTGTCCACTGCTTGGTGTGTGGGGAAAATCCCCACACATTTGGTCACAGAAGCCTTCTTCTGTTGTTGATTGCTGTTGCAGTGTGAGAGCAGAGGAAAAACATGATTTGAGAGGTTTTTCCAAAATGGTTCTTGAGTGGTAATCACAGTAATCCATCCACCTTGTGAGTGTGCATGCATGCTTATGTATGTGTATATGGGATTACATAAATATGGCTCACATGTGTATGATCATATTTGCACACTCCCTTGTCCACTTACTTATATATCAAAGTTTCCCTCATAATGTCTGCTCTGTGTCACTATGTACCCTCCCCTGTCCTCCATTCCCCACACCAAGAGTATTATGAGTATTAAATGCCACGTGGGCAGGTTCCCCAGGCAATGAGGGGGTGGGCCTGTCAAATGCAGGCCATGCAGAATGCCGCAGGGCGGGAGACGGGTGAGCCAAGGGAGCCGAGAGTTCCAGATAACAGAGTGCACAGCAAATGCCATGGCCCGCGTCCAGCAACCAGGAGAAACAGAACTGCTGAGCTCAGAATAGGCCAAGGCCGCGTCTGCTAGCAGGGAGCAAGGGCACAGCCTGCTGTCTGGCCTCTTCTGCCCCATCCCTCCACCGGGACATGGCCCAGATGAGAAAGAGCTGCCAGACGGCAAGTCAAGCGTGGGGCGGGAGAGGACAACGTTTTATGCAAGAGTGGATTCTCGGAGCCTCTGCACTCTCCATCAGGGCTGCTGGCATGGAAAACACAGAGAAACCATCACCTAGGACTTGATTGAACTACTGGACTTCCCAGAAGAGTCCAATTTAAAGCAAAGAGGTCCAGAGAAAAAAGCATTCTAGTGACATTTTTATATATTTAAAAACTGGAAAAAAGAAAAAATAATTAGAACACTGAGTTCCCACTGTCTATGAAAAATGGGCCCAGCCCCGCTGACAACCAACACGCCTCACCTCACACCTTCCCCTCTGCCTTCGTTCTGGCCGTGAGCCCTGAGCCGACCATGCACATCTTACCACCTGGAGAACCTCAAACTCTCCTCTTGCCCACCCCCACCAAGCCCCACATTCAAAAGGCTTGCCCGAGAGGCCTGCCCACTTCCTTGGCAGTTCTGGCCTCCAGTGCCCTGGCAGGTGAGTGACTTCTCTGTCCTGTGTAGCATTTGGTACAGGTATGTACTGCATTTATAACACTTACCATACTGGCTTGGGGTTGTGACACATCTTCAAGGGAGTCCCTGGAGAGCAGAAAGCTTGTCCTATTCATGTTTTGCCCATCTTGTTCCTGAATAATACCTGCACATTGCAAGGGATCAGCAATATTTCCAACCAAACCATAAACTTCTCCATCTCCCCTTGAAGTCTTCTCGATAACTTTCCCAGAAACTCCCAGAAACAACAATGGCTGTCACTCACTGAGACCCTCCTATGCGTTAGGCCCTGTGCCAGGCCTTGGCATTCACGTGTCACTTAAACTTCAGGTAGTTTGTCAGATTTAGCAAAAATAATAATAAATAATAATTTAGGATATCCAGTTAGATTTGAATCTCAGATAAGCAACAAATAATATTTTAGTATAAGTATGTCCCATACAACTTTTATACCAGGCATCCTATATTTTATCTGGAAATCCTGGCCCCAGGGCAACCCTACGTGAGAAACTTGTAGGTCCATTTTACATGTGAAGGAACTGAGGCTCGGAGAGGTTAAACAACTTTCCCACGGTAACACCTGAGATGGAATGGCAGGCAGCTGACTTCAGAGTCCCCCAACACGGCCTTTGCTTGTCTGGGAGAGGGAGCTCCAGGTGGAACTGGTAAAGGGGGTGAATCCATTGGCTGGGAGATGTCATGAGTTTGAGACTATATTGGGAGCACCCGGCACATGGTGGCCATCAAGCAATTTTTAGTCTCTCTCTCCCTTCCTTCCCTTGCGCCAAATTGGAAATTCCCTTGAGACCCTCACACGGAGTCCTCTGCAAACACATTGAATTTCAGCCCTCATAGGAAAGCAGAAGGAAGAAGGATGATGTTGGAGAAGATCCCTGCCATTTGATTTATTACAACAGTCTGAAGCCTCAGAGAGCTCAGAGCAAAGAGACCCTGGAATGCAGCCCCAGATCCCTGGAAGAGACTTTACAGGTGTCACGTTGGAGAGTGGAGAGTGTGGGGGATGGTCTCAAAGAACAGGAGCAGAGATTATCAGAGACACCACAAACTTGAAAAGTCAGGATGGGTAGGACTTGAGGAGAAAAAAAAATCTTACCTTTACAATAGCTTCAAGGACCACAAATTTAAGGGCTCTCCAGAGGCTTTAGGACAGAGTCAAGGAAGTGCTTCCTGGTCGACCCTTTCAACAAAAACTGTGCCCCTGGTCTCACTGCTGCAGGCAGTGATGGTGGTGTCAACATCTGCTCTTCTCGGGCTCCCTCCACGCCTCTGAAAACATGGAAGTGCTTTTACCCATCCAGAAAGAGGGGCAGCTGAAGGAAGGAGGAAAGGGGGTGGTCCAGCACAGGCGCAGCCTGTTGGGAACCTTCTGCTCTGTCTGCGCATTTGTGATGGTTGAATGGGCTGGCGCGGGCGTCTAAGGCAAGGGACTGCAAGGGAGGCTGCAGCCTGCCCTCGTGACCCAGCACACGTCAGATGGCCGGAGTGGGAATGCGTCAGAGATTTGCCTTTGGACAGAACTGAAAGGATATGAAGCAGGGATGAGAGAAGTTCTTTCCATAAAAATCTGAAAACCAAAGGGCCAAACTGATCAACTTGCAGAACGGGAAGGACTGACAAAAATCTCAGGAAATCACCAAGGTCACAGGGGAAGATCATGAGGAAAATGTATGTGAGGCTCCCAGCCCAGCCCTGCCACCACACAGTGTTGGCCCTGACTGCCACTCACCCGGGTGCCCCCTGGACTGCAAGCACCTGGCAGGGGCTGGGCTTTATTCCTGAAACAGTAGGGGGTCCTATAGCACAGCACCAGGAGAATATATAGCAATGGATGTCCACCCCATCCTGCAAAGTCCTGCTCAAGGGCCAGCCCCCATATCCCCAGCTAGAAGCCGCCTCTCCTTCTGCAACGTTCTACTGCGGCTCTCCACCTCTCTTGGGACTGGAAGTGAGAAGCATTTTTCACGGTGGTTCACAAGGTCTCAGTGCAGATGGAAAATAGAGAGTAGGTGAGTTGGAGAGGGTGGCACAGACTGAACCCCAGACAAGAAGGCTGTCTGGGGACTCAGCCCTGGTCTGTTAGCAGTTACGGGTACCCAGAGCAGGAAAGCAATGCAGAAGGGTCACTTTACCCCAGGCCCCACCTGGAGCCCAGCTGGGGCTGTCCACCTGCTTCTTCATTTGTCTTTCCTCCCAGATCCACATCCTCGCCTCACATCAGGAAGGCCCAGTGCTCACTTTTACCCACCATCCGCCTCCTCCCAGTTGGGCGAGTAGCCCTGGCTGCTGCACAGGGTGCCTCCCGTATGCCAGGCACTCTGCTGGCTGCAGGGCAGCTTAACCTGCAGGGCGGTCAGGACAGACAGAATCTTTGCTTTTTCTTTTCATCTGATCAGGGACTTCTGTCTGATCAGAATTAGGTGTCTGGGCTGTCCCAGGCAATGCACGACAGTCACTGGGCTCTCCTCTCGAAGATTCACCCTTTCCAGATGGCCACAATGGTGGCGGCAGCCAAGCGCCCACCTCCACATAAGTCTTCCCTCTTCTGTCCAAGCCAAATCCACTCACAGGAAAGGATCTGGAACTACATGGAGCTAAGGAGTAATAACTAGAGACAGTTCACTAGGATCTCGTGTGGAGCAGGAAATCAAAGTTGGGGACTGCATCACACTGCTGCAATCCCTATTAAACATTTGTTGTTCAAAGTTCTTTCTCAATGGCCTGCTGGAATTTTTTTTCATTCTTCCTCTTTGGCCTGTCTTCCAGCAGTAGCACCAGCCTCCCCAGCTTCTCCCGTCTCCTCCTGGACTTCCTCATAGCTGTAGGCTTCCATGTTCTCAACTCTATTATTCAGAGGAGTTCAGCTCAGTCACGTCTGCGCCAGAGCTTTGATGACCCACCTGTCAGCCACACTAAGGGCCCTGCCATGAATAAGGCCTCCGTCACTGAGGATCCTGTACCCCTCTGCCATAAACTCAGTGACCTGACTGCCAGCCACCAGGCAGAACCTACTAGACTTCTCTAAAATAGATACCGTGGCCTCCTTCCTCAATCATAGTCAAGGTCTAAGCTTCCTTATCAAAGGCAGGCAGTCCTGGGTTTTACGGCAAGAAGTGTGCTTCCTATGTGCAAGGTGCTGTGGGGAAGGGCTGAGTGTGGAGGCCATGTGTGCAGGTCTTTAGGATTTTAGCTGAGCTGCCTTTTCTTGCAGTTTAAGAAAAAAACAGCCAGCCGTTCCCTCCTTGTAATAAATGCCTCTGCATATTTGAAGACAGTAGTTAGGTCATTCTTGAGCTTTCTCATCTTCAAACTAAACAACGGTGGCCCCTGTAACCTTTCCTTGGCAAATTGTAAGGCCCATATGCAGAGGAAAAGCAAAACAAAACCATCTGATGGGGAAGGCCTCCTATCTCTAACCAAGTGTCTGTTTTGAAATGCGGTCTGCACTCGAGTCTTTAATTACATGTAAATTCAGTAGCTTCAAGTGTCTGAGCCAGTGGGAGACCAGGTGCTGCTCATCAGGCCCCTTGGATATGTTCATGCTGCAAGGCTGGGTGATAGCACTTGGCAGACGCTAGGATTTCTTCTCTTCAGATTCATTTTGGGGCAGGAAAAGGGGCTTCCGTGAGTGACCCAGGAGCACAGTCAGCTGACACTTCCTCCCCAGGTTCCCTGAGGGTAGGATGGGCCCCAAGAGCCTCCAGAGAGCCAGTGGCCTGCTGGAAAGGCTGCCCTCTGCCTCCACAGAAGCCAGCAAGTGTGGCTTCCAGATGTCCCTGGTAGAGGCTGGCAGCCTCATCCTGCAGCCAGCGTCTCCCAGGGGAGGCTTCCTGCTGCTGCTAACTCAGAGACAGGGGATCTGCTAAGCGCCTGCCCTCGGTGGGGGTGTTCTGATCACATCAACTTCTTTCCCATGGTTCTTTCCAGGCTCCTTTCCCACATTTGCAGTGTGTTATCTTGGGAGACCCCATGTGTTAGTCTGTTTGTGTTGCTGGGAATACCTGAATCTGGGTAATTCTTTTTTTTTTTTTTTTTTTTTTTTTTTAGACGGAGTCTCGCTCTGTCGCCCAGGCTGGAGTGCAGTGGTGCCATCTTGGCTCACTGCAAGCGCCAACTCCCGGGCTCACACCATTCTCCTGCCTCAGCCTCCTGAGTAGCTGGGACTACAGGTGCCCGCCACCACGCCAGGCTAATTTGAGTCTGTGTAATTCTTAAAGAAAAGAGGTTTATTTGGCTCATAGTTCTGTAGGCTATAGAAGAAGCATGGTGCTGGGCACAGTGGCTCATGCTTGTAATCCCAGCACTTTGGGAAGCTAAGGTGGGTGGATAACGAGGTCAGTAGTTCAAGACCAACCTGGCCAAGATGACGAAACGCCATCTCTACTAAAAATACAAAAAATTAGCTGGGCTTGGCAGCAGGCACCTGTAATCCCAGCTACTCGGGAGGCTGAGGCAGAGAATTGCTTGAACCCAGAAGGTGGAGCTTGCAGTGAGCCAGGATCGTGCCACTGCACTCCAGCCTGGGCAACAGAGCGAGACTCCATAAAAAAAAAAAAAAAAAAAAAAAAAAAGAAGAAGAAGAAGAAGCATGGCCACCGGCATCTGCTTCTGGTAAGGACTCAGGAAGATTTCAGTCATGACCAGTCATGGTCAAAGGGGAGCAGGCATGTTACATGTGAGAGAGAGAGCAACAGAGAGAAGGATGGAGGTGCCAGATTTAAAAAATCCAATCTTGCAGAAATAAGTAGAGCAAGACTCCGTACCGTGGGGACGGCACCAGGCCCCTCATGAGGGATCCTCCTCCATGACCCAAACACCTCCCACTAGGGCCCACCTCCAGGGCCCACTGGAGATCCCATTTCAATATGAGATTTGGGGGGAATGAACATCCAAACTGTATCATCCAAGGTCAGTGCGTTTCTCTGTCCTCCAGTTTTGCCTGCCATGAGCAGCTTTCCTGTGAGCCAGCTGTCCTTTTCATCTCCAGGGTCATTTTCTTCCTTCAGTGCCCAGTGTTTGGACTTTAGGCTGACCTTCAGGATTGTGGAGTCACAGAACAAGCTCATATAAGTGTGTAAGCAAGGCAGCAAATTTTTTAAAATAAAGAAAAAGTTATTTAGACTGTGCCAGTCAGTCTGTGTGCCATCCTAGCTACAACCCAGGGTGGATGCAGAGTGGAGGGTAGAGGAGTGCATCCCTCACTCTTATCTGTGCTTGTCCTTCCTGCATACTGCTGAGGCCAGGAGCACCTAGATTTGCCCCAGTGGGACTCACCTTTTTATTTATTTTTATTTTTATTTTTATTTTTATTTGAGATGGAGTCTCACTCTGTCACCCAGGCTGGAGTGCAGTGGTGCGATCTTGGCTCACTGCAACCTCCACCTCCCGGGTTCAAGCAATTCTCCTGGCTCAGCCCCCTGAGTAGCTGAGATTACAGGCGTGCATCACCACGCCCAGCTAATTTTTGTATTTTTAGTAGAGACGGGGTTTCACCATGTTGGTCAGGCTGGTCTCGAACTCCTGACCTCGTGATCCACCCACCTCGGCCTCCCAAAGTGCTGGGATTACAGGCATGAGCCGCCATGCCTGACCTGGACTCACCTTTGAGGAGACACGGTTTTGGCCAAGATAGCTGTTAAGTACAAGTGTTCAACTGGTGCCCAACCAAAGGGAAAGCAATCTTTTCCAACAGTGAAGAAGAAATTGGTTGTGTCTGCTTTTCAACAGCAAGGGGGTAAGTCTCAAATATGGTGCCTCCATTAAGGTGTTCAATAATTTCAACTACATGAAAAATGTGCCTTGGGAATGACTTCAGAACTTAACCCTCCAGGGAGAGATGCCTCTACTGTATGGCCCCTGGCCTGGTCTCAGATTGGATCATAAGCTCCCTCATTCTTGTATCCCCATGCCCAAAACTGTGCCTGGCACTTAAGGGCCCATAATACATATTTTTGGCTTTGTTGAATAGTTTAACTCATTAGTGATGCAAAGTCCCAACTGCATATTTAGAGATATTTATGTGTGCACTACATTATGGATCGTATGGGTGAGAAGGAGGAACTCAAGGAGAATAAATCATACTTTCCCTCCCCAAAATGTTTATAAAGCCACCAAGAAGACAGGACATAGACACATCAAATATAAATAAAATACAAAAGGATGTACCCTGACATGCCAAATATGTGTTCACAGAAACAAAGTTCCTCTTGCCAAATTCCTGTTGTCTAAAGCAGTTTTTCCTAAAACATATTCTTCAGAATACCAGTTTCTCAGAGTGCCAATGTGAGGAAAAGCTTTGGTGGTCAGATGAGTGCAGGGCTGGGTTAGGCTGACTTCTTTACCAGAGGGCTTCCTGAAGACTTAAAGAAATCTGTATTGAGATATAATTTGTATAGCATAAAGTTCACCCACTTTAAGTAAACAACTCATTGGCTTTTAGTATAGAGTTGTGTATCCATCACCACAATGTCACTGCAGAATGTTTCCATCACCACCCAAAACACCTCATGC
Source organism: Homo sapiens (assembly GCF_000001405.40). Lineage (NCBI taxonomy): Eukaryota > Metazoa > Chordata > Mammalia > Primates > Hominidae > Homo > Homo sapiens. The sequence goes on along the minus strand of NC_000002.12, from coordinate 111,260,049 downwards.
TGTTTGCAGCCATTTCCCATCCACTTCCTTCCTAGCCCCTGACAACCACTAATTTACCTTCTGCCTCTATAGATTTGCCTATTCTGGACATTTCATACAGATGGACTCATTTACTGTGTGATCTTTTGCGACCAGCTTCTTTCATTTAACTTAATGTTTTCAAGGTTCATCCACATTGTTGCATGTATGCACTGATGGACATTTGGGTTGTTTCCACTTTTTGGCTATCATAAATAACGTCATTATAAACATTCATGAGCAAGTTGTATTTGACCATATGTTTTCAGTTCTCTTGGGTCTATACAGAGGAGTGGAATTGCTGGGTCATATGGTAATTCTACATTGAGCTTTTAGAGGAACTCCCAGACTCTTTTCCAAAGCAGGTGCACTATTTTGCATTCCCACCAGCAGTGTACACGAGTTCCAGTTTCCCTACATTCTCACCAACACTTATTATTGTCTGTCCTTTTTTATTATAGCCATCCCAGTGGGTATGAAGTAGTACCTAATTGTGATTGTGATTTTGATTTTTGTTTCCCTAATGACTAATTGTTTTGAGCATTTTTCATGGGTTCAGGGCCTTTGATATGTTGATTTTTTCACAAATCTTCAAAAGGGGACACAGTCGGCAGCAGTTCCTAAATGCGTTGGACCATGGAGCCAAACTTGCAAAAGCAGCTCCTGGAATGCAAGCCCGTACCCGAAAGCTGGGAAACATTGGCTGGAAACCAGCCTGTGCTGGAAATGTGAGTTTGGTGAATGTCCTTAGGTCATTACTTCTGCAAATTTTGCTCAAAGAAAGGGAATCTGAACTCTCCACTTTTGTACATTAAGATAATAATAATAATAATAATAATTTTACCCCAAGATATGGCACCCTGGCATGATGAATATTTTGAATTAAAGGCCCTTGGAGACAAGCAGATGCTGGAAAAGGCTTTTGGTTATCTGTATAAAGATTGGACCCACCAAGGACAGCAATTGCTTTCCATCTGTTCCCTGAAATCTCGTACCTGGATGGACCTTTTCACAAGATAATGTCTGTCTCTCAGGCTCATTAAAATTCAAAAGAGAATAATTTACAGGTTAGTTTCTGTCCCCCCTCCCCCACCATCTATTCATTCTCACTAATACTCATTTGTTGCCCCTAACAAGAATTACCTACATTCCCCACCTCCTCTCTTTCCTATGAGGCCTTGCTGAAGGTCACCACTGTGCCTTTACACTCACCCACCTTCCTTTCCCTACTGCTTACCTGCCCCACAAGCCAGTCATGGCCTCTCCTCTGAGCCCTGTGAGAATTCTTAGAAGTTTTATCCTCAGTATAATTCAAATGTGTTCCCTTCTCCAATACCCAAAAACATGGTATGGGATTATTTTTTCAGTAGGGAGACAAATAGAAAGGAGGCCATTCAGGTCTTCTATATTTTAAGATCACAATCTTGACTGAACCTATAGGTGACCCAGTGTGCATAAGCTGCTATTTCCTGTCCTCCTAGTCATCTTTGTGTAGAATCAAAGACACCCACCTCCTTGGTACCTCTCATTTGTCACTTTTCAACACTTCCTGGCAGGCAGGCAGCATAACTGGTCCTGCTGGGTGATCCAGACCACACTCTGCAACTCTTTCTTCTGAGCCAGGCTCCCCTACTGTCTTTTCATTTATGTCAAGGCAGGGGAAGACCTCAAAGGGCTCTTGCATCCCAGTCTCACTTCCCAGAGAGGCACGAGGCCCTCCAGGATGTGGGGACAGGAACTTTGGGGCAAGCCGGGGTTGTCCAGAAGATCACCAGGAGGGCTAAATAGTAGAAAGGAGAGTCTTATTGGTGATATGTTTGCAAACTGGGAAAAGATAGCCTCCAGTGTGGAGCAAAGATGCTCCTTCTTCAAAGAGGGCAAGGGCAGCTTGGATTTTGTGCCTTACAGGGTCGGTATTATATAATAGAGTCATGCATATTCAGTAGGTTTGGGGGAAAAGCTATATATATTTATGAGGGGAGCCAACTACATGGGCAATGGATAAACATACATGTAACACATCCCATGTTCACTTAGGGGCAGGATTTTAGCATTAAAATGAGGTGGAATTTGGCTCTTTACATCAAAAGGTGAGCTATCAGACACAAAGGCAGTTTGTGCACAAGCTCTCCAAAGGGACTTGAGGGCTACAGCTGCTCATCTGGAAAGAATCCTTGTAAGACCAGTCCTCTGTCCAACCAGAGTTAGGAGGCATCTGACAATTTGCCTGATTAGCTGTACTGTTGAGAGTTTAACAAGGGTGTGGTTTTTCTTGTAACCATAGGAATTTAGGGAGTTGCCACGCCAGCCAAGCCCTAAACCCTGGGCTTATAGGTAACTTTTTCCCTAACCTTAAGATCTGTCTTAGTTGGTAAAGGGGTGTCTATTTTGGTCTCTCAGATCACACTAGAAACCTCTCAAGTCCTGTATTCTTATTATAAAGCTGATTATAAAGCTTTACAATTTACTTTGTGATTACTGTAGCTTATCGTAAAGCAACTGTAATCAGTAGGATTGGTGTCAAGATGGGTACACAGATGGGTAGAAAAGAATTGAGAATCCAGAAATGGACTCATATTTACATGGTCAATTTATTTTTGACAAAGGCACCAAAGAAATTTAGCATAGAAAGTATAATCTTCATCAAATGATGCTGGAAAAATTGAGTAACTATATGCAAAAAAGAAAGAAAAGAAAGAAAAAAGTGAAAACCTCCACCTCCGTCATTACTTCATACCATATAAAAAATTAACTCAGAATAGATCATAGACATAAATGTAATAACTAAAACTATAAAACTCCTAAAAGAAAACAGGAGAAAATAGAGAAAACCTTGGTGATCTTGGTTTTGGCAGTGATCTGTTAAATTCAATAGATAAAACACAAATTAGAAATAAGGTATTGACTGAACCTCATAAAAATAAAACATAAACTTTTGTTCTTCAAAAGACATTTAGGAAAATGAAAAGGAAAGCCCCAGACTGAGGTAAAATATTTGCAAAACATATATATAATAAAGGTTTTGTATCCAGAATGTATAAAGAAGTTAAGAAGAAAAGCAACATACTTTTTTTTTAGTTGACAAAAGATCTGAAAAAGACATCTCACCAAGTCGTTTGTAGGACTGGCAAATAAGTAAACAAGAAGAGGCCCAACACCTTTAGTCATTAGAGAAATGAAAACTACAACCACAGTGAGATAATAACACACACTAGAATGGATGAAATTGAAAAGTCTGACCATATCAAGTGTTTGCAAGGATGTGGAACCAACAGGAACTCCATTCACAGCTAGTGGGAATGGAAAATGGTTTGACCATGCTGAAGAGCATTTTGTTGTTTTTTTAAAAGTTAAAAATATATCTACCATATGACTCAGTCATTCCACACTTGGTTATTTACACCCCACAAAAAATGAAAGCATATATTCACACAAAGGCTTTTAAACAAGTGTTCATAATAGCTTTATTTGTAATTGCCAAAAACCGAAAATCACCCAGTTGTACCCCAGCAGGTGAATGGATAAACCAATTGTGACGTAGTCATATAATGGAATGCTAACCAATAATTTAAAAAAGGAACAATTGATACCTATAACAGCATTATTGAATCCAATAGAATGATGCTGAATAAAAGAACATGGACAAAGAAAGAGCACATACTATATGATTTTAGTTACATAAAATTCTAGGAAGTGTACTAATCTATAGTAACAGCAAGCAGATCAGTATTTGCCTATTGGGGGAAGGAGTTGGACAGCAGCAGGGGAAGGGTTAAAGTCACATTTTAGTTTTAAAATATTCAGCATGTATTTTGGGCTACAAAATAGCACAAGGAAACTCTTGGGTGTGATGGACATGTTCATTATTTAATTGTTATGATAGTTTCAGAGACATAAACATAAAAAACTTCTCAAATACACACTTCCATTATGTACAATTTATTATGTGGCCATTATACTTCAATAAAACTGTCACAGAAGAACGACCCTTATCTTCTGGAGATACATGCTGAATGTCTTACAAATAAAATTATCTAAGAACTGAAATTGGCTTCAAGGTAAAGCAGGAATGGGGTGAGAAGTGTGTGTGACGTGGACACAAGGGTGATATAGAAGATTGGCATCAAGTGACAGAAGTAGACGGTAGATTCATTTTTATATATGTTTGAAATACTACATTACAAAATGCCAGTAGAAAATCTGAGTCTAACCCTAAGAATGCAGTACATCCTACTGCCATGTTTCTTTCTTTAGAGCTGAGGAGAGGCCTCTTTACTTTGGTCGGAAACCTCATTAGGTTTGATTTAGTTCAATAAAAATGTGTATAGGTGAAATAGTCCATACGAATTCATTACAATTGATGTGAAACAAAATTAATTAATAATTAATCCATGCAAGTCTTTTGGTAGCCTGCATTTTATCAAAGAAGGGACCCATGGCAAAGGCTGGGAAGGGACCTTTAACAGGGGAGCATGAGTTCCACGGCAGAGTTGCCCTCAAGTAATGCTTTGTAGATTGGTACAGCACATGTGCATCAAAGTAGTGAAAGGATTATGAAATGTGAATAAGGAGTTAGAAGGTGGACCTTGAAGTCCTCCTGGGTACCCATTTCCCCAAGAGTGAGCATCATTATTCTTCATTCCCATACTTCTACAGGATCAATGTTGCAGCCACAGTAGGTGGAAAATTCCAACTCTGCTAACAGTTGGGAGCGTGTCCCTCTAATGAGAGGACCTGTTCATGCAATTTTCTTGATGTCTGGTGAACGCTCCCACGTTATATCTTCAAAAGACTTTACTACCTGAGAGGGTTTCATGCTAACTGCTGAGTAAAACCATCCAGTGCTGAGCACGCAGAGGAGGGAGTAGGGATACAGGTCCACCACAGCCCAGGCTTTGGAGTCTGCCAAAGCAGTCAGACAATGGTGGTCAGAAAAGGTGTGTGAGTCACTCGACTGACTACTTAAATCCAAAGGAATTTGTTTATATGGACCAATCGTTTTAGTAAGATGGTTTGTTATGTGCCTTTATAATTTAACATATTAATTTTATTTAGACAATATTGGAAAAGATAATGCAATCCGGTGATCTCAGCAAAATTCTCTCCTCTATAAAAATAATGAGAAAAGTGACAAAAATAATCAGAATCAACTTTTTAGAACTCTGGAAATTTACCAAAGTGTTGCAGCCATCCAAGGATTGTTTGCTCAAGCAAAACAACTGAATTTCACCTAGAATAGTGGGTTTGTGACATTTTAACTTGCCCCATTCGCATCACCCTTTCTCCAGCTTCATGGTAGCCTTGAAAACCAGCAGCCCCCAGTCACAGAGAAAACCCGTCTAGTGGTTCTCTGAAAGACCCCACTTGCAAGGCTGTCTTTATTTAATCTGACTTGGAGTTTGCCCAGTGTGAAAAGCCATTTCTTCAGGGGCATTTGTTAAAAACATTTAGAGGCAATTGTTTAACTTCACAGATGCTTGAGATAGTGGATAATAGTTGCAACAAACAATAGGCTAATTAAAAAGCTTAAAGTGAAAACTGGAGAATGGATGTTCATAGGGGCTTTGAAAAGCTCTGACATATTCTGGGAAATCTGGAAGGCCATGAGCAGGAGTAAGATAGGCTTTGCACATGCACAGAGCTGTGTGCAGGCTTGGAAAAGATCTTAGAAGGTCCTAAACCCTCATCAATGGCTCCCTTAAAGTTCTGGACAAGAAGATATTGTCAAAATCTAAGTTTAAGGTGGAATTGTCAACTGCTTGGATGAGTGTGGAGGACATTCCCCAACATGCATGTAGAGCACCTCAGCAAAAACTTGGAGATGTAAACCAAAAAGAAAAATCTAAGGTCGTCCTACCCCAACCATCTGAATGGATCCCTCCTCTCTGTCAAGGGCATTCCAAAGTTTACCTGAAAAAGAAGTTCAGGCCATGATGGGAAGGCAGAGCTGGACAAACCTGGTAATACCCTCCTCCTTTTTGGAGTTACTAACAGAACAGACTCTAAATCTGATAAGAAACATTTACAATCTAGTCTGTCTGAAGCCTGCTACCTGGAGGCTTCATTTGCATGACAAAATCTTGGTTTCCACAACCTGTTATCATAACCCAGATATTCCTTTCTATTGATAGTAACTCTTTCAACCAATTACCAATCAGAAAACCTTTGAATCCGCCTATGATATGGAAACCCCCACTTCCACTTGTCCCACCTTCCTGGACTGAACCAATATACATCTTCCATGTATTGATTGATGCCTTATGTCTCCCTAAAATATGTCACACCAAGTTGTTACCCAACCACTTTGGGCCCATGTTCTCAGGATCTCCTAAATGCTGTGTCATGGGCCATTGGCCACTCATATTTGGCTCAGAATAAATCTCTTCAAATATTTTACATAGTATAACTCTTTTTCATTGACAGAGACTTACTAGTTCCTGATCCTTAAAGAAATTTCTCTCCAATCATTAGATGACCATTAAGCTAACAAAGCAGAGACGTCAGTGGCTACACAAGACAAAGAATACAGACTTATAACACAATTACATCAGAAAAGTTACTAAAAAACAAAAACACCAACAAACTGTAAAAACAACATAACCTGAGGAGTAGAGAAAGAATCTGATTTTTTAAAGTTGCCACATTGCATTTTTAATGTCCAGTTTTAACAGAAAATTACAAGACATGTAAGGAAACAAGAAAATATGTCTCATACACAGGACAAAATCAATTAATAGAAACTGTTCCAGAGGAAGCCCAGACATAAAACTTATTAGAAAAAGTCTTTAAATTTAGTTCAAAGGGTTAAAGAAAACCATGTCTAAATAACTAAAGGAAAGGATGAAAATGGTGTTTATCTAACACAGAATATCAGTAAAGAGATAGAAATGATAAAAAAAAAAAAAGAATCAAATAGGAATGCTAGAGTTAAAAAGATAACTAAAAGGAAAATTTTAAGAGGAGCTCAACAGCAGATTTGATCAGGTGGAAGATATAATCAGCAATCTTGAACATTGTTCATTTGAGATTTTCCAGACTGAGAAACAGAAAGAAAAAAAATTATGAAGAAAAATGAACAGAACCTCAGAAACCTGTAGATCTCTATGAAACATACTAACATATACATAATGGGGAGTCTCAGAAGGAGCAGAAAAAGAGAAAGGTGATAAAAATATGTGAAGAATTAATGTCTGTAAACTTAACAAATTGTATGTAAAACATTAAACTGCACTTCCAAAAAAAAATAAAAAAAAGCCAATAGACTCCAAGTAAGATACATTCAAAAATATCCACACCTGGACACATCATTATTAAAATACCAGAAGTAAAAGACAAAGAGAATCTTGAAAGCAGTAGGAGAGAAGTGACTCATCCCACAGAAGCAATCCTCAATAAGAACAACAGCTGACTTCTCACCAGAAACCAAGTTAGCAGGATGGCATGCTGGTGTTGGTTACAATGTGGCATTTGCTAATATTGTGCTTGTCTCCTGAAACTCTTATAGAATTGAGATCTTGAGCTTGTTTTGTTTGTGTGTTCATTTGTTTGTTGGTATGGTAGAGATTCTCATACAAAAAGCCACTTACAAGGAGGTTCCTTAGGTCCATCTCTCTTCTCTGCAGCCTTGCTGCTGTTGTTCCTGTTGGTGCTTCTACATGAAGGGTCTTCAACTGTCTCATTCTCTGGTTATGAAGTTAGTAGGACATAAACCTAAGCAGTTTTCTCAGTGGGCTTTCCAGGCATTTCACAGTGATGGTCCTTCTGAGCCCTGACACCATTGGTGCCAGTAGCATGCAGGCATGGCAGGTCACTCTTCCCAGTAGAACAGACCAGGCTCCACAGGAGGAAATCCAGGAGCTCCTCACTTGGATAGGGTTCGTGTAAAGTGACAGAGTCAAAGATGCTGTGGGGTTTTAAGTCTGGAGAAGCAGAATCAACTGGGGAGGTTCTGGATGTTATCAGAACCAACTTCACAGCTTTCAGCACTTTGTAGAGAGGATTAAATGAAATAATGCAGTCATGCACCAAACATGCTTAGAACAGGTGCTGTCCAAGAAATCTTGGCCTTAGCAATGAGAGGGTGGAGCAGAACAGCTGTTTATAAAAGAGAAGACCCATCGAGGAAACTATTTTACAGAAACCACAGAAGTCATCTGGCCTGGGATTAAGAACTTGATGATTTTCTAGGGCAACTATTGAGAATGCAGCAAGGAGTCCACTGGGAAGAAACCAACAGCGTGGCAGCTGCAATAAGGGCCCAGTTGAGGCCAGAGAATCGCAATGAACTCTGCCTATTGACAAGTGGTTCTCCAAACTCTGGTGTTCTCGCCCTTTAAATGGAAATAATTATACTACCTATCTCATAAGATCATTGTAATACCATTTGTAAATGCTGAGTACTTTGCCTGACACAAGATGTTAACTCAATAATTGATGGTGGTGGTGGTAATGGTGATGGTGGTGGTGGTGATGGTGATGGTGGAGGTGGTGATGGTGGCAGTGGTGGTGGTGATGGTGGTGGTGGCGGTGATGGTGATGGTGGTGATGAGGTGACGATGATCGCAGTGGTGGTGGTGATGATAATAGTGAAGGTGATGTCTCAAGGGAGATTGTATGAGACTCCTATAGGGTAGAACCTACTCTGAAAGAACTCACCTCAATTAAGCTTGATTGGAGTAAAAGCCAAGGCTAGACACCTAAGCTTCAGAGGGACAGAGAAGCTACTCTAAGTAAGAGAGGATAGGGAGTTGATTTTCCTGGGTGAGGATGGAGAGTCTAGTGGGAAGAGGGTCAGAAATGAGGCCTCAAAAGACAAATAACTTTGGGAAAAAAGAAAAATTATTCATTGGGGAATTAATTTTTTGTCTTTGGAATGTGCAATGTTAACCCCTTTCATGGTCTCTTTACATTATCTTCTGTAAAGTCTGTGCTTCTCACTAATGGTTTTGGAAAAGTGTACCTTTTTGGTTATCTTCAAGAGGGATTGAGTTCTGTGTTGAGTTTGGCATGTGATAAAAACAGACTGACCCCATGCATGCAGGATGCAGAAGAAAAGGTGCAGCTGATACCCAGGATGTATTATTATTACTGTGACACAGTGAATCTAAAAGAGGGGTCAGTGGATGAGGGACAGGAGATGCAGCTAAGAGCTAAGAGTGTGGTTAGTGAGACAGTGAAAGAGCTGAGTGACTCAACCCTAAAGGGAATTGTATCAGGGAGAAGAAAGATGGTTTAAACCTCCAAGGAAGCCAGAGGATTACAGACGAGTTAAGCCAGTGTTGAGTGATGGTGCTGAGGGTCTTGAGCAAAACAGCAGGAGACAGTGCACTGCACCCCATGGTGGAGGTTGGTGTTTGTGCCTGAGAACCTTGCTCTTGAGTCAGGAGTGTATGACCTTGGACTTGGGTTAGGACTTGGACTTGTGTTAGGACATGGGTTAGTGTGCAGTTTGTACTTCTTTTGTGTGTGTGAGTCTGGGAGAGAGACCAAATTTCTTAGGCTCTAGCAGCAGGAATATTCCTTGTACTCTAATGACATAAAGTAACTTGATTCTCATGTCTGAGGTATCAATTAGAGAAAAATAGATTAGGAAAGGGAGTTCAGAGGAGCAAAAGCTGGCAAGGCTCGTTCAGTCAAGCTTGCAGTTCAGTACAAAAAGGATTTATTTGAATGCCTACTGTGTGCTTAGCACTATACCTTTGTCTCCAAATTAGAAACATAAGGCTGCTTTCATCTAATTAGCAAACATGTTATAAGTACCTATTGCATGTTAGGTTCCACACACCAAAAATTGTCCTGGATGCCTGGAATGTGACTTTTCTTCTTCCCTTTACCTCCTTGCAACTGCCCTCAATATTAAAGCCTATTTATAATTCATTCAACATTAATTTTATTGAAAAAGCATTTGGTTTAGCCAAAACAAACATCAAACTCCATATACTTTTTTCAGTCTGAGAGTGGAAAATCAAAACTGACCTTGTGTTATGATTTACTGTATCTCCCCATCCTGGCCCCACAGGCCCATAAAGAAGAGAATCTGGTGGCTGTTTTTTCTCAACAGTACCATGACTTCATAATCTGAACTATATCCAATAATACTGATAGGATGGTTTTAAATTATATTGCCTTTCATTTTGTTTTATCAAGGAGGCTATGAAGTCCCTGCTAGTGTTGTCTTTCCACTTTGGGAAGTGAAGCCTGTGTTCTTTGTAATAGGCTTTCAATTGTTGCTAGTGCCATGGATGCAATTTTCACCTTTTAAGCTCATTTAAATGTCAACAATTCTCTACCTGCCTCTTCCTGAACAGAGTATTTTTGCACTTTTCAAGAGTTAAATTGAGGGGTGCAGTGGCTTACACCTGTAATCCCAGCACTTTGGGAGGCCAATGTGGGTGGATTACTTGAGCCCAGGAGTTCAAGATCAGCCTGGCCAACATGGCAAAACCAGTCTCTACTAAAATATATATGTACACAAAAATTAGCCAAGCGCAGTGGTGCACGCCTATGGTCCTGGCTGCTTGGGAGGCTGAGGCCGGAGGGTCAGTTGAGCCCAGGAGGCAGAGGTTGCAGTGAGCCGGGATCACACCACTGCACTCCAGCCTGGGTAACAGAGCTAGACCCTGTCTCAAAACAAAACAATAATAACAACAAAAAAAACTTAAAAAAATAGTTAAATTAGGACTAAAATTTCAGATGCTTTTAGTGCTGCACAGTCATCTATGAACAGGGCCTCTTTTAGATTACCATTGTATCCGCATGTATTAATGTGCTGTATTAGGCAGGCCCACTTAAATCTGTCTTGTCCCCCAGTTGGTGTTTTCTGCTTCCACTGATACAAAATGGCTCTCCCAGGAAAGGGACACCCTCAAAGCTCAGCTTCTCACAGGGTCCTCTGCCTTTCTCAGGGGAGCTTGGAGAATGGGGGAATTGGCCCTCATGGGGCAGAGTGGAAAAAGGGTCTATCTTGTGCTGAAAACAGACACTTATATGACTATACGGAGAATGGGTGCTATACAACATGCCTAACTCTTGGATTGATTTTTCTAGAACCAAGGAGTAGAGGTGGGGCACCAACACTATTCCAGCTGGGGCTCCAAATTCCTGTCTGTAGGATGGCCTCTGCCTGAGGTCAGAAAGCAGGAGCACCGTGAGGTTCAGGACCGTCTTCTGCACACTGGCTACCAGGACCAGGAGGCTATTCTATGCTCTGTCCATCCTCACTGTTTAACCAGAAAGGGCATGCCCAAGCCTACAGCAGGGGCTGACAGCATCTACAGGGTTAGAAAGAGATGGGGTCCATGAGGGTTCCAAGTCCAGGGACTGAAAACAATCCCATGGCCCCAGAGACAAAATTACAGCTCAAGTCACCATGTTCACAACTCTAACGTCAACACAAGGCTCCCTCAATTGCCTTGCTGTAAAATAGGTGAATAGGTGTAGTGGGAGATTCAGTGGCCAAGCCTGGGTCCCAGGTAAGGTGACTAACCATCCCAGTTTTCCTGAACAGAGAAATTTCCCAGGAAACTTTGGGTTTTAAAGCCAGGAAAGTCCCAGGTAAGCAAGGGTGAGTTGATCACCCTGGCAGGGAACTGATTCATTCAATTCTGGATAATTGAATAAAGTCCACATCCTCACCGGGAACATTCTACTGAATGATAAGAAGAAGTTCCTTCTAGTTTTGCCTGTTTCTTTTCCAGGATCTGGGTCCATGGGACCCCTACCTTATCAACTGTCCCCATACCCAGGCCCTGGCTCTCATCCCTACATTGACCTCCACCCCTTCCTCCACAGGCAGGCCAGAAAGCAGACCCAGGGAGGATAGCACATGTCTTCGGCTACACTGGTGAAGGCATCGTGCCTGCTCCACAGCACATTTTTATTCAAGGTATTGTATTTGCAAACAAAAATGAAGTCCCACAAATGCGGGACTCCACCTGACTCTCAAAAAGAAAATAAATCACAAGTGTATTTTAAAAGCTACATTTGAGATTAGCAAACTGGAATCAAATGACAGATACTTTATCCAGAAAGCAACAGACATTCTTTTTTCAGTTGTGCTTCTTTGTTAAAGCATCTTGCCTCCCAGAGGTATAATGCGTTCCCCAGGAGCAAACACTGAAGCGCACTACAGTAATATCTTTCAAGAGCGGTGGGTGTGGTTCCAGCAGGATTCTAATTATGGCAGAGAAACAGCAACTATGACCACCAAACCAACAAAAATGATGTGAAATGCAATTTCTTAATTTCAGTCTCAAACTGTGCCTGGGCCAATGTATGTGAAAGCCCGATGTCCATGTGGATTCAAATCCTGATTCACTCAGGCATGGTACTTAACATTCTAAGCCTCAGTTTCCTCATCTGTAAAATGGCTTTCCTATCTCACACAGGCAGTTAGCCAAGGCCTGATATGCAGAAAGTGCTCAGCTGCTGTGACTCTTCACCCTTCCTGTGAGATGCCTTCTTTAACCCCACAGATGTGTACCATGTGATGGCCAAGGGAGCTTCATCAATCATGGCATCTCAAGGGAGCTGGAGCAGATGAGGAGGAGATGGAGGTCCCAGGAAGGGCTGTGATCTGCCTGGGGTCCCACAATGGGAAACAGGCATGAGCTCTCCACACTCCCTGTCCAATGCTCTTTCCACTACAACTGGCTGTCGGTCTCCCATAGGACAAGAAAAAACAGTCAAAAAGGAAATCGAAGGGATTTTTGTTTTTATCCCTGTTCTTTTGTTGGTTCTATCTGTTCTGTTTTGGGTATTTTGTTTGTTTTTATTTGTGTACTTTTTTTTTTTTTAAATGGAGCTTCCATCATGTAGGAGTAGGGTGTAGAAATCTGAGTTGGTGGCTCCCTGGTATAAGACCATAGCCTTCATTTTGGTGAGTAACAACATAATTTCTGCTTTGAGTCCCATTTTCTTGCAGTGGAAGCTTAATCTCAGAGTATCAAAATCACTGCATCTGAGCGTGGGCCTCCCCACATCATGGGAGGAGAAGGATGAGTAGATGATGTCTCATGGAGAGGACCTGCCAGGATCCCTCATCGCTGGCCTTCAGCTTTCTCATCTGCCCTCAACCACAGAACCCTGGGAGGAGGCTCCCTCAGTGGCTCGTGCACTCTTGCAGGCCCTGTGAACATATATACTTCCTGGTGGGAAGAGCAAGGGAGCCTCTGGTGGAAAGCAGCCCCAGGGTCCAAGAACCACACAGCCCTGCATTAGGGCCCCCAGGGAGGGAGAAGACCAAGGTCATGCTTTTGAACCTGGATGCCAGAAGAGAACAGCTGTGGGGAAAAGCATGCCTGGAACCAAGAAAAACATGTTTACCAGGGGCCATTCCTCACACCAGCTGCAGGCAGGGTCAGGAAAGCCACAGGCTGCACTGTAGTTGCAACCTTGCATGCGGACGCAAGGCTCAGAATGTTCCTCAAAGATCCTAAAATGTTCCCAGAGTCAGGCTGAGTCCATTCAAATGTTCACTCACCCTGGCCACACTCACTACACCTGACTTCCCTGTATCATGAGTTAGAGAAATAGTATAGAGTCTGGTTGATGCTGGCAGGTGGGAGGGAATGGGATAGGAAGGAGAGAGAGAGAGAGCAAGAAAGAAGGCTGTTTGGGTTTTTGTCTATAACATATGTATATACACTCATCAAGTCCATTATTTAAAACCTCTTTCATGGTTTCAATTTCCTGTGGACCACTTTTCATGCCCATTTTAAGTTCCTTGAAGGCGAGGAGATACATGTGTATCTGCCAGCTTCACTGTGCCTTATATCTTAGGCAATCAATAAATATTAGTAAATCAAAGGATGCCTGATACTCTAAAAATGTCTTATTATTTTTAGGTGATTTGGGCAAAGCACACGCATTGTATTTGCATCTGGGAACCACATTTTTAATTTAAAAAAGTTATTTGTAGGCCGGACACGGTGGCTCACGCCTGTGATTCCAGCACTTTGGGAAGCCGAGGTGGGCGGACCACTTCAGGCCAGGAGTTTGAGACCAGCCTGGCCAACATGGCAAAACCCTGTCTCTACTAAAAATACAAAAATTAGCCAGGCGTGGTGATGCATCCCTGTACTCCCAGCTACTCGGGAGGCTGAGGCATGAGAATATCTTGAACTGCTCCTTTTTATTGCTGAGTGATATTCCATTCTATGAAGCTCAGTTTGCTTATCCGTTCTCCTGTTGATGAACATCTGATGTTTGCAGTTCTCCTCTCCGTGAGTCTTCTTGTAAACATAATTTTCATTTCTCTTGGGAAAAACCCTAGGAGTGGTACTGCTGGGTCAAGGGGGTAGGTGTTTGTATAGCTTTATAAGAAGTTACCACATCCTTACTAATATTTGGTGATAGCTATTCTTTAAGTTAAAAGTGTAGAGGCATCTCGTTGTGGTTTTAATTTTTATCTCCCAAATGAGTAATGATAAGTGTCTCTTCATATACCGAATGGCTATTTGTGTATCTTTTTTGTGAACTGTCTCTTCAACTGTTTCATCCATTTCTGATTGATTATCTTTTTATTATTGAGTTGAAAGAGTTCTTCATAAACCCAGGATTTCAATCTTTTTTCAGATGTTTTGCAAATATTTTCTCCTAATCTATGGCTTGCCTATTTTCTTAATGGTATCACTTATCAGCAGAAGCTTTTAATTTTGACAGGGACACATTTATTCATTTTCTGTTACGTTTATTGCTTTCTGTGGCCTGTTTGTCTATAAACATTTGCCTGTCTCCAGGTTATGAAGATGCTCTCCTATATTTTCTCTAAAAGTTTTATGATTTTATATTTAGCCCTACAATAATTTAGAATTAATTTTTGTTTGTGACGTGAGAAATAAGTTAAAGTTTTCTTTGTGTGTTTACTTCTGAACATCTAGTTAATACAGCACCATTTTTGAAAAGACTTTTCTTTCCCCATGGATTGATTGCTTTGGTACCTTTGGCAAACAAATGACCATGTAATCATGGGCCTGTTTCCAGCTCTCTTCTCAGATCCACTGATCTATTTGTCAGTCCCTATGCCAGTAACATACTGTCTTAATTATAAAACCAACAATGTCGGTATTATAATGTTTTAAAGTCATGTAGTTTGAGCACTCCAGATTTATTTTCCTAATTCAAGATTGTTATAGATACGCTAGATTCTTTGCATGTCTATATAAATTTTAGAATCAATTTGTAAATTTCTACAACAGATTCCTGCTAGCATTATTACTGGGATTGCAATAACTCTACAGATCAATTTGTGGAGAACTGACATCTCAACAACATTGAGTCTTCCAATCTGCAAACATGATACTGTGTGTGTGTGTGTGTGTGTGTGTGTGTGTGTGTGTGTGTGTCTTCTTTAATTTCTTTCAATAATTGTTTAGTTTTCAACATAGAGATCTTGTCCATCTTTTGTTGTTTATTCATGAGTATTTTATGCTTTTTGAAGATACTGTAAATAAAATTGTTTTTCTAATTTCATTTCCCAAATTCTTGCTGCTGATATATAAAAGTATAATTGATATTTTAATATTAACCTTGTATCCTGTGACCTTGTTCAATTGATGTATTAGTTGTAATAGTTGTTTCTTGCATTTCTTAAGATTTTCCACATAAACAATCACATCGTGTGTGGAGTGAGTTGCAATTCTTCTTTTTAAAATCTTTATGCCTTTTTTTTTTACTTACATTATTGCAATAGTTAAGACTACCTAAAATAAATTGGTAAGTGTTCTTGCCTCCTCTGTTTTTGAAAGAGTTTGTGAAATAATGATACTATTATATTTCTTCCTTAAATGTTTTACAGGATTAATGAGACAATCTTGACCAAACTTTTCTTTGTGGAAGATTTTTAAAAATAATACATTTTGGCTGGACACAGTGGCTCATGCCTGTATTCCCAGCACTTTGGGAGGCTGAGGTGGGCAGATCTCTTGAGCTCAGGAGTTCGAGATCAGCCTGGCGCAACATAATAAAAACCCCGTCTCTACAAAAAATGCAGAAATTAGCCGGGCATGGTGGCATGCACCTCCCAGCTACTTGGGAGGCTGAGGTGGGAGAATCACTTGAGCCCAGGAGGTTGAGGCTGCAGTGACTGGAATAACACCTTAGCACTTACACTTGGACAACAGAGCAAGATCCTGTCTCAAAAACTAAATAAATAAATTCAATTCAATTCAATTTCCTCTCCTACATGAGTTATGGTACATTGTGTTTTTCAAGGAATTTGTCTATTTCATCTAAGTTGTCTATTTTGTTAGCATAATGCTTTTATACTTTTTTTAAATGCTTGTAGCATTTTCAGTGATAACCCCTCTTTCATTCTGATATTGACCATTCGTATTCTCTCTCCTTTTCTTGATTAGTATAGCTAGAGTTGATCTTTTCAGAGAACAGACTTTTGGCTTTGTTAATTTTCTCTATTCTTTGTTGTTATCTCATTTATTTCTGTTATTATATATAGAATTTCTTTCCTTTCTACTTACTTTGGGTTTTCTTTTTTTTTCTTTCCTTTTCTTGTATTTTTCCCCTCCCTTCCATTCTCCCTCCTTTCCTCCTTTCTCCTTTCCTTCCTTTCTTACTTTTTTTCTTCTTTCTTTCTTCTCTCATTTTAGACTCTTAAGGTGCAAACTTAGGTTATGGATTTTAGACCTTTGCTCTTTCCAATGTAAGTATGTAAAACTCTAGATTTCCTTCTAAACATTGCTTTAATTAGAGCTCATAAATTTTCATATGTAACATTTTCATTTTCATCTGTTCAAAAGCTTTTCTAATTGTCTTTGTGATTTCTTCTTTAATTCATGGGTTTTTTTAAAATAAGTGAGTTGTTTGACTCTAAACACGTGGAGTCTTCCTAGATATCTTATTGTTACCGATTTCTAACTTAACTCCATTGTGGTCAGAGAAAATGCTCTGTAGATTTCAATTATTTCCAACTCATCAAGACTTATTTTATGGATTAACGTATGCTTTACCTTGACAAAAGCTCCATGTGCACCTGAAAAGAAGATATATTTTGCAATGGTTGGGTGTAGTGTTCTATAAATATCAATCAAGTCAAGGTGATGGTGGTATTACATAGATCATCTATATCTGAACTGATTTTGGGCCTAGTTTTTCTATCAACAGTCATTGAGAGATGTTAAAATTTCCAACTATGATTGTGGGATTGTCTACTTCTTTTAATTCTGTCATTTTTGCTTCATTTATTTTGAAGCTCTGTTACTAGGCCTATATACGTTTATGATTATAATGTCTTCTGATGAATTAATTCTTAATTCTTATCATTATAACATATCCCACTCTATGTCTGGCAGTAGTCTTATTTTGAATTTAATGTCATCTGATAATAATATAGCCACTTCAACAGTCCTATATTCTTCTTATACTCTTTTCATGGTATTTCTTTTTCTATTTATTTCTTCTTAATATATCTGTTTCTTTCTGTTTAAAATGCATCTCTTATAGAAAGCTTTTTTATCCATTTTGACAATCTTTGTTTTTAATTGGAGTTTTTAGTCCATGAGCATTTAAAGTAATTATTGACACATTTGGATATGTATCTTTCATTTTACCATTTGTTTTCTGACTACATCCCCTCTGATTTCTGTTCCTTTATTCTTTTTCTGCTTTCTTTTAAACTTATTGTAACATATTTTAGAATTCTTTCTTGATTTACCTATTGGCTTTCTAGCTATACTTATTTAACTTTTTTTTTTTTGAGACAGAGTCTCCCTCTGTCACCCAGGCTGGAATGCAATGGCATGATCTCAGCTCACTGCAACCTCCACCTCCTGGGTTCAAGCAATTCTCCTGTCTCAGCCTCCCAAGTAGCTGGGATTACAGGTGCCCACCACCATGCCCGGCTAATTTTTTGTACTTTAGTAGAGGCAGAGTTTCACCGTGTTGCCCAGGCTGGTCTCAAACTCCTGAGCTCAGGCAGTCTACCTGCCTCGGCCTCCCAAAGTGCTAGGATTACAGGCGTGGGCCACCATGCCCAGCCACTTCTTTGCTTTTTTTATTGATTGTGTAGAGATTACAATGCATTTCCCTTACTTTTCACAATCTATTAAAGATTGTGCCACTTGGCTGGGGGCGGTGGCTCACGCCTGTAATCCCAGTACTTTGGGAGGCTGAGGTGGGCAGATCGCAAGGTCAGGAGATAAAGACCAGCCTAAACACAGGGAAACCCTGTTTCTACTAAAAAAAAATACAAAAAATTAGCCGGGCATGGTGGTGGGCGCCTGTAGTCCCAGCTACTGGGGAGGCTGAGGCAGGAGAATGGCGTGAACCCGGAAGGCAGAGCTTGCAGTGAGCTGAGATTGCGCCACTGCACCCCAGCCTGGGCGACAAAGCGAGACCCCGTCTCAGGAAAAAAAAAAAAAAAAAAAAGAAAAAAGATTGTGCCACTTATGTAAGTAGAAACCTTGCAGTTATATAAAACTACCCATCCCTAATCACTCTTTATACTGCAATTTTCATATGCATCACATCTAAGTGACAAACCCCATAAGACATAAATTTTGCTTTAAAGAATCATATGTATTTTAAATAAATAAAGAGAAAAAGCACCAGTCTTTTCTATTTATCTAGAAATTCACTATTTCCAACAGGATCGTTTCCCTTCAGGAAATACTAAAGGAATTTCCTTTAGTATTTCTTATAATACAGATCTACTGGCGATGAATTCTCTTAGCCTTCTGAAATGTCTTTATTTTGCCTTCATTCTTGAAGGATAATTTTGCTACATATGGAATTCTGGGTTGACAATTTTTTGTGGCACATTAAAGATGTTGTTTCACTCTCTTTTGGCCTCCATTGTTTATCAGAAATCAGCAAATATTGCTTTTTTGTTTCGTGTGATGTGCCATTTTTATTTAGCTGATTTCAATCGTTTTTCCCTTATTTATGAATTCAGCGTATAACTATGATATCTCTAGGTATTACTCTGCTTGGAGTATCATGAGCTTCTTGAATCAAAAGTTTTATACCTTTCATCATATTTGGGAATTTATTTCTGCTCCATTTACTCTCTTCCCTCCTAGAAGTAAGAGTACCAATTACTAGAGTAACTAGAACTCCAATTACTCCTATGTTAGACATTTTAATATTTTTGAACCAGTCCTTGAGACTGTTCAATTTTTTCTCTGCCATTTTTCTCTCTTTTCTTTAGATTGGATCATTTTCATCTGATCCCTTTTCAAGTTCATGGACTCTTCCCTATGTTGTCTCTATTCTGCTAGAGGATGAATTTTTATTTCAGATATGTTATGTTTTAGTCTAGAATTTTTATTTGGTTGCTTTTTATAGTTTGTATTTTTCTGATGAAATTTTACAACTTTTTATTCATTAGGAGCATCTTTTCCTTTACATGACTGAACATAGTTAAAATCCTTACCTGCTAATTCCAACATTTGGGTCATCTGCCATTCTCTT
The DNA here is from genome assembly GCF_000001405.40 of Homo sapiens. Classification (NCBI taxonomy): domain Eukaryota; kingdom Metazoa; phylum Chordata; class Mammalia; order Primates; family Hominidae; genus Homo; species Homo sapiens. The sequence continues at coordinate 111,240,606 of NC_000002.12, read as the reverse complement.
TTTGTAAGTGTTGACTCTTCTCCAGAATCTGCCTGCTTTATTTGCCTCCAAATAGTTGTCCTGTGTGCAAGTGTGTGTGTGTGTGTGTGTGTGTGTGTGTGTGTGTGTGTGTTTTCAAACTCTTAAATGTCTCAGTAGTCAAAGGGTGGCTAATCTGATGGTGAGATCCTGAAAAAAGAGAATAAATGTTTTCATCCTGCTTTCTTTAACCCATGAAGGTGCAGGAAGAGATTGACTTCATTCTCCATAGAAGGCCTAGCTGGCTCTGTGGCACAATGGAAAGTGCATTGTCTATAGGAGGCCTTGTGTACATACACATGTGCACTCACACATGGGGGAGAGCCTATAATCTTTGCTGACAACAGCATGCAGTGTATAAATCTCTGTAGCTCAGACCCAGAACCTGAAAAATTTAGACCTAACATTACTTTGGCCCAGTAAGAATGTTAGCTGGAAATTAGTTTATAGCCCAGGAGCTATTTTTTAAAGATCTGTAGGCTTACTAGCCATGACAATGATGACAATAATGATGATGAAAATGACATCATCATTACCAATAGCTACTGCCATCTATTGATCCCATAACATGTGATCATATCTCTGTCCTCAGAACAATCCATTTCACAGATGAAGAAACAGACTCAGTGAGCACGTGATCACTTCTCACAACTAATGGAGCCAAGATTCTGTCCTTATGGCTCCAGAGACCTCTTTTTTTTCCCACTGTACCACAACACTCACCAGGACTGGAGTGCCACCTATGACCTCATTGCATAATGGATGGCTTGTCCTCAAATGGGCCCGGGTATGTGTACATGTATACTTATGTCTATAGGGGAGAGGGGAAATTGACCCACTTTCCTCCACTCTAACTCCAGATCTCAGCTGCCGAGTGGAAACCCCATTCTCACACCATAGCTATGGGACTGGGGGAAAGGGGAGGAAATAACTAAAGAGTAAGGAATTGGGGGAGGCTTTGAGGTTTGGATGTGACAGGTAGTTTGCATGTAGTTGGAATGCAGTAACATTGGTCCACAAGGTTTGTCAGAAACCCTGGTTATTTTGGAAGGTTCCAAAGTTTTGTCCTCTTCAGATATCATGAAAACAGGAAATTCTGTAAACATGGCCACTGAAGGGCTAGCTCATTTCTTGGAAAAGGAGTTTCTGGAGAGTTCTCAGAGCATATAAATAGCAGGGCCATAAAGACAAAGGTAACCATTCAAGGAATAGAGAAGTATATTCTCAAAAATTACACGCCAAGCCAGAGCTGTGGTTCAGAAAGGGGGTTTTATGTTGTTTCTGTTGTTGTTTCAGTTTTGGCCTCAGAAAGGATGCGCGGCCCTGCTGTAAACAGCCTCTCAGCACTGGGAAGGGGTGTGCTTACGAGGCTGGTGTAGACATCCAGAGCCTAGCCTAGATAGGAAGGCCCAGGCACCCACAGGGAGGCCTGCTTTGACAGAGAAGCATTTCTGTTTAGAAGAGGGCACCTGGGAGATATTTCCAGAGAGCTTCTTATGACTTGTCATGTAGCTCTTCCCCCATGTTTTCTGCAGCTGGAGGTACCATGCACCTTTGAGGGACCAAGGACCCAAGACTTGAGGTAGACACTATTCCCAGCTGGATACTCTCAATGTTGAGGATATAGATGCACAAACCAATGCAGGGAGGCCTCCAGGAGCCACTGGAGAAGAAATCTTCAGATCCTACCAGGCCCATAGCTGTTGCCTTTGTGGGCTCCTGGGTTAATTTCCACACATCAGTGGCCCACCTTATGATATCCTCCCTGCATGCCACACTCCCGGCCATGCTCTGTGGACAGCCATTATTTCCAGTAATTGCTAATGGGAGCCAGTCTCCAAAGAGTAATGAATCAGAGGTGTTCCTTGGAATGTGTTACACTAGGACTTCGCCGATCTCACAGGCTCCTTTCCAGATGAGCTGACTGTAATCTCTGGGAAGCTGGATCTGGAGGAACAATGGGATGGGATTTGCGGTGACCCTTCCTGCCCTTCTTGAGCAGCTTGTGAACCAGAAGATGTGCCTGGAGAGAAAGCCTCATTTGGGGAAGTGCAGTAGTCGAAGTTCTTTATTTTGAAAATGGAGAACAACCCTTCTCACAATCCTGTCTCCCCTTCCCCCTTTCCAACTAGAATATCAGCTCCCCTGAACATGAGTCAGTCACATTTCAGGGAAAACTGGCTGATGTTGAAGAAATCACTTGAGGGCAAACTTTGTCCTTCAAGCTGTGGGTCTCTGAAGTGTAGAGCCAGCAGATCCCCCAGTGTAGGGACTGGGCCTTCCTTGCCCATTGAATGCTTTCTATACATGAAGACTTGGAGCTCTTTACAGATGACAGTAGCCAGTGAGGAAGATAAAAGAAGAGAAAAGACCCAAAATGCGGGTTTGCCACTCTTTTTTGCCAGCACCGTGGGGACAGTCACTCTGCCTTCTTTCCACCACCTCCAACTTCACACTCACACGCACACTCTGGTCCCACAGAGCCTGTTTGGTACTTGCCTGACAGCCCACCTTGAAACCAGATGGTCATGAACCTGTCACCAAGTCATCTGAAGATCTTCCACTGCAACCTGTATGGCATCTGCCACAGGGACCATGGGACATGATTGAAGAACCACTCCAGTGCAGTTGATGAAGGGGTGGGTCTGCACTGGAGTTAGGTGCACCAGGGCCTGGGCCAAGGGTGGGCTGGGTCCATCTTGTGTGTGGTGGTCTTCTTCAGAGTAGCAGCTGATTCAGAGGGATTCCATAGAACTGCACAGGCTAGGTCTAGTCAGATATCTTGGACATTTTCTATTTCTAGATTAGAGAATATAGCATACGCTGATTTTAATATAACTGTGTATGTGACTTTTTCAGTGAGAAAAATTTTAAGTGATGTTCTAAACAATTTTTGGCATGTAGACAGAATAGTCAAATATCTGTTTAACTAGCAACATAGTTACTCGTGCATATTTAAAATACTACATGAGTATGGCCTGGCACAGTGGCTCATGCCTGTAATCCTAGCACTCTGGGAGGCCGAGGTGAGCATATTGCCTGAGTTCAGTTTGAGACCACTTTGGACAACATGGTGAAACCCTGACTCTATAAAAATACAAAAATGTAGCCAGGTGTGGTGGTGCGTGCCTGTAGTCCCGGCTACTTGGGAAGCTGAGGTGCAAGAATTGCCTGAACCTGAGAGGCAGAGGTTGCAGTGACCTGAGATTGTGTCACTGCACTCCAGCCTAGGTGACAGAGCAAGACTACATCTCAAAAAATAAAACAAAATAAAATAGGCCCTGTGCCGTGGCTCACGCCTGTAATTCCAGCATTTTGGGCAGCTGAGGCGGGCAGACCACCTGAGGTCAGGAGTTCAAGACCAGCCTGACCGACATGGTGAAACCCCATCTATACTAAATACAAAAAATTAGCCAGGTATGGTGATGCATGCCTGTAGTCCAAGCTACTTGGGAGGCTGAGGCAGGAGAGAATGGCTTCAACCTGGGAGGCAGAGGTTGCAGTGAGCCGAGATTGCGCCACTGCACTCCAGCCTGGGTGATAGAGCAAGACTTCGTCTCAAACAATAAAATAATAAAATAAAATAAAATAAAATAAAATAAAATAAAGTAAAATGCTACATGAGTTTGGAAACATTGCTTTTTCCCACATTACTCACCTCCTTTACAGCACCAGCATCTTGGTCGACACAAGATCTCTCTTTAATTATGTCACAGTTTGTTGATGAATACATTGCCTTTGCTTCAGTTAAATCAAGTAGGATGCAGTGACTCCAAGTCTGAGGGGTGCTTCCCAGGAAGAGCCACCCCCCACAGCCATTTGCAGAGCATTGGAGTAAGTTTTACCTTCATCCCTTAGATGTGAATTTGTTATCCTCACTGTGACAATCCCTTATCACATGGCTTTTAGAAGGATTCTCAAAAAGCTAGACTCTCACATTCAACTTTGCAATTGCCTGGCTGGGTGTTACGTTTCTTTGCCTCCTATTAGAGACCCTATCAGCATCTAAAACTAGCGTTGTTTGAGGATGTTGGAGCCAACGGTTCTTTGCCAGATAGAACTTTGTGTGTCCAAATAAATGGTTCAAAATCATCAAGCAAATAAATACCCTGGAATAAGAGAAGCCTCATGAGGATTTGACTCCAAATTGACTTCCTCTGTTCTGCAGTAAGAAGTTAGGAATTAAACCAAACCTTGCCTGAGGTTCAGGTATACTCAAAAGCAATGAGGTGTGGCTCAGGTGTGCGCTGGCAAGGTCACTGTGAAGTTCAGCCAGAGGCTTTGCAAGCCTGGGCCTGAGAAGCCAGACCTCTTAGATCCAGAAGGGCCAATGGAGCTGGGCTGGCCTGCTGCCACTCACAGGCAGAGACTCTGCCAGCAGAAGGGACTCTGCTGTCAGAGCTGGAGGGCAGCGGACCACATGGCTGAGGCCCAACCACAGGTCTCCTGACTCAAAACCTCTTCCCAGGGCTTGTCCTCCTCCCTAAATATATGTGCCCCAAATTGTCACCAGATCTCGGGAAAGCACTGGCTTTGTCTGGGATAAACACCAACTCCACAGCACACCCAGTCATTACCAGATTGGCAGTTGTTGTCTAGGTCTTGTGGCTTCTTGGGGTTTTCTCGGGTGTCTCTCTCCCAAATCTTTCCCCTTTCCTTTGATTATATTCACATAAACATTGAGCTTTGTAGCCCTCAAGCTCTCTCAAGCATAACTCACTTTGTCCCTCTCTGTTTCCCTATGCAGTCGCCTCTCCCTCTGCTGTCAGAGGCCCATCCAACTGCTCCAGCCCTGTGGCTCCAGCGTCTCCTCCTCTCTCTTTCCCCTGCTCTGTTTCTGGGAAGATCTATCTGAGGGTCCTGAAGGAGGAGACTCGAGGTTGTTCTCTTGGACAAAGAGGTCTGGGTGGATGACATAATTCACTTTACGTCTTAGAAAAATAACCTTGTGGCTCTTGGCTCTCCTGGGCTGTCATTTTGGTTGCCTAAGGGCTCTAGGCAGAAGGCCAGGGAGCCCAGCCCCAGCCTAGAACTTGCAGGGCTCAGAGAGCTGCAGTGACGGGGTGTCCGCTGTGCCTGCCGCCCCCCTTGCCATGGACTCTACTTGCAGAACTTCACAGCTGAGAGGCTGGCCCTGAGATTCCCCTTTATGCCTCCCAAAGCTTGCGATTGCTTAATTATACGCTGCTGTGTACCAATTTCCACTTTCTCTCCCGGTGTGTTTTGACTGATAACTTTGACTTAACCTCCTGATGCCAGAAACTATGTTGGCTACTGCTCTGGCGGCAGGAAAAGGCCGGTTCCAGGGAAGGCTGAATGCCTATTGTTCTGGATCATTTTGAGAAAAAAAAAGAGATACCTTGAAGAAAGATGAAGACAAAATATGGAAGGGTGCTGAATTTACAAAAAGCCTAAGGGGAAAAAACTCAAATGTCCCTCAGGAGTGGAATGAGTAAACAAATCATGGCGTGTTCACACAATGGAATGCTACCTACCAATAAAAAGGAATGAACTGCGGATGCACACAGAAACATGGGTGAATCCACTAGGCATCATGTTGTGTAAAAGAAAGCCAACTTGGCCAGGCGTGGTGGCTCACGCCTGTAATCTCAGCACGCTGGGGAGGCTGAGGCAGGTGGATCACTTGAGGTCAGGAGTTCAAGACTAGCCTGGCCAAGATGATGAAACCCCATCTCTACTAAAAATACACAAATTAGCTGGGCGTGGTGGCGCGTGCCTGTAATCCCAGCTGCTTGGGAGGCTGAGGAAGAGAATTGCTTGAACCCAGGAGGTGGAGGTTGCAGTGAGCCAAGATTGCACCACTGCACTCCAGCCTGGGTGACAGAGTGAGACTCTGTCTCAAAAAAAAAAAAAAAAAAAAAAAAAAAAAGCAGACGCAAAAGACATACTACATGGTTCCATTTATATGAAGTTTTAGAACAGGCAGAAATAATCCATGTGGATAGGATAGTGGTTATTGAAGAGCAAGAGCAAGGGAGAATGTGGATTGCCTGGGAGGGAAAGAGAGGCACTTCTGGGAGTGGCCTGTATCTCATTCACAGTGGTAGTCACACCTATGTATGTGTGCAAAAATTCACCCAGCTCTTAATATTTATGCACTTTACTGTATGCATGTGATGTAGTTTGGATGTTGCCCCCTCCAAATCTCATTCTGAAATGTGACCCCCAGTGTTGGAGGTGGGGCCTAGTGGGAGGTGTTTGGGTCATGGAGGCGGACCCCTCAGGAATGGCTTGGTGCCCTCTCCTCAGTAATGAGTGAGTCCTCACTCTATTAGTTCATGCTAGAGCTGGTTGTTTAAGAGAGTGGCACTCCTCCCACCGCTCTTCTTCCTCCTCCTCCTCTCTCACCTCGTGACATGCCTGCTCTCCCTTTACCTTCTGCCATAAGTGGAAGCTTCCTGAGGCTTTACCAGATGCAGATGCTGGTGCCATGCTTTTTGTACAGCCTGCAGAACCATGAGCCAAATATACATATTTCCTTTATAAATTGCCCACTCTCAGGTATTCCTGTGTAGAAAACAAAACAGACTAATATGGCATGTTACACCTCAATAAAAACCTTATAAAAATAGATAAAGGCAATGAGGAGTCAGTGGAGGAGGATCCAAGGCTCAGAAAGAGAAGGAGGTATATGAGAAGCTGAGGGAAGCAGGGGAGAGCATTTCAGTAACAGAGAGACACGGTGGACCAATGTGGAGAGACTCTTGGATTGGGTGACTGAGAAATTCTGTCCTGACAGAAAAATTTCAACAAGATAGCTCCAACTTGAAGAAAGAGCAAGGTTAAGGAAGATTCTGGAGGCTGATGTTCTTGTTCTTGTTGTTTAAGTCTTGGACGAGCCTGAGGATGTCTACAAGTGGAAGAAAAGAAGCCACTGGAGCAGAAGGTGGGGAGGATAAAATTTGGAGCAAGATTCTCAAGGAAGCAACAAGATCCTAAGGCGAGTAACCCTGAGTTTAGTTGGGAAAAGGAGGATCATTAGGAGACCAGGAGGGAAAGAAAAGGTGGCAAGGTGTCTAGCCACTCCGTGTGGAGCGTTTCTGAGGGTGCTACCAGCACAGGGTGAGCACATTGCTCCATGAGAGGGATGTGAGACCTTGAATAGAGGAGTCACTGTTGGGAATGTGAAATTTTTTCAACAAGAGATCAATACTGGAAGTGATAGAGGCCCAGAACTATAACTGGCTACACACCCAGGAAATCCCATTTTGACCAGTTACTAGCCATGTTTGGGAACCCAACAATTAATGCAGAGAAGGTGAGTGTGTACAGGTGTTCCTCCGGGTTGGGGATTAACAATGCAGATTTGACAAAAAGTTGACAATTCTTGGAAAGTAAACATGTCGCTCAGAAGGACCCATAATGACAGAAAATGATGGCTTAATATTTGTAACATTAAAGTCCCAAGAGGAGAGTATAATGAGTGAGGAGCTGAAAAATATTTGAAAAAATTATGGCTAAAAATATTTCTGAATTTGGCAAAACACATAAACTTGTAGATTTGAGAAGCTCAGAGAATCCCAAACAGAATAAGCTCAAAGAGATTCTCACTTAGAGACATCATAAGGAAACTACTGAAAACTAGGAACAAAGGAATTATCTTCAAAGCAGCAATGAAAAATGACATTATTTATAAAATTACAATTATTTAAAGGGTTGTAGATTTCTCATCAGAAACCATAGAGGCCAGGCCGGGCGCTGTGGCTCACGCTGTAATCCCAGCACTTTGGGAGGCCGAGGTGGGCAGATCACTTGAGGTCAGGAGTTCAGGACCAGCCTGGGCGAAACCTGGGCAAAACCCTGTCTCAACTAAAAAATAAGAAACTTAGCCAGACGCAGTGGTGTGTGTCTGTAGTCCCCGCTACTCAGGAGGCTGAGGCAGGAGAATCGCTTGAACCTGGGAGGCAGAGGTTGCAGTGAGCCGAGATCACACCACTGCACTCCAGCCCGGGCGACAGAGCATAGAAGCCAGAATGCAATTGAACAACATTTCAAAAAACCTTGTTTTGAAAAAATTAAAGATTCATGTCTCGTGTTCACTTTCTCTGATTTTCCCTGGTGATTAGCATCTTACCTAACTATAGTATAATGTCAAAACCAGGAAATCCATATCGGTACAATGTGTGTGTGTGTGTATGTGTATGACATTCTGTGCCATTTTTATCACAGATGTAGACTGATGCACGTTCAGCCACAATCAAGATGCAGAACTGTGCCATCACAACAAAGTTCTCCCTCATGCTGTCCCTTTAAAGTCACATCCACTGCTCCCCCATGACCCCACCCATAACTAACCCCTGGCAACCATTACTCTGGTCTCCAGTTCTACAATTTTGTAATAGTGAGCATTTTACATAAATGGAATTATACAATATGTGACCTATTGAGAATGGCTTTTTTTCCCCTTCAGTGTAGTGCCCTTGAGATCCATCCAAGTTGTATGTATCAATAATTTGTTTCTCTTTATTATTGAGTAGTATTCCATGGTATGGATATACCACAGTTTGTTTCACCATTCTTCTATTGTAGGACATTTTGGTTGTTTCTAGGTTTGAGTTATTACATATAAAGCTGCCGTGAAGAATCATATACAAGTTTTTATGTGCACATATTTCCATTTCTCTGAAATAAATGTCCAAGAATATCATTGCTAGATCGTATGAAAAGCGTATCCTAGTGCTAGAGTGTGGATTTTGTGTCGCCCCCAAAAATTTATATGTTGAAACGTAATCGCCAATGTGATGGTGTTAGGAGATTGGGCCCTTGAGAGTTAATTAGGTCTTAGGGGCAGGGCCTTTACAAATGGGATTAGTGCCCTGAAGAAAGAGGCGCTAGAGAGCTGCCTTTCTTCTTTCACCATGTGAGGATACAGTGAGAAGGTGCCATCTGTGAACCAGGAAGCCAGCCCTCATCAGATACTAACCCTGCCAGTGCCCTAATCTTAGACTCCCTATCCCCCAGAACTGTGAGAAATAATTGTTTCTGGTTTAAGCCACCCAGTTTATGGTATTTTGTCATAGCAGCTCAAATGGAGTAAGATACTCTTAAGAAACTGCCCAACTACTTCCCAAAGTGGTTGTGCCATTTTACATTCTCACCAGTAATGTAGACCTAATTTCTTAGCATCTGGGTCAACATTTGACATAGATTCTATTTTAAATTTTATTTTTGCTGCTCTGATAGGTGTGTGGTGATATAAAATGAGAGTCTTAATTTACATTTTGTTAGTGGGCAGTGGTGTTGAGCATCTTTTCATATGCTTATTTTCCATCTTTGGTAAAATGGCTCTTCATGCCTTTTGCCCAATATCTAATTAGACTGTTTATTTGTTATTGATAAGATTTAACAGTTCTTTAAATAAATTCTAGATATGAGTCCTTTATTGACGATCAGATATCAGAATTATTTAGAAATACTTTCTCCTAATCTGCACCTTGTCTTTGCATTCTCTTATGATATTTTACTGGCAAATGTCTTTAATTTTTATGAAGTCCAATTTATCAATTTTCAGTTTATACAACATGTTTTGGTGCCAAGTCTAGCCAACTAGGAGCTCCTGGAAATTTTGTCCTGTTTTTTCCTGAAAGCTTTATAGTTTTACATTTTACATTTAAGGCTGTGATCTATTTTGAGTTTTGTTTTGCTCTTTTTTTTTTTTATAATGTGTTAGGTACAAAGTACCTTTTTCTGTAAGCCCACACTTCCCTAGTTACTCAAGCACTATTTGTTGAAAAGCCCATTCTTTATCCATTTTGGATCTTCATCAAAAATCATTTGGCCATATTTTTCTGGGTCTCTTTTTGGATTCTTTGTCTGTTCCACTGATCTGTGTGTCTAATCCTCTGCCAATATCACACTGTCTTGATCACTGTTGCTAAGTAGAAAGCCTTAGCCTTGAGTAGACTGGTTCTTGTCCATTTATTCTTCTTTTTTAGAATTGCTTAGGCTAGTTTAGTTTTTGTGACCTTTCTTATAAATTTTCGAATAATCTTATCTACAGAAAACATTGCTGGTATTTTAATGCAAATTTTGTTAAAACTGTATATGAATATAGGAGAATTGTTGTCTTTCAATCCATGAATGTGATGGGTGTCTCTATTTATTTCAATTGCCTTTGATTTCTTTCATCGACATTGCATAGTTTAGGCATATAAACCCTTCAAGTACATGTTTTGCTAGATTTGCACCTAAGTATTTGTTTTCTTTTTTTCTGTGTGATTGCAAATGGTATTGCATTTTTAATTTGGGTTTCCACATGTTTATCGCTAGCATATAGAAATACAACTAATTTTATGTTGATCTTATGACTTTGCTGAGCTTATTAATTCTAGGAGATTTTTGATAGATTCCTTGGGATTTTCCACACACCTTTATGTAATCTGCAGATAGCAATAGTTTTATTTCTTTTCTGTCCTGTGGGTCTTTTATTTCCCTTTCTTGTCTTATTGCACTGGTTAGAACTTACAGTATTATGTTAAACAGCCTTGCCTTATGATCTTAGGGAGAAAGCATTACATTTTTCATCACTAAGTATGATGTTGTAGATGTTTTTATCAAGTTGAGGAAGTTTCCTTCAGCTCCAGATTTTTTAGAGTTTTCATCATGAATGAGTATTGAATTTTGTATTTGTCCTTTTTGCAGCAATTGAAATAATCATGTGATTTTTCTTCTTTAGGCCTGTTAATATGGTGGATTATTACACTGATTGATTTTAGAATATTAAACCAGCCTTGTATTCCTGGGATAAACCCCACTTGGTCATGTTATATAATGATCTTTTATATTAAAGAATTCTATTTGTTAGTATTTTTCTTATAGATTTTTATGTCTATATTCATGAGGGACACTGGACTATAATTTTCATTTTTTATACTGTCCTTTCCTAGTTTTAGCATCAGGGTAATACTGACCTCATAAAATGAATTAGGAAATGACCTTTCCTTCCTCTACTATTTTCTGGATGACACTGTATAAAATTGGTGTTAATTGTTCTATAAACTTTTGGTATAATTCTCCAGCAAAACCCCCAAGCCTATAAATTTCTTCCTATGGCTTTTAAAAATTATAAATTAATTTTCCTTAATAGTTATAAGGCTATTCAAATGATCTATTTCATTTTAGATAAATTGTGGAAGTTTGTGCTTTTCAAGCAATTGGTCCATTTCATCTAAGTTGTCAAATTTATGTATCTGGAATTATTCATAGTATTTTCTTATTAACCTTTTGATGCCTGCAGGGTCTTTAGTGATATCCCCTGATTCCTGATGTTGGCAATTTATGTGTTCTTTTCTTCTTTGTCAGTCTTGCTACAGGTTAGTCAACTTCATTGACCTTTTCAAGGACTAGCTTTTGTTTCATGGATTTTCTCTATTGTTTCTTTGTTTTCATTTTTACTGTTTTCTGGGCAATCTTTTTTTTTCCTTCTGCTTGCATTGGGTTTATTTTGCTCTTCTTTTTCTAGTATCTTGAGGCGAGAGCTTAGCTTATTGATTTGAAGAATTTCCTCTTTAAACCATGGGTTACTTAGAAATGTGTTGTTTAATTTGTAAGTTATTTGAGATTCTCCTGCTATATTTCTGTTACTGATTTCTTGTTTGATTCGATTGTGGTCCAAGAACACACTCTGTATAATTTCGATTATTTTACATTTGCCAAGGCTTGTTTTACAGCCCAAGATGTCATGTATCCTGGTATATGGTCTTTGGGCACATGAAAAGAATGTGTATTCTGCAGGTTTTGGGTACAGCGTTCTAGAAATGTCAATTAGACCCTGTTAATTGAAGATGTTGTTGAGGTCTTCTGCATCCTTGCTGATTTTCTGCTTGGTTTTATATCAGTTGGAGAGAAAGGCAGAGAAACAGTAGCAAAATGCCCAATGATAATTATGAATTTGTCTATTTTTCCTCTCAGTTCTGTTGGCTTTTACTGCACACCTTTTGGGTGCCTTCTTCTTGGCGGGGGGCAGCCCAAGCTTCCTGCGTGTTCTCCATTCACACTGCATGGAGGAGGGTCAGCAGCTCGTTATCTCCAGGCAGGAAGTCCTGTCCAGACTCTGCACCTGGCCTTCCTGACACTACCTGGGGAGCTGGGGTTGGGAGGCTGAGGTCCCTAGTCGGGCTGCCTTCTTCTCTGTATCTTTCAGTCTTCTTATGTTTGTTTTATACAATGCCTTAGTTGTACTTAGTGAGAAGAATAAGGAAAAATATATCTACTCCATCTTTCCAGAAGCAGAAGTCTCAAAGCACTGAACTTTAAAAATCACTAATTGATCCCGTTTAGCTGTGCTACTGTGAATGGTGACCAGGGTTGGCTGGTGCCCACCTTTCAGAGGTGGCACACTAGAGAGGAGTGCACAAGACACCGACTGCAGTGTGGCGGGGTGCATCTCAAGGGCAGGTCGGACGCCAGGCCCTGCACACGAGAGGTGTTCACTGGGCTCATGGGGTAGAGGAGCCAGATCCGTGAGGCCTGGAAGGTCCCACGAGGTGCCTGGACTTCAGCCTGAGAGCAGAGGAGGCCACATATGGGTCACAGCAGAAGTACGGGTCAGAAACAGATGTTAGTAATGTCACTGCATTCAATGCACTGCCCACTGGGTTGGCCCCAGTTGCATCCCCAGACTGCTCAAGGCAGGAGGAAGCCACAGGAATTAAATGTGTGGAATGTGTGGAATGTGTGGTGCTGGCTTAATGCTTCTGTGTTAGCAATTTTTTTTTTTTTTTTTTTTTGAGAAAGGGTCTCACTCTGTTGCCCAGACTGGAGTACAGTGGCACGATCTTGGCTCACTGCAACCTCCGCCTCCTGGGTTCAAGCGATTCTTATGCCTCAGCCTCCCCAGTAACTGGGACTACAAGCAAGCACCATCACGCTCAGCTACTTTTTGTATTTTTTGGTAGAGACGGGGTTTCATCATGTTGGCCAGGCTGGTCTCAAACTCCTGACCTCAAGAACATTTGCCAAAAGTCACACCAATTGCCTAAAAGCCACTATGTTAAAAATCAATTTGCAAAACGACCAGTTTCACAGATTCCCAAATCACTAAAAACTTCTTTGTAGTAATTATTTACAAAATGTGTAATCATATGTGTTTCACAGAAAGTTTCGAAATCTGGTAATGATTTTTTCCCAACATTTTGGCCTTTGGTTGTATTTAGTTGAGATGTTGCATTTTTAGTTTCTCTACCACTGTTTTCTATCAGATTTATAGGCATGTGGTTCATATTTCAGAAGCTGACTACTCCTCAGTAGTTACTATAAAGGTTTTGGCAATTCATGAGGCTTTTTATATTCTAACCTTTGGTTTTCAGAAAAGATGATCTTGCCCTTCAAGTGCAATTTTACACCAATTTTCGTCATCTTCTTTTTTTCAAAGTGGTTTGGCAGTCAGCCAAATAAAAGTTTTTTCTGCATGTTAATTTTCACATATCCATGACAACTTCCCCAATGACAAAATCCAAAAGTGGGAACTGTAGTCCAATTTAGACACAAGTCTAAAATTGGAATTGACAATAAATGTGGTTGAGGGAAAACCCGTCTATTGACACCAAAAAAATATTGTGTGTTTGAGAAGTGTCCCACTCCTGAAATATGGAAACCCACATGAAATTGACATTTACCAGGGAGGGACTGAGAAATCCACAGCAAAACGGCTGATAAAAACATACCTGACACTTGCAAACTAAACTGCTAAATATAAGTGAAATAGAAAACCAAAGCTGGGGGGAAATCCTCAGTGTTTTAGAAACCAGAGCACACAAATTGTTATAATTTTAAAAGTAATTAACCAAAGCAACTTTTGGGTGAATTCCAGAGATCACTTCTCATGGAAATTGATCGTTTGGAAAATTAATTTTCAGCAAATTGTTTTTCAATTAATTGACTTTTGGGAAATAGTGATTGGTAATTTGGCAAAATTACCAAATCACCTGCACCCAGTCACCTGCAGGGTTTGATGCTGCCTCCAGGGCAGACGGGGAGCATCTGAAAGCTGGAAAGGAACTTGAGTTGTGGGGTGGAGGATGCTGTCCTCCATGTGTGGGAGGAAAGATGGAAGGAGCAGCACAAAGACAGAAGAAACTGACCCATTTCTTCAACCTTTCCATTTTTCCTGGGTTTTTAACCTCTGTAAACCAACAATCAGGAACCTGCAGCCCCAAACCTGCCAGCCTCCCTCCTGATATAACCAATGAAATGGACAGACCCTCCTCACAGTCAGGGGGAAATAGACACTTGTCTACCCCTGCACTGACTCAAGCAGAATTATGTTTCTCATTCATATTCTAATTCTTATGGCTATTTTCTTCTTTTTTCCACATATTGATCTAAACCTTTGTCCCTAATAAAGACCTCCAAACTCTACTGACACAAAAGTGATTGGGCATGAGTGACGTTTACTGGGCTTTGAGGTTACCTGGTTAAGCAGGTAACTGCAAGTGGAATCTTAGTCATCCCCAGTCTGCCAAGCCATGCCTGGCTGCCCTGAGAAGTTCTTCGCATGACCTCTCTTCTTCCACACATACTCAGCTCCTCTCCTCTCTCTTTTGAGCTCCACCTCCTTTCTGCTCACTCCTCCTCCCTCCCACTGGTTCCCCTTCAATCCTCCTGTTGTTTTCTTGTACAACGCCTCTTACTCTGTCCTACCCTCTATTTCCACATGTTGATAGAGAAAGCTCACTTTCCAGAGCCATGCAAGCTTAAGAAGGTGCAAAAGAAACTGTGCCACTCCCCTGAGACAGAAAAGTCTGCTGCATTTCTGTAAACTGCAATTTAAAGCAATCCTCCATGCTTTACATGCGCTAAAGTCCCCCATCCTGACAAAAACCTCTCTCTTGACCACATTTTCCCCTCTCATCCCACCTTCCTTTCACAACCAATCTTCCTGAACCAGCTACTGATACTCGCTGCCTCTTCTTTGTCCCAACCAGTGGACACTTCCGACCTTTTTCTTACTTAACCTTCTTTTAATGTTTGACACAGTAGACACTTCTTCCAGAAACCCTTTTGTTGTCCACCTGCTCTGGCCAGGATTTCTCAATCTTCTTTGTACCGTCCTTCTCTGCTGTTACCATCTTAGAGGTCAGGGAACCCAGCTTTGGCCTTGGGACTCACCTCTTCTATAGCAGGACCTACGTGGTCCCACTCAGCGATAGACTCAGCCGTGGATTTCACCACATGTTGCCTTGGAGTCTTGGGTCCTTGTCCTGGGCTTGAGCCACTGAGGACACACCCGAATATCTCCCGGATGTCCAGAATACGCCATCTGCAAAACTGAACTCGTCCTCTTTCCCCCGAATGTATCTCCCAGATGTCCAGAATACGCCATCTGCAAAACTGAACTCGTCCTCTTTCCCCAGAATGTATCTCCCGGATGTCCAGAATACGCCATCTGCAAAACTGAACTCGTCCTCTTTCCCCAGAATGTATCTCCCGGATGTCCAGAATACGCCATCTGCAAAACTGAACTCGTCCTCTTTCCCCCGAATGTATCATCTCCCAGATGTCCAGAATACGCCATCTGCAAAACTGAACTCGTCCTCTTTCCCCCGAATGTATCTCCCAGATGTCCAGAATACGCCATCTGCAAAACTGAACTCATCCTCTTTCCCCAGAATGTATCTCCCGGATGTCGAGAATACGCCATCTGCAAAACTGAACTCGTCCTCTTTCCCCCGAATGTATCTCCCAGATGTCCAGAATACGCCATCTGCAAAACTGAACTCGTCCTCTTTCCCCCGAATGTATCATCTCCCAGATGTCCAGAATACGCCATCTGCAAAACTGAACTCATCCTCTTTCCCCAGAATGTATCTCGCGGATGTCCAGAATACGCCATCTGCAAAACTGAACTCGTCCTCTTTCCCCCGAATGTATCTCCCGGATGTCCAGAATACGCCATCTGCAAAACTGAACTCGTCCTCTTTCCCCAGAATGTATCTCCCGGATGTCCAGAATACGCCATCTGCAAAACTGAACTCGTCCTCTTTCCCCCGAATGTATCTCCCGGATGTCCAGAATACACCATCTGCAAAACTGAACTCGTCCTCTTTCCCCCGAATGTATCTCCCGGATGTCCAGAATACGCCATCTGCAAAACTGAACTCGTCCTCTTTCCCCCGAATGTATCTCCCGGATGTCCAGAATACGCCATCTGCAAAACTGAACTCGTCCTCTTTCCCCCGAATGTATCTCCCGGATGTCCAGAATACGCCATCTGCAAAACTGAACTCGTCCTGTTTCCCCCGAATGTATCTCCCGGATGTCCAGAATACGCCATCTGCAAAACTGAACTCGTCCTCTTTCCCCAGAATGTATCTCCCGGATGTCCAGAATACTCCATCTGCAAAACTGAACTCATCCTCTTTCCCCCGAATGTATCTCCCGGATGTCCAGAATACGCCATCTGCAAAACTGAACTCGTCCTCTTTCCCCCGAATGTATCTCCCGGATGTACAGAATACGCCATCTGCAAAACTGAACTCGTCCTCTTTCCCCCGAATGTATCTCCCGGATGTCCAGAATACGCCATCTGCAAAACTGAACTCGTCCTCTTTCCCCAGAATGTATCTCCCGGATGTCCAGAATACGCCATCTGCAAAACTGAACTCGTCCTCTTTCCCCCGAATGTATCTCCCGGATGTCCAGAATACGCCATCTGCAAAACTGAACTCGTCCTCTTTCCCCCGAATGTATCTCCCGGATGTCCAGAATACGCCATCTGCAAAACTGAACTCGTCCTGTTTCCCCCGAATGTATCTCCCGGATGTCCAGAATACGCCATCTGCAAAACTGAACTCGTCCTCTTTCCCCAGAATGTATCTCCCGGATGTCCAGAATACTCCATCTGCAAAACTGAACTCGTCCTCTTTCCCCCGAATGTATCTCCCGGATGTCCAGAATACTCCATCTGCAAAACTGAACTCGTCCTCTTTCCCCAGAATGTATCTCCCGGATGTCCAGAATACGCCATCTGCAAAACTGAACTCGTCCTCTTTCTCCCGAATGTATCTCCCGGATGTCCAGAATACGCCATCTGCAAAACTGAACTCGTCCTCTTTCCCCCGAATGTATCTCCCGGATGTCCAGAATACGCCATCTGCAAAACTGAACTCGTCCTCTTTCCCCCGAATGTATCTCCCGGATGTCCAGAATACGCCATCGGCAAAACTGAACTCGTCCTCTTTCCCCAGAATGTATCTCCCGGATGTCCAGAATATGCCATCTGCAAAACTGAACTCGTCCTCTTTCCCCCGAATGTATCTCCCGGATGTCCAGAATACGCCATCGGCAAAACTGAACTCGTCCTGTTTCCCCCGAATGTATCTCCCGGATGTCCAGAATACGCCATCTGCAAAACAGAACTTGTCCTCTTTCCCCCAAATGTGTGTCCACTGCTTGAACCAGGAAACTGGATATCATCTTAAATCCTCCCTTTCCCACCACCACCAAATCCAAGCTGGGGAGCCCCTCTTCTTTACTGCCTCTGAAAACCGCACTGTCCCCCCACACCCCATGGATCCTGCTTGAACCCAGGCACTCATCACTTCTTCGCTGGGGTATGACCATTCCCCTGGCCTTCCTATCTTCCCATCTATGCCCAACATGGCTGCCAAGGGGATCTGTCCTAAATGCAAAGTTAGCCATGCCTGCCCTCCCTCCCCTGGCTTGCCTGAAATCTTTCAGGAAGCTCAGAGCTTTTAAGACAACATTTTGAGAACAAGGACCTTTTGCAATTTTACGTCTTCTGTTTTCTGGAGTCCCCAAATTCAGCTCAGCCTTCATGGCTTCTAAGAAACTTGCCTTGACCTCATCTTTCCTATGCGTTCTGTGCCTAGCTAGCAAAATTCTTAGCTGACATTACTTTGATCATGAACTTTGTTGCCTGTGAGTTCCCAGAGGGCAGGCCAAGTCTGACTTGGCTTTGTTGCAAAGTCTAGCACATGATGGACATTCAATAAAGTTTTGATAGAGAGAAAAGCAAAATCTCAGACTTCTTAGCTCATGATGTCCCAGTGAAGAGCTTAAATGTGTGTGTGGTGTGGAGAGAGATAGGCAGCCCCACAGTGAGCCCCAAAAGCCCAAGGAAGCCACGGTGTGGCCAAGAAACTTTTCAGGCAAAGGCAATCAGTGTGAGGGTGCAGCCTTCCTCCTGATAGAGGAAGTTGTAATTTTTATTATTCTGTCTCCCTGGGACTCTGTTCAAGGAGGCTGCTGCCAGGGCAAGGGAAGGTAGGCCTGTGGGGAGGGTCTGTTTTGTCATGAACATTTTCAGGAGGGTGATTGAACAGCATAAAAATGCTACATATATGTTGATTGAGCATATAAAATGGATGTCTCTGCCTCAAGACAGAGGGCACATTTTCTATGCCGAGACCTTTCCTTCTGCCTCATCATGTTTGACTTAGTGACACTGTGGTCCCCACCTGGCTCACCTTCTCAGCACTGATGGGCCAGATATGGTGGTGTGGCAGTTGAAGGGGATGAATGGTTTAGAGCCTTCTTGAGTCAGGCTGCCAGTCCTTGTGGGGCTTTGCCACTGTGTTGCTCCTCAAATTCCACTGACCTGTGACCAGACACAGTCCAAGCAGGCCAGATTCTTTCCTAGTGCAATACCCACTGGGCATTCCAGGTATAGATGATGTCACTGAGAGGGCAGCCAAGCAGGAGGTGGCACCTGGTGCCCAAGTCTAGCCCAACAGGCCAACTTCTGTTGACAAGGGAAGTTGGTGTCTAATTCACTGTGACAGAACGGAACTCTTGCCAAGTCCCTTTTCAGAAAGGGGGAAGCCACTTCAAAATAAAAATAAAGCTGGCTCTACAAAATATGGCGTGCCTGGTATCAATGGCAGAGGTGGCAAGCTCGCAAAAGCTCTATGAACAATAACTTTCCACAGTATAGACACCAAAGGGAAAGACAGCAGAGCACTTAGCTGGCTTAGACCCGTTCTGGTATAACTGGCCCATGAAAAACTATTCAACAACCATATTAGTAATCAAATTGAAATAAATATCAATGAAGAGCTACCTTTTGCCCTGATACATTAACGAAAATTAACATTTCCATTGCAATTTCCAGTGCTGACAGGGATATGGTAAAACTGCTATCTTCTCAGATTGCTCTTGACAGTATGCATTTGTACAGTCTCCCATGGAGATCAATTTATCATGATGTGTTAAGAATTGCAAGAGTGTTCTTAACCCTCTCTACAAAAAAAAAAAAAAAAATCCAAAATATGGAGCAAAGTATCACTTGAGTGTTAATTGTCATTTTGATAGGTGTATGCAGTGCTAAAATTACAGTTCATTATAAATGTTTTAATGTTGTTATGCATGTACATGGTGACTATTGTTCATGTAGCAACATGGAGGCATGCTTTTGACAGGAGCAGGGCACAACATTGTGTGCATATAACCATGACAACATTCACAAGAAAGAGGAGCCCAGTCAAACCCACCAAAATGATAACTGTGGCTGTATTTGGGTGTGGGGGTGAGAGGGTGTTACTTTTTCTTTTTCAAATTTAGTGTAATATGATATTACAATAAAAACCTCTTTTTGAGGCTTGAGGGTGCCAAGCAGAGATGTAAAGCGCAAGTGAGAATACTCCCCAGGTAGCAGGGAGGAGCCAGCTGGGATTGGACTTTGCTTTATTTTGGACAGGGCAAGGGTAGAAGCTGGGCATGGAAGCAGAGAGGCTTTTACTCCCCAGCATGGAAGAGACAAGTTAATTTTTTTTTGAAATAGTTTCGCTCTTGTCACCCAAGCTGGAGTGCAGTGGTGCGATCACGGCTCACTGCAATCTCTGCCTCCCAGGTTCAAGTGATTCTCCTGCCTCAGCCTCCTGAGTAGCTGGGATTACAGGCACCCACCACCACACCCAGCTAATTTTTGTGTTTTTAGTAGAGACAGGGTTTCACCATGTTGGTCAGGCTGGTCTTGAACTCCTGACCTCAGGTGATCTGCCCACCTCGGCCTCCCAAAGTGCTGGAATTACAGGCATGAGCCACCATGCCCCGCCAGAAGAGACAAGCTAATCTTAATTGGGAAAAATTTGGAAACCTCATAGAGGGCTCTTTGGCTCTCTAAATGAGTCTGTCAGGGCCCATGAGGATGCCAGGGGGACCTGAGAAGAAGTAAGATCAACTCTGGAGGCTCCAAGGTGCTGAGGAGGAAGGAGACCAAGGAACAGGATGGGGGCTGGGGGGAGTGGCTTAGAGGCTTCCATGGACAGGTGAGAGTCACAGTGCTTGGGCTTGGGGGAACTGGAAAACGGATTCTGGTCTTCTAGTGGGAGAGAGGTAGAGTGTGGGTCTGTGGATGTGTTCATGATTTTGTCCTCAGAGAGCAAGCTTGAGTTGAAAGAGTCACTGGGATAGGTATATGGAGTAAACACGTGGCATAGAGCTTCATATCAGGATTTCATGTAGTAAAAGCTAGCTGAAAAATGGATGGATGAACAAGTAGATGCATGAGGCGTTATGCTAAGCATTGAGGTGCAATAACGTGGTCTCAATGGCTCTAACACTGTCCAATCATAATTCTCTGTTCACCATGAGTCACTGCAGCTAGCTCTTAGAAATATTGAGATCCGTTTTCTTAAATAATCCCTGCTGAGAATATTTGTCAATCAACCAGAAGGCTTATATGGAGATACTGTGAGCTTCTTACAGTTAAGCCTTACAGGATAAAAAAAAGAAGCCCAAGACAGAGTTCTGTTCTACAAAGGGCACCCATCTATTCCCCTATCCCCACACAAGTTTCTCCTCCTTGAGTTTTGTCTAATATTCTATTAGGGCCAATGCTACAAAATCAGGGGCATCATACATGAAATGAGAGCAATGAATAATTTGTGAGGACAACCGAGAAGAGTCCATTTACGATGCGAGAAACGAACCTGACTGTAAATCAGGTGAAGGCAAATATCTTCTAGAGTTAAAAGCAGACAAGAAAATATGCAAAATTAAGGGGAAACCACTTCATCTTCATGACGTGTGCACTACACTCTCATTTGCACTGGGAGTGACGTTAACTCACCAGTTTATTTGCAAATGGACAAAGAGGAACCTGAAACACTTTCATTACCTTAAAAGAGAAATTTGCCAGCTAAAAAGAATGCTCCCCTGAAAGCTCATAATCTTAGTCAGCCTCTTCTATGCTCCCCAGGCCACTGCTTTGCTGAGTCATTCTACTATGCAGCCCCTCAGACACAAAGCCCGGCGGCCACCTGCCCACAGAGGCACAGAGGGCCAGCCAACTGCAAGCACGGAACTTCAGGATCTTGCTTTTCGGGTTATTTTCACTACTGTAATTTTTTTGTCCTTAGGTAAAAAGGATAATAATTGTGGAAAATTATGTCCTTAGGTTAAAAAGATCCTGGATCATGCCAGATATTAAAATATGGATAAAATTGGCATGATCTTGGAATCTGAACAGAAAAGAAGCTGCTTTTAGCTGTTTTCAACTGTTTTTAGCTTTTCTGTCTAAACAGCTGT
Organism: Homo sapiens; assembly: GCF_000001405.40. Lineage (NCBI taxonomy): Eukaryota > Metazoa > Chordata > Mammalia > Primates > Hominidae > Homo > Homo sapiens. The sequence continues at coordinate 111,219,078 of NC_000002.12, read as the reverse complement.
TTATTCTGTTTCACAAACTCTCTTAGCAGAATATTTAGGCAAAAAAGAAGAAAAAGAAATTGCAGAATAATAGGTCTAATATAATCCCAGTTCTAATCACACATAAAGAAATCTGAATGGTTTACAAAACCATTGAGAGCGGTGATATAAGGGCTGTGACTATAGAGGAATCTCATTTTCTAAATTTTGTTTTTCTCCAATGTATGAGAACTGGGATTACAGTATACCTATTATTCTGCAAAATGAATCATTAGTTTTTATTTATTACTCTTGCGATTAAAACTAGTAAACATTAAATTTGAGAGATGACCAGGCACTAGGATGCACTTTGCATGGGAAGTTTTCCTAGTGGTGAAATATCTTCTTAATTAAGCTGTTTATACTCTCCTCTATAATCATTTAGTCTCATTTCCTTCTTGTTTTGGTTTTTCCTACAGATGAAGAAAGTGGTCAGCATCTTCCCTAGATCAGAAAAACTGCATCTGTTTTCCCTTTTTATTGTGAAGTTTCAAACACATACAAAGTTAGCAGAAATTATTAAATGATTGCCTCTTGGCCTTTTGGCTAAGATCAAGTGTAAAAAATTATTAAATGAGCAATTAAAAACACTTTTGAAACAAAATTAAAAATAAAAGAATCTATGTAAAGGAATATAAGATATTGAATAAGTAATGAGCTAGAAATTATAAACCTAAAAAAATACAATAACTGAAATACTCAACAGATAGCCTCAAAAGTAGTTTGGAGACAACAAAGAATGAATCCGCAAACTTGAAGACAGATAATTAGAAATTACTCAGTGTAAACAATATAGAGAAAATAGCCTAGAAAAAAAATAAATGGTTTGAGAGATCTATGGATGATAACAAAAAATCTAGCTTTTGTATCATCAGGGTCCTAGAAGTAAGGAGAAAAACTGTTCAACTGAAAAAAATAATCTAATAAATAATGGCTAAAATTTCCCCAAATTTGACAAAAGACATTAAACCCACTGATTCAAAAAGAATAAAGTAGAACAAACCCCAAATAGGATAAATCCAAAGAAATCCATACCAAGACAAATCATATTCAAATTTCTGGAAATTAAAGATGGAAAAAGGTCTTAAGAGAGGTTAAGGGGAAACAATACATTACTTGTAAAACTTAAGCCAGAAAGAAGTGGCACAGCATTTTATAAATAGTGATTTAAAAAAATCGGCAATTCTGAATGCTCTACCTAGTAAGACTATTCTAGGTATATCAGTTTAATTCTGATGCTTGTTCTGTGTCTTCAAACTATTTTTTTTTTGTCTTTTAGCATGCCTTGTAATTGTTTTTTAATAGTCAGATATGAGATACTGGATAAAAGGAACTGCAGAAAGTTGGTCTTTACTAATGTGGTAGTGAGGTGTTGATGGCAGCAGCGCTGCCATCATGCCAGCTGCAGCAGGGAGGCACAGCTGGGGCTCCACATTCCTAGGAGACTGGAAGCCAGGACAAGCTGGAGACTTGCCCTTCTGAGTTGGGGCAGCAGCTCCCCAGGTGCCAATGCACCCACCCAAACCACAGCTGGCAACCCAGGCCTCCCACTTTATGGAGCAGGCAGGGTCCCTGCCCTCCTGGGTGCAGCTGCAGCTGCAGACCCAGGCCTCCTGCTCCATGGAGCAGGGAGGAGTCCTGCCTTCCTGAGTAAGGCTGCAGCTGCTCAAGCTGTGGCTGCCGATCAGAGCCTCCCTGTGCTCTTGCAGGTGCCAGGAGCAGGGAGGATCTCTGCCCTCCCTGGTGCAGGTGCAACCACCAGATCCACAAGTGCAGACCTGGGCCTCTGCTCCACCAAGCCGGCAGGAGCCAAGGACAAGCAGGAACCCCACCCCTTCTGAGTTGGCAGGGTGGGAGCTCCCTGGGTGCAGCTGCAGCCACCTTCCCAGGTACAAGACCTAGGTGTCTCTGCAACCTACACCCTTAGGGGCCAGGGAAGGCCCCCCGACCCCGGTACCCATAAGCCCAGGGGTGTCTTCTCCAGTTGCCTGGCTTCTCACTGCTCCGGGCACAGGCTCCCATATCAGAGCAGGGTTGGAGCCAAGGCCGGGTGCTATCACAGTTTGGCATGGTCTGCACACACTTGGATCAGTGCTGGCAAGCCAGTGCCCTGCTGCCCCAGCCCCCTCCAGAATTTGGGTACCAATGAGAGTAGGAGGGGAAGCAGAGGGGAGCTCTGAGGATTGCTCAGTGCTGGCCTGCAGGTGCCTCTTGGTGCCAGCAGCCAGGGGGACAGGGACAGCAGAAGGCAGGCAGGCTCCTGGGTGGAAGTGGGTGGGTTGCCAGTAAGACCCCACCTTCAGGCCAAGGAGGGCCTGAAGGCTGGGAGCCAGGCTGCCAGACCAGCAGAATGGAGTGGGGACTTGTGGTGCCTTTTCTGGACTGCCCATGGCCCTCCATGAACTGATCAACAGGGACTTCTTCCCTCTAAGGTCCAAAAAAGCCCCAGGCTCAGCCAGAGCAGGGCAGAGGACAGATGACAGAGGACAGATGGCCTGCTGCAGTGAGGAACTACTCTCTCTTCTGAGAGCTTCAGAGACCTGCAGAGACATAGGGACTACCAGCTGCAGAGAGAAGTAACTTTCTCGAGGGCCTCCTTTCTGGTGAGAGCAGCAGATGTCAGGATGATGACCAATAGCAGAGAGGAGCTACCCTCTCCAGGGCCTCCTCTCTGCTTGAGAGCTGAGCACTCAATGGGAAGATCTGCTTACAGAGAAGATGATCTGCCTACAGAGAGGAGCTATGCACTAAGGGTTTCCTCTGAGCTGTTCTAACACTTAGTAAAGCTTTCTTTGTCTTGTTCACCCTTCACTTGTTTGCATACCTCATTCTTCTAGAGGCAAGACAGGAACTAAGGCAAAGATGCCACCAGCCACAGAGGTTTCTGGCCAGAAAATCAATACCCCAAAGATCCTGTAACAGTGCAAGAAGGCAGGCAGGCTCCTGGGTGGAAGTGGGTGGGTTGCCAGTAAGACCCCACCTTCAGGCCAAGGAGGGCCTGAAGGCTGGGAGCCAGGCTGCCAGACCAGCAGAATGGAGTGGGGACTTGTGGTGCCTTTTCTGGACTGCCCATGGCCCTCCATGAACTGATCAACAGGGACTTCTTCCCTCTAAGGTCCAAAAAAGCCCCAGGCTCAGCCAGAGCAGGGCAGAGGACAGATGACGGAGGACAGATGGCCTGCTGCAGTGAGGAACTACTCTCTCTTCTGAGAGCTTCAGAGACCTGCAGAGACATAGGGACTACCAGCTGCAGAGAGAAGTAACTTTCTCGAGGGCCTCCTTTCTGGTGAGAGCAGCAGATGTCAGGATGATGACCAATAGCAGAGAGGAGCTACCCTCTCCAGGGCCTCCTCTCTGCTTGAGAGCTGAGCACTCAATGGGAAGATCTGCTTACAGAGAAGATGATCTGCCTACAGAGAGGAGCTATGCACTAAGGGTTTCCTCTGAGCTGTTCTAACACTTAGTAAAGCTTTCTTTGTCTTGTTCACCCTTCACTTGTTTGCATACCTCATTCTTCTAGAGGCAAGACAGGAACTAAGGCAAAGATGCCACCAGCCACAGAGGTTTCTGGCCAGAAAATCAATACCCCAAAGATCCTGTAACAGTGCAAGAAGGAGAAAAGTGTTCTATAGTTTTATATCTCAGTCTTTTAGTGAGCCTGTGTCTCTAAACTGTGAACTTCAAACAGAGCTTCTCGACCCCCCCAACACTCCCCTTAGGCAGGACAAGATGGCTAGAATGAACTGAAGTTGAGTATTTCTCTTCCCCTATGTAGAAGGCTAAGGCATGCTGGAGCATGCTATTTCCTTTCTTCCAGGTTGGTTAGGCTCTGATAAAATCCCAATAGTTTAGGCTCTGATAAAATAGTTTCTCCTGAGGCCAGGCCTTTTTGACTAGAAGAGAATGATCTGACTTACTTCAAATAGTTCCTCCTCCCTCTCCTCACCAGAAGAACAAGATCTTTTTTTTTTTTTTCTGATATTCACTGTGAGAACCTAGTTGAACTCCTGAAACCAGAACTCACAAAAGTGGGAGGCCCTCCTTTGAATGGGTCCCCCTGGACTGTTTAACTCTCATACTTATTTACTGTGAATGCCCAGCAATTCATCAATTACAGTTCAGGTTTTTCTACCCCATACTGGTTCCCACAAAGGTTTCTGCTCAAGGGTTTCTGCTGCAGTAATTTGTGATTCTAAGTATTTTCTTGTCAGTCTTTCCAATTTAAGGGGCAGTAAACCTCACTTCTCTGATGGATCTAAGAGTTGTTAATTAATCAGTTTGTTCAGCCTTTTATTTGTTGTTAGGATGTAGTGACAACTTCCAAGCTCCTTACGTACTGGATTGCAAACCAGAAGTCAAACTATTCCTTAGAAATGAAGGGGAAGTAAAGTCATTTTCAGATGACAGGATACTAAAAGAATATGTCACCAGAAGACTTGCCCTTAAGGAATGACTAAAGCAAGTGCTCAGAACAGAAAGGAAATAATAACAAAAGACTTCAGGACCTCAGGAAGAAAGAAAGAAAAGTGGATATGACCATAAAATGTAATCAATTATTTAAACAAAAGTAATAACAATGTAGCGTGATGTTAACATGTATGTAAGTAAAATGAATGACAACAATAATATAAAGGTCAGAAGGGGAGAAATGGAAGTATCCTGTTGTAAGTTTCTTATGCTATACGCGAACTGGTATAATATCATTTGAAGGTAGGCTATAATAAGTTAAAGATGTGTTCTGTTAATCCTAAGAAATATGAAAATAACACAATAACAAAGAGTTACAGCAAATAAGACAACAAAAGAGATAAAGTTGGATCATAAAAATAATCAATTTGAAAAAAGTCAGGGAAAAACAGAAAAAAGAGCAAAAACATATGGGATAAATTGAGAAAAACAGTGAGATGACAGGAATTAAACCTAACTATATGAATAATTACATTAAATGTAAATGGCCTAAACAACACCAGTAAAAGGCAATTTGTCAAATTAGATTTTTTAAAATGCTAATCCAACTATGTGCTTTTTACCAACACAAAAAGGCACTTTAAATGTAAAGACATAACTATGTTAAAGAAAAAGGATGGGAAAAAGATACAATGTAAAGACTAACAAAGAATCTAGAGTGGCTATATTAATATAAAAGTGGATTTCAAGCAAAGAATATTATCAAGCATAAAGAAGAACATTTAAAAATGTTAAAGGGATCAACTTGTCAAGAGACCATAATAATCCTAAATGTTTATGCACCTAATAACAGAGCTCCAAAGTACATAAAACAGAAATCAATAAAACTATAAGGAGAAATTAACAAATACAGATATAAATTAGATATTTTAATACCTCTCTCTCAATAATTGATAGAATGAGTAAAGAAAAAGATCACCAAGGATATAGATGACTTGAACAACACTACTAATAAAATATACCTACTTGGCATTTATAGAACACGTCATGCAGAAATAGCAGAATACACATTGTTTACAAGGGCACGTGAAACATTTTTCAAGATATATTCTATATTCTGAGCCATAAACAATGCATAATACATTTAAAAGGATTCAAGTCAAACAAAGTATGTTTTCGGAGCAATCTGTAATTAAAATAGAATTCTTTAGCAGAAATCTATCTGGAAAATTCCCAAAGGTTTGGAAACAAAGTAATGTGTTTGTCAATAACCAGGGGTAAAATAAGAAATCAAAAGGAAAATTAGAAAATATCTTGAAAAATAATCAAATGAGAACACAATATATCAACAATAGTGGAATGCCACTTCAGCAATATGTAGAAGGAAATATACAGCACTGGATTTCTACTTTAGAAAAAAGAAAACATCTCAAGCCAATGACCTCATCTTCCACTTTAAAAATTAGAAAAGAAGAGCAAATTAAGCCAAAGTAAGCATTAAAAGGGAAATAATAAAGATCAGAATGAAAAATCAATAAAATAGCAGACAGAAAAAAATAGAAAAAATCAATAAAACCAAAAGCTAGTTCTTTGAATAGATCAATAAAATTTAAAAACCTCTAGGTGTATTGATTTAAAAAATTACTTAAGACACAAATTCATCAATATTAGGATTTATAAAGGTGGGATCACTCAGATTCTACAGATATTAAAAGGATAATAAGGAAGTATTGTAAACTTTTATGCCTATAAATTTTAAAACTTAGATAAAATGGATAAATTCCTGGCAAGGCACAATCTACCAGAGCCCACTCAAAAAGAAAGAAAGAACCCAGACAATCCTCTATTTACGGAATAAATTGAATGTTTAGTTTAAAATGTATGCATGAAGAAAATTCCCGGTTGACATGGCTTCACTAGTGAACTCTACCAAACATTAAGAGAAGGAAAAATAACAATCCTTACAAACGTTTTCTGAAAATTGAAGAGATGAGAATAATTCCAAATTATTTTATGAGCCTATTATTGCTCTGATTTTAAAGTGAAACAAAGAAAACTATAGATGAATAACTAACTCTCATGAACATAAATGCAACATTTCTAAAGAAATTTAGCAAATCTAATCCAACAATATGTAAAAAGGATAAAACATGGTGAACAAGAAGGGTTTATCCCGGGAATACATTGATTGGGTTTTGATGTTCAAAACCCAATCAATGTAAATCACTATTAACTACAAAATAAAAGCAATATGATCATCTAAATAGATGTAGAAAAAAAATCTGAAAAAAACCCAACACCCATTCCTGATTAAAAACTATTAGAAAACTAGGAATAGAAAAGCATTTTCTCAACCAATTGAACAATTGAAGGGTAGCTATGAAAAACCTACAGCTAATATCATATTTCATGATAAAAGATGGAGTTTTCTTACTCTAAATTCAAGAATCAGGGAAAAGTGTCTGCTCTCACCACTCTATTTAACAGTGCTGGAAATATTAGCCAGCAAAACAGATAAAGAAAAATAAATAAATGGCATAGACTGGAAAGATTCATAGTTGGCACAATTATGTATATATAAAATCCTCAGGAATGTACACTTTACATACTAGAATTTAAAAGTAAGTTTAGCAACTGTGTTAGTTCGTTTTCATGCTGCTGATAAAGACATACCTGAGACTGGACAATTTACAAAAGAAAGGTTTATTGGACCTATAGTTCCACATGTCTGGGGAGGCCTCACAATCATGGCGGCAGGCAAGGAGGGGCAAGTCACATCTTATGTGGATGGCAACAGGCAAAGAGAGAGCTTGTGCAGGGAAACTCCTGTTTTTAAAACCACCAGATCTCATGACACCCATTCACTGTCAGGAGAACAGCATGGGAAAGACCCACCCCCATGATTCAATTGTCTCCCACAAGGCCCCTCCCATACCACATGGGAATTATGGGAGCTACAAGATGAGATTTGGGTGGGGACACAGAGCCAAACCACATCAGCAACATGTCAGAACACAGAAAAAATGTAAAATATCACTGTATTTCTATGTACTAGTAGTGAACTGTCAGATGTTAAAATTCAATTGCTTAGAATGGCATCAAAAATATGAAATACTGGCCAGGCGTTATGGCTCTTGCCTGTACTCCCATTGCTTTGGAAGGCTGAGGCGGGTGGATACCTTTGAGGCCAGGAGTTCAAGACCATCCTGAGCAACAGGGCAAAACCTTGTCTCTACTAAAAATACAAAAAATTAGCTGGGCATGGTGGCCTGTACCTATAATCCCAGCTACTTGGGAGGCTGAGACACAACAATCACTTGAACCTGGGATGCAGAGGTTGCAGGGAGCTGAGATTGAACCACTGTACTCCAGCCTGGGGAACAAACTGAGACTCTGTCTCAAAAAAAAAGAAAGAAATACTTATGGGTAAATCTGACAAAATAAGTGTAAGACCTGTACACTAAAAACTACAAAACATTGCTGAAATAAATTAAAGAAGACCTAAATAATCGGAGAGATATACTTTGTTTAAAGGTCAGAAGTCTCAGTATTGCTAAAATGAGAACTCTTCCCAATGCAGTGCTAATCAAATTTCTAGCAGGCTTTTTGTAGAAATTGAAAAGCAGATTTGAAATTCATATGGAAGTGCGAACAAAACCAAAAGAGCCAATATAACTTTAAAAAAGAGAAAAGATGAAGTTCTAAAACTATCTGCTTTCAAGATTTATTATAAAGCTACAAGTGATCAAAATATTCTAGTACTAGCAGCAAGATAGAGGAAAAGATCAATGAACCAAATAGAAAGTCCAGAAATAGACACACTCAAAAATATGGACAACTGATTTTGGACAATATTGCAAAAGCAATTCAATGAAGAAAGGATAGCCTTTTCAACAAACAGTACTGGAAGAGTTAGATTCCTGTATGCAGAAACAGACAAAAACAATGAACTTGGATGCAAACGTGCATTATATAAAAAGAAGTGATTCAAATGGATTGCAGATCTCAATGTAAAATCTAAAACTATAAACCTTTAGAAGAAAACATAAAAGAAAATCTTCATGACCTTGGGTTAGGCAGAGTTTTTAGGTATGACACCAAACACACAGTCCATAAAAAATAAATTGATAAATTAGACTTTATCAAAATTTAAAATTTTCATTCTTTGAAAGATACTCTGAAGAGATTGAAAAAATAAGCCACAGATTGGGAGAAAATGTTTGCCAAGAATACACATCTGATAATGCACTTATATCCAGAATATATGAAGAATTCTTAAAACTCAATAATAAGAAAATAGCCCCATTAAAAATAAAATAGGCAAAGGATTTCAACAGACATTTCCCCAAAGAAGATATATGGATGGTAATAAGCACATGAGAAGATGTCAGCATCATTAGGGAAGTTCAAATTAAAACCACCATGTGATACCACTACATGTATTTTAGAATTGCTAAAATTAAGAAGACTGACCATATGGGGTGAGGATATGGAGGAAATGAAATTCTCATACAATGCTATTGGTAATGTAAAATCAAACTACCACTTTGGAAAACAGATTAAAGTTTCGTGAAAAGTTAAACATGCACCTACCACATGTCCCAGCCTCTCAGTTCTACCAGAAAAGAAAGCAGATATCCATACAGAGATTTGTACACCAATGTTCATGGTACATTTATTGGTAAATAGCCCCAAACTGGAGACAACTCAAAAGTTCATCAACAGATGAATGGATAAACAAATTGTGATATATCCATACAATGGACTATTACTCAGTAAAAAAGAAAAAAAAGAAAATAATAGTAATGGATAATCACAACATGCATAAATCTCAAAAATAATTATATTAAGTAAAACAAACCAGTCAAAAAAGACCATATACTCTTTATTCCATTTTAATAAAACTATAGAAAATGAAAATCTTTGGTGATATAAAACAAACTAGTAGTGAGGAAGAGAGGCTTGGGAGGGAAATTATAAATTACATGAAGCAACTTTTGGGAGTGATAGAAATATTTACTATATTGATTGTTATGATGGTTTCATGGATATATACATATGCAAAAACATATCTACACTTCAAATATGTGGAATTTTTGTAGGTTATTTATACAGCAATAAGCCTGCTCAAAAAAGTAAATCGAGCAATGGAGGGTACCAAGATTTTACTTGCATATGACTGTTCTCTATCTAGCCTGCAAACAGGTGCACACAAAATCTGCAACTTTAACTGGAGCTTGCCAGGCAACACCTCTGCAACATTATGCAAATCACTGTGAGAAAGAGACAATAATTATGTCAAAAACCACCAAAATATGTTTGTTTCCACACACTTTTTTTAAAATTCCCAGATCTGGGCTGTCTACAGTATGTGCCTGCCAGTTAACCTAACTTGGGGCTTTTCACTTTGGTTTAAAGAATCTGAAATTGAGCTCTGCTCAAGTTAAGTGCATGTGGTGATTCATGTGCATGGAAAGTACCTTGGGCTGACCACAAACTAGAGTTCCCTACAACTACATCAATGTCAAAACTAACCACTGTCTCCTAGCTTGTTTGTTTAAAAAAAAAAATCCCATGGTCTTCAATTTGGTCATTTAAAAATAATCTACAAGGTATACTGTTTTTCTGTTCTTGTTATTTCCTAACTTTTAAGGTTTCTATTTTTCCACCCTGTAGATCTTGTTCTCACTAGAGAATAATTTCTACATTATGCCCAGGTTCTTCTGAGCTATGAAGGGGCCCAGATTTAAGGGCTATTTTTGACACCCTAAATGTGCTGAGACAAGTCATTAAGGTGGTCCTGCCAGGACACAGCCATCTAAAGCAGCAATCTGCTTCTTGCCAGAAAATCTCGTGCCTCTGCAGAGCCTTTTCCAGAATGAACCACACCATGCTGAGGTAGGGTAGAAGGGGCAGTACACCAATAGGCCTGGGTATTCTAGAACAATAGGCCTAGAACTTCTCATCAGCTCCTGTTTCTTTTCATCTCTAGGAAAGGAGAAAGAGACTACCTACTGCATTTCTGTCACTCGCTGAAAAGGACACTCTGTCAGAAAATCTTCTAGCAAACTTCAAAGGGCAAAATCACCCCTTGTTACTGATAAAGCCCAGAGAGCTTCAGCAGCTAACATTCCCTGGACAGGGCACAGCAAGGATTTGAACCTAGGTCAGTCTGGCCAGAACACCCACAAGCTTTCCTTAACTCAGTGTGCTATCTCCCCACGACTAGGTCACTACTGCTTTATAATCACCTTTGTAGCCACCAGTGGATTTTGCTCATCAGTATTTTTCAGGCAATTGATACTTTAGATATTCAGCTGCAAGACGTATGCAGTTTTCATTGACATCTTTTGGAGAAACTGACAAACCTGGACTTGACTTAATGCCTTTGGAACCTTCCAAGATGTTATATAACTCTAGATAGAAGGCTGGGCCTCCATGATGTCAGGAATGTTGCATTCTTATTTCCCCATAGATAAACCCATTTGTCCACAAAGTCAAGGAGTCAGGCAGAGGCCCTTGCCATGGGGCTTTTTAGGATAAAGCAACAAGCCTGGACTTTGCTCTACAACAGGGTTTTGCATAGGGAGTGGTATGACCAGATCCCTCAAGAAAGAAAGCTTAGAGACCAGGCCAGAGTCCACTGCAGTAGCCCAGTCAAGAGAGGATGGTGACTTGGACTTGTAGTAGAGCCAGTTAGAATGAAAGAAATTGACACATTCAGAAATGGTTTTAGAGATAGAGTCAAACTGGACCTGATAAAGAACTAGAGAAGCGGAGTGAGGATAAAGAGAAGAGCCATGACTGACTCGGAAGATTTTGTCTTGAAAAACTTGAGAACTCAAGACAGAGTGAAATAAAATCACATGTGGGAAAAATCTCCTGCTTTGTTTTGGACTACTTTGAAGTGAAATGCCTGTTAAGCCTAAGTGGGGTAGGTCATGGCGTACATGACTGTGGGCTCAGGATGGATACAGGCATTCAGGAGTTGTGAGCAAATAGAACTTAAAGCCATGAGAGAAGAAGGGATCACCAAGAGAGACAGTGTGGCATAGAGAAGAAAAGGGGTGGAAGACGATCCCTGGGCAGAAAAGTCCTTAGAGCAGAGGCAACAGGCATGACCAAGAAGACTAAGAAAGAACATTCAGTACAGCAGGAGGAGAGCAAAAAATGTGTGGTATTCTAGAAGCAAAGAGAATAAAGGGCTTCAGGAAGGAGCAGTCAAGTGTGTCAAATAAGATAAAGACAGACAAGTCCCCTGGATTGGGTAGGAATAAAATAACAACAGACTGCCATACAAATGGTTCTATCTACACCATCTAAAAGAATATAGTTTATTCTCCATACATTTAAGAAACACCTGCCATATGCCAGGTATCCTTTCAAGCACTGAAATGCAGATTCATAAAACATGGTCTCTGCTCTCAAGGAGCTCACAGTGGTAAGGAGGAAACAGGCAATAGCGAGTGTTCTCATTGCATTCGTGACCCCATTGATCTTGCAACAGCCCCATGCATCAGTTATTGCCATTATACCATTTTACCGATAAGGAAACTGTGGCAGGGAGGGGTCAAGCACCTTGGGTATTTGACAGCAAAACCAAGGCTTGGTGGTATCATAAAACTTCCAAGTAGTAATTCACAAAGGTGACTGGGAAATGGAAGTGACCAGAAATCTTTGCACTATGAGGACAAGTTCATGACCCTGATACATTCTTGTCCAGGTAGTATAGCTCCAGACCAAATGTCTGCGGCCACCCACCCAAAAACTTGTTGGATAAAAATGACTACACCTATAGTCAAATGATTTTTGACAAAGGTGCCAAACAGTTAGATAGGAAAAAGAAAGTTATTTTCAATAAATGTTGCTGGAGCAACCAGATATCCATATGGAAAAAAAATCTTGACCACCTACCTCACACCAAACACTAATATTAACTTGAGATGGATCATAAACCTAAGTCTGAAAACTAATAGTAAAGTTCTTGAGAAGAGAACATGGGAGAATGTCTTCATGATGTTCAGGTAGGCAAAGATATTTTAAGACACAAAAAAGCAATAAGCATAAAATTTGTAAAGAGGTGACTGGGGCTTTATCAAAATTAAAATTTATGTGTATTAAAAGACATCATGAATAAAGGGAAAAGGGCAGCCACAGACTGGGAGAAACTCTTTACTATACATATACCTAACTGAGGCTCATATCCAGATTATATGAAGAACTCCTTCATACTGATACCTAGGGTCTTGATTGCATGCCCCGAAATCAGTTGATTCTTCCCTTTTGAAATGCATTCCCACAAGGATCCAGCCTTTGGGAAGCCATGCAAGTAGAGGCAGAAGTTGTTTCAGCTTCGGAAAGGGCCACTCTGCTGAGGAGTGTCCTTGACCGGCAGAGAGAAGATGTTCCTGCAGCCATGCTGATTCCAGGGGGATATAGAATTTGGGGCCTGGGAATGTTTAAAAATGAAAGCCAGTTAATAGTTTTATTTTTCTTTTAACATGACAGACAGGAGAACAACCAGCAGGACTCCAGGCTTACCCTGACATTTTTGTCAAGTATATGCGGGTTCTCCAGAGAGCCAGAATCAAAAGATGTGTGTATATACAGCCATGTGTTGCATAACAACAAAGATACATTCTGTGAAATGTGTCCTTAGGCAATTTCATCGTTGTGCAAACATCATAGGGTGTATTTGCACACACCTAGATGGCATAGCCTACCACACACCTGGACTATGTGGTATAGCTTGTCACTCCTAGGCTTTGTACAGCATGCTACTATACTGAATACTGTAGGCAATTATAACACAATGGTAGGTATATATGTCTATGTAGACATATCTAACATAGAAAAGGTACAGTAACAATACAGTATAAAAAGTGAAAATTGCACACTTATATAGGGCACTTCCAATCAATGGAGCTTGTAGAACTGGAAGTTGCTCTGGGCGAGTCCGTGAGCAACTAAGACATTACACTGTGCGCTTAGGCTACACTAAATTTCTAAAAATATTTTTTAAAATATATAAGTTAGCCTTAGCTTACTGTAACTTTTTTACTTCATAAACTTTAAACTTCTTTTTAACATTTTGACTCTTTTGTAATAACACTTAGCTTAAAACAAAATCACACTGTAAAGCTCTACGAAAATATTGTCTTTCTCTATATCCCTATTCTATAAGCTTTTTTCTATTTAGAAATTTTTTATTTTTAAATTTTAAACCTTTTTGTTGAAAACTAAGACATAAACACACATTAGCATAGGCCTACACAGGGTCAGGATCATCAGTATCAGTATCTTCCGCCTCCACATCTCGTCCCACTGGAGGGTCTTCAGGGATGATAACATGCACGGAGCTGTCATCTCCTATGATAGCAACGCCTTTTTCTGGAACACCGCCTGAAGGACCTGACTGAGGATCTTCTTGAGGAGGTGTCACTCTTTTCAGAAATATGTCCATAGCATCTTGCTTAGTTGTTTCTTTTTTTCATCACAGATTTGTTTGTAAACAGATAATGCACCACGAACATTCCTCTCTATTAATAAAAACCTTTCAGTGTCGGGGGTCACTTTCAAACTTTTTAAAGAAAAAGTTGAGGTCTGCAAAAGCTTCTGCCAAATGCTTCACTGTGAATTTTCTCAGGGGTTCTTCTTTTCTTCTCCTGCAGTTTCTTTTCTCTTGCCTCTCTTCAGCTATGGATTCTGGTTCCAGTTCCTACAACTCATTAGTCAGTTTCTCAGGAACCGTTGTTTGCTGTCTCAACCACAGCCTTGTTGAGTAATATGCTGTCCTGTGATATTGTGATGGCTATGAAATCACTAGGTGATAGGAATTTTATTATATTATAATAATATATTATATATTATAATTATAATATATAATTTATATATAGAATATATAATATATTATGCTATTATAATCTCATGAGACCACCATCAGATATGTGATCCTTTATTGACCAAAACATTGTTATGCAGTGTGTGACTGTATATATAGGTATATGAAGAAATTTATATTAAGGAATCGGTTCACATGATTATGGAGGCTGACAAGTCCAAAATCTGCAGGGTGGGCTGGCAACCTGGAGACCCAGGAAGAGTCAATGTTGCAGTTCAAGTCTGAAGGCCATAGGCTGCAGAATCCCCTCTTGCTTAATCTTCTGTTTTATTCAGTCTTTCAACTGATTGGATGAGGCCCATCCTCATTATGAGGGTGATCTGCTTTACTCAAAGCCCATCCATTTCAATGTAAAAATCTCATCCAAAAACACCTACAGAAACATCTGGAATAATGTTTGGCCACATGTCTAGACACTGTAGCCCAGCCAAAGTGACGCTTAAAATGAACCATCACACCAATTGTGCTATTGACCTGTACCCACTGAGGTGAGACATGATCAGAGACTGGGCAATTTTCACAGTTTGGACACAGCTATGAGCAACATAGCAGTGATTCAGCAAGCTCACAATAGCTTTACCAGGCAGCAAATTGAAGCAGATTACAGCTACTAGGAAAGACGCTTCTCATTTTGTGAGATGTGCTCCCGTGGCTGAAAGATTGTGTGAATTAGGTAGATTGAGGGAAGGGCCAATTGATTTAGAGTACTGCAATCAAGACAACTGGATAGCCTAGTGATGCCAGCTCAGAAAAAGAATAGTAAAGTATAGTGAAAACAAAAATTCAATTTAACCTGGTTCTAGCAGAACACCAGCAAATAAGGAAAACAAACAAACAAACAAACAAACAAACAAAAAACAGCTGCAGAGAAAACTCAAGAAGCCCCATAGAGAGGGTACTTTGGGATCTGATGCATGCTTGCTGATGGTGCCCATCCATCCTGTCTCTGCTGGACGCCTAACAGTGTTCCTCACCTGCACTGTAGGTGTCCAATGCATGCTAAGTAAAAGTGATATTAAGAGCTGCGTGCCAAATTTCATTTCACATTATATCTCAGAATTTCTTTTAGTTTTTCTGGAAATGTAACTACTATAATGGACCTTACAAATGCACAAATGGGGCCGGGTGCTGTGGCTCATGCCTGTAATCCCAGCATTTTGGGAGGCCGAGGTGGGTGGATCACTTGAAGTCAGAAGTTTGAGACCAGCCTGGCCAACATGAAGAAACTGTGTCTCTACTAAAACTACAAAAATTAGCCGGACTTGGTGGTAGGCACCTGTAATCCCAGCTACTCAGGATGCTGAAGCAGGAGAATCACTTGAACCTGGGAGGCAGAGGCTGAGGTGAGCTGAGATCACACCAATGCACTCCAGCCCAGGCAACAGAGAGACTCTGTCTCAAAAAAAAAAAAAAAAAAAGCACAAATGGTATTCTGTATCTGAAAATTGTTTGGATTAACTTTTGATTCTTGCCTGGTTAAAGAATTACAATTCTTACCTCAGATCATGCTTAAACTATCTTATTTCTTCTCATCACAATAAAATAAATTAGTGTCATTTTTATACTTGATTGCCTCAAGGATATTTTAACACAATTTTGTTTCTTATCTTTTGTACCACTCATTTGAAAACTTATGGTCTTAATGCAAATAATCTGAAAGTAATAAAAGTATAACTCCTAGTAATTTCCATATTGCTGCCTGTAGAAAAGTTATAAACATCCCAATTTATTCTGGCAAGAAAAAAATTTTTAGTAAGCAAAAGCCTTGACTGACCAAGTGCTTCACAAAAGAGGATATCTAAATGGCCAATAAGCACATGAAAATGTTCTCAAACCATTATTTATCAAGGAAATGCAAATTAAAACCACAACAAGATACCATAACACACCCACTTAAGTGTCTAAAGAGACTGACCATACCAAATGTTGGCAAGTAGACAAAGCAATTGGAGCTCTCACTGCTGGTAGAAATGCAAAATGATACAGTAACATTGGACAAATGTTTGGGATTTTCTAGCAAAATTAAACATTCACCTCTCAGATCACCCAGGAATTCTACTCCTAGGTTTTTCTCAAGGAGAAGTTAAGTGCAAATATCCATCAAAATGCTCATAAATTTTATTTGTAATAGCTAAAAACAAGACACAACTCAAATACCTATTAAATGTTTATCTAGACACAATCCAAATGTAATACAGTCATGCTCTGCACAATCATGGTCCCATGAAATTATAATGGAAGGAAAAATTCCTATCACCCAAGTGCACACTGTTTATAAAGTCCACAGCGGTGTACAATAACATCCTAGGCTTTCACATTCACTCACCACTCACTCACTGACTCACCAGAGCAACTTCCAGTCCTGCAAGCTCCATTCATGGTAAGTGCCCTGTACAGGCGTGCCATTTTTATCTTTTATACCATATTTTTACCATACCTTTTTTAATTTTTAGGTATGTTTGGATACATGAATATTTACCATTGTGTTACAATTGCCAACAGTATTCAGTACAATAACATGCAGCAAACGTTTGTAGCCTAGGAGCAATAGGCCTTACAGCCTGGGTATGCAGTAGGCTGCAAAGTGTAGAATTGTGTAAGTACACTCTATGATGTTCACACAACACAAAATTACCTAATGACGCATTTCTCAGAATGTATCCTTGTGACTGTCACTGTCTAGACATACATACAATGAAAAACTACTCAGCAATGAAAAAGAATAAACTGCTGACACACAAACTTGGATGAATCTCAAAAACATTCTGGATGAAAGAAACTACTCAAAAAGAATGTTTACTGTATGATTCCATTTTTATGTTTAAGAACAGGTAAAATTAACCTGTGATGACAGACATCAGAGTCATGGTTACTCCTGAGGAGAGGGGTTTACTAGATGGGACAGGAGGGGACTCTCTCCTTCTCTAGGGTGGCAGAAATGCTCTGGATCCTGGAGTGGGTGATGGTTGCATGGGGTCATACATAAATAAAACTTGCTTTTTACATATAGATTTTATTCTATGTAATTTATATCTCAATTTTTAAACTGCAGAACAAAATAAAGATGGAGAGCAGGGAGCTGTGCTTTTTCCATTTTACTCCCAGGTGCCAGAAAGGAGCACTTCTGGAGGGGCTGAGGCTACAGGAGGTTAGAGAACTTCTGCAGGTCCAGAGACAGCTTAGAACCAAGCTCTGGCTGGTCTTCCCTCCAGCAGCTGGGAGGAGGGCCTCTCTCCACTTGACAGAGCAGCCCAGCCCCAACTTGGCAGCCTGCAAGTGAAAACAGCTTCTCTGTAGAAAGTACTAGAACATCCACCCCCTTTCACAGTGCGGCTGGCTTCCTCCATCAGTCTCTACAGGTGTCAGAAGGCATTGATAGCACCCTAACCACAGCCCCGGGGACTCTCCATGCCCAGTCATAATTCAACGGCACCAGGGTGACCCCTCAGTGGAGAGGCAGGCTTTCTTTGAGACTGTGAACATTGAACCAGGACCACTTGCCCCTGACGGTCTTTCCAGGCAGACTGGGAGACAGTGGCATTGGGACCATTCTTTCTTGGGCTACTCTGGGCCAGACATCTAATCAAATGCTCTCTTTCCCATCCACTGATTCCATAAGCCCCAGAGTGAGTCAGGTTTCTCACCCCAAGTGGAGGGGCCACTCACGCTAGGGGGCTATGTTCCTGCGTTCAGATCCCTCCTTTCTTCCTCTGTCCTCTCCCCCATCTCTTCAGCTGTACTTTCTCCTGTGCTCACTTTATTCTCTAGATTAATTTCTTGCCTCATCCTTACACTCTTGAGTTCAGAATAACTTCTGAACTTCTCTCTCCCAGGGTTCACACCAGTTGCCCAAAGAGGACTGTAATTGGGCCACTCCAGGACCAATCACTGTGGCAGGGGCACAGACTCTCTGATTGGCCAACCAGGTGATGGGATCACCCTTGGCTGACAGTCCCACTCCCTGCAGCCAGGGAAGAGCAGAGTCAAAAAGAAAGCAAAGCCACGCATGCAGAGAGGTTACCAGTGTCCATCCAGACGCCCACTTCACAGACAGGTAGCCAAGCGCCAGAGCCCGGCTATTGTAGCCCTAAGTGGTAAGACAGCTTTGAGACCAGCTGCCGGTCAGGGGTCAAGGCGCAGGAACCGGAAACCCCCAGAAGCCTGTCTGCTTCCCACTTTCACATAAGAGGATGAGCCCCGTCCTCTACAGCTTGTGGCACTCTCGCTCCACCGAGCCGGAAGCCATGGAGCAGACAGAGTCCCAGTCCTGACTCCTCCCACTTCCCACAACCCATACTGCTATCACTGGCAATCACAGTAGGAGGGTTTCTCTCTGTGCAAACAATGATACTGATCTGGCTCTTGGTAAAATCAGGGGCAGGTGTTCCCTTCTGGAGGGGGCTGCACAGGAAGGATTTCCCTGCTGTGAGGGAAACACGGGACTGGGAGAGGAGCCCTGACACACCACACACAGGCCTCTGCTTGTCTTCAGTCTCCGGAAAATAGAAGTTAGGGGGCAGGGAGGGGAGTGGGGAAGACGAGAGGTGTTCTCCCTGGGTTTGAGAAATTGGGCCTGGGAGGGGACCCCTTCAGACAGCACCCGGCTGCCCTGGGACTTATGGCAATAAGCAGGTAGCCGCCTTTTCTTTTATACCCTGCCCTCGGACATCAGCTGCCAGTTCCTGTCTCGCAGTGTGACAGAGTCTTTTCCTCCCATCCTGAGTCCTGCAGAAGCGCCCAAGCTTCTAAGGACATCCCCAACACGGTCCCTATTCCTGGTGAGTGACACACAGGGGAGGGTCCGTGCTACAGGGACCGTGGAAGGAAACAATTTGAAGGAAGCCTAATGAAAGCAGTGACTCCTGAGCTGGGATGTGAAAGATGAATAGGAGTCTTCCACGTAGTGGGGCCTTGGGGGCAGAGCATTCCAGACAGTGGGATTAGCAATGTCATCAGGTGTGGTCCTGGCAATTGCTGGCTCTTTGCTATTTATTGGGAGATAAAGGTGAGTCCTCCGGTGGAGAGAAGAAAGGAGACGAGGAAGGTGGCAGACCCGGCAGGGCCCCCGGGCCCTGCTACTCCCCACGTCTGAGTCCATCTCCATGACTCTGCCATTTCCCACCATCCAGATCACTGTTAGCCTAACACTGTTCTTCAGACCAATGGAGAAGTAAATCCATTTAATTCCACTACCAAAATGAAAAACCATGTTACTTGTCCTAAATAGAAGATGACCACAAAACCCAAAAAGTCACTATTAAAATAAACAGCATCAATTTTTATGCCACCTAAAGCCACCTGATGTGCCACACACCGTATTTTGAGAAACTGCCATAGGCAACAAGGAGCCAAGAAAGGATTTTCAGCAAGGGAATCATATGATCAGATTTGTCCTTTATAAAGACCAGTCCGAAGAGAAGGGATCAAGGGGCTGAAAGAGGGCCAGGCCAGAGGAGAAAGCAGTTCATCAGTTGTCTATTTTTACAAACCCTGTACACAGTTGCTCTTTTTTATTTAGTTGTCCTTGAAACTGAATTCCACATAAAACTAAATTGGGCATCCCCTTCTAGAAGCAGCTCAGTATCACTAGCAACCTGGAATGGTGGAAATGTCCATTTGCTACAAAGGACCATTTGGTGATGAGTGGCCGGCTTGAGTCCCACCTGGCCCTCACTTTCCTCACTTTGAGGGGTGAATTTAGAATCTGGGCTTTCTGATATCTCCGGGTGTAGAAGCAAGCAAAAACCCCTTCTCTCTTTTCAGGGCTGAACTCATCCAGAGGGAAGTGGAGATGGTGCTGGCTGTGGTTATCTTTCCTCCACTCGAGGGATTGAAGCTAGGCTGTCCCACGGCACCGGGCTCGTGGCTGGCCCTGGGTGTGTCGAGTTCATGTATTGTCTCCAGCAGTAGCCGAGGAGTGACAGCCTTGTGTGCAGGCCTGAAAGCCAGGGCAACTCCCAGGTTTCATTGCTGCGGTGGCTAATTTTTATGTCAGCTTGGTTAGGCCGTGCTACCCAGCTGTTTGGTCAAGCACCAGTCTCCATGTTTCTGTGAAGGCATTTTTTAGATGTCGTTAACATTGAAATCAACAGACTTTGACTAAAGCCAAGCAGATTACCTGTCATAACATGAGTGGGCCTCATTCCATCAGTTGAAGGCCTGAAAGGAAAAGACTGAGGTCCCCCAAGGAAGTCAGAATTCTCCTCCAGACTACAACATAGAAATCCTGCTCAAGTTTTCTAGATTTAGGATCCCAGACTGCAACATTAACTCCTACCAGATGTTCTAGCTTGTCACCCTGCTCTGCAGCTTTCAGGTTCTCTCTCTCTCTCTCTCCATCCTATTAGTTCTATTTCTCTGAAGAATCCTGATTCATACAATTGCTATAACCTGGGGCAAGCCACAGCTTTATTGTCGTTGTTTTTAATCTATGGCCATCATCCCCAAATGTAGTGGTTAAAAACAACAGTTGGCCGGGCGCAGTGGCTCACCCCTGTAATTCCAGCACTTTGGGAGGCCTAGGTGTGTGGATCAGGAGGTCAGGAGATGGAGACCATACTGGCTAACATGGTGAAACCCCATCCCTACTAAAAATACAAAAACAAAAACAAATTAGGTGGGCGTGGTGGTGGGCGCCTGTAGTCCCAGCTACTCAGGAAGCTGAGGCAGGAGAATGGCGTGAACCCGGAAGGCGGAGCTTGCAGTGAGCCGAGATCGTGCCACTGCACTCCAGCCTGGGCGACAGAGCGAGACTCCATCTCAAAAAAAAGAACAAAAACAAACAAAAAAAACCCAGTCATTTTATTATTTCTGTGGGTTGACTGCTTGGTAGGTTTCCATTTCCGTGTGACACTGGTGACATTAGCAGGGGCTACAGTCATTTGGAGTTCAACCGGGCTGGAGCCTCCAAGCAGTCTCCCCTGATGTGGCTGGCATTCGGTGCTACCTGCTGGCTGCGACCCTGACTCGTGCTGGGGCTGTCACCACGGAGCCTAGGTTCTCTTCCACATGCCTCTGTATGTGGCCCCGTCTTCTTTTAGCATGGAGACTGGGGCCCAGGGGAAGGAAGGTAGCAGAAGCTGCCAGTTAACACTTAAGGTCTTGGCTCAGAAGTCCCAGAGTATAATTCTGTAGGATTTTCTTGGGCAGAGCAGTCCCAGGGCCAGTCCAGACTCAGGCGAGAGGTGGGGGTGGGCATGGGGTAGATTCCACCTCTCAGTGGGTGGTGGCAAGTGCGTAGAGGATAGAATGAAGGGACGGCGACCATCTTTGGAAACTCTCCACCACACCAGATAGATTTCCCCTTTTGCCTTGAGAAATCCAGTGATACATAAACATCATTATGTTATTTACGTCAATTTGGGAATAAATGTGTTAATTTGCAATGTAGTCTCTGTCCACTTCCCAAGAGGATATGTAGTAGCTTTTAATGAAGGTATTACAGAAATAGTATTGTTTCTATCAAAATAAAAAATGATTAAAGGCTATGCAGAGATAGGAGAAAGACACAGTATATCTTTAAGCTTGATGAAAGTAGTTTCTGCCATTGTGTTTCCAGCTCACCAAGCTCCTGTATCTACTGGAAAATGGAAGTCCAGCCTTACCAACTTGTGAACCTTGTCTGAAGGGAGCCAGGGCCTGCCAATGGAACCACCTCCAGGAGCTGCAACTGCTGTTGTCATTAATACCATTGTGTCTATTTTTTGAGAGAGATAAACTTTTCATGGTGTTACATTTTGGAAAAAAAAAAAAAAGACTAGGTGAACAGTCAGGTAGGAAAGCAGCATAACAGTCCCTTAAATTCTGATCATGTAGGACATTCTTCTTTGCCCTGGGCCTGGGAAAATGCAGCATGTTCCAGAGCAAAAGTCCTAATGAGGGGAACTAAACCAGTGGGACCCAAACCAATGTCCTGGCTCACTGAGGACCCGTTAGAACCAAATCTCTGGGTGTGGACAGGCTCCCATACTTTTCAAAAATTCCCCTGATGACTAATGAACAACCAGAGGTAAGAACCAGTGGCCCAGAGGAATAACCAGCCCAGCTGTTGTACGAGCTCGCTAAGCTGGCTCAGGTCAATGTTGAATTCTCTGCTAGGCAGCTCCTCATAAGAACTGGCAGAGATGGTTCTTACACAACAACAGGTGACAACTCCAGACTCTGCCGGAAGTTCCAGGATCTGGGTTCCCGGACAATGCATGACACTCAGTCCAGCATTGCAGGTGGAAGAGCGACGGTGAAAAGACCAAAGTCAATTAAAATGTGTTAACCAAAACAGGAAACATGAGTGAGGTGATTGAGAGTGTGTTTAACTTAGATGTGTGATTTTATCAATACTTTCATTGTTCAAAAACTCTTATTTTTTAAAGATATTTTCAAAACAAATCCAAACTTTACTTTTCATTCCAAATTCGTGTTCCGTCTATACTTGCATTTGGGGAAAGATTGAAACAAAACACAAATACTTTGTAGCAATGTTGGAGTGTCATGTTCTTTGCAGAGGGACAGGAAAAAAAAAGGATTTTTTTTTCTTATCAAGAGATACTGTTTCCTCAAGGAGAAAGGGCATCAGTCCAAGGCACTGGTTTGCTCAAAAAGATTAGTAAAGAACAAGCATATTTTGTCTGTGGTGACAACATGATCTCCCCCCCCCCACTAGTAAACTCACAGCATCAGTACGCAGGCAGTGTGATGCATTTTCAAAGTTCCTCACTTTTCCAGATCCAACAGGACTCTTGTGCACATACTCGGTGTTTCCATGGCAAATCCACTGTGTATGAAAATTAGACCCTTCCAAAAAACAAATTTACTAGTCAGTAACCATCATCAGCACTTTTTTTCTGTACCATGAAATTTGGGAACAAAATTAAAGGGCTCTTGATTGAAATCCATCTCTCTTTTTGGATTCAGCTGTCAGGTATACTTTCCTTAATAAGTCTCTGTGAAGTGACCTGGTTGGATATGCTAGTTTTCCATTTTATAAATACCATGCACTCATGAAAACATTGTAGAAACATATTCAAGAACATGGAAAGATGATCACTGTAGAATTCTGAGCGGAAAAGAAGTATATTATGAAAAGTATGCAGTGCAATGATCCCATTTTGCATATCTAGCTAGCTAGCCATCTGTCTTAGTCCATTTGAGCTGCTATAACAAAATACCTCAGACTGGGGAATTTATAAACCATAGAAATGTATTGCTCACACTTCTGGAGCTTGAGAAGTCCAAGATCAGGGTGTCGGCAGATTCAGGGTCTGGTGAAGGCTCTCTCTGCTTCATAGATGGCACGTCTTGCTGCTTCCTCACGTGGTGGAAGGTGTGAACAGCTAGCTCCCTCACACATCTTTTAGAAAGTGATGAATCCCATTTGTAAGGGCTCTGTCCTCATGGCTTCCTCACCTATTGGCAATTAAGTTTTAAGGTGTGAATCTTGGGGGTACACATTCAGACCATAGCACTAGCTACCTATTTTTTGACCTGCCTACAAACATGCATACACAATACCTTCAAAGAGATACAGCATAATGTCCACAGGGGCGATCTCTGTTTTATTTCCTTTTTTTGTTTGTATTTATTTTCAATTCAAGAGGTGTGTGAATTCTTATTTATGTAAGGCTAAAAAAAAAAGACAACAAGAGGTATTGAAGGAGCTAAGATCCCCAGGGGAATAAACCAGCTAGTACATCTGCCCTACTGTGAATTGAAACCGCAGCCTCTCAGGCAGGCCACACCGCAGGGAGGGACACTTGCTCCCACGCCCAGCACAAGCATAGATGTGAGAGCATTCGGCAGAACTCATCCTACTGGCTGTAATGATTAACTGCAGTTATGGAGAATGTTCTTGATGTTTTTGAGACTCAGTTTCTGGAGAGAAAGCACAGCTATAGAATTGGCAGGTTCAGAACTGGACACTGGAGTGAGTGGTCCACTCAGGCTAGGAGATCAAGAATCCTCCGACTTGCATCCAGGCAGGACAGAACTGGCCACCCTGGCAAGCTAGCCCTTAGTGGCCCTGAAAACAGACATCTTTCACCATTTAGCTTTTATCTGGAGGAGAGTTTGTTCCTGGGAAGGCCTAGATGTGGCTTTCTGGGGACTGACAGGGTTTGTATGGTGCCCCTCACACCCTGGCACCTCGGTCAGTGCCCAGCCCAACCCTGCCAAAGCTCTGCCTGACTTTCCTGTACACAGGGAGGGTGGACAGTGCCCAATAATCAGGGACTGGGGACCCAGGGTTCTGGGTCCCATGAGGGATGTCAGGCAATGCAAGCCTGCACTTCATCACCTGCAAAAAGGGTCTTGTGGAGCCTCTGTAGCACTCAGCTGTATGAATTAAACGTGTGCATGGAAATTGCCTGAGTGCCCTGTCCCCACTATTATCAAGCCATGTGGTTGCTAGAGTACAGAAAAAATACATATATTTGGTAATTTCCTCAGGGGTGGGGATTTTTATGTTTTGCTCACTGCGTCCTAGTGCCTAGAATGGTGCCTGACACAGAATAAGCATCCAATAAACATATCCATCAGTGAGTGCATGAATGAATGAAGGAAGGAATGAAAATTGCTAGAAATCAAAGAAGCCCACATAACAACACCACCATGTTTTCATTTTGTATTTTAAGCCGCCAAAAAAAAAAAAAAAAAAAAAACCAGCTTACTGATTTTTTGCAGTAAGCGGTGTTTTGTACTTACAAAATACAAAAAATCCTGGTGAAGTTTGATGGGATCTGCCAGGTGTCTACTATTGAGGGCAACATATATCAATGTAACTCTTTTGGAAAGCAATTTAGTAATACAGTCATTTAAAAGTTCCTACTCAGTAATTCTAGTTCTGTAACTTTATGTTAACCAAACAGTCCAGAAAAAGGAAAACATCACATGCAGAAAATGTTCACTGAAAAATAATAATGAAGAAATGAATGCAGTCCTAGTGGATAGGCGAATAACTTGTGTTTATTGAGGCCTGTGTAGCAGGGTGGCAAAGCAGTGAGTAAAAAAAGCAGGAAGTGGAAGTGTCAGTATATAAGGAGTCCAACCGTAAAATATATTTTTGGGAAAAGCCTGGAAGGATAGAGAGTTTATGTATTTTTTTCCTCTAATTTTTGTCATCACACTCTTTTTAACCAAAAAGAACTCAACCAAATCAGACTGGCATACATCAGGCCATGCCTACTTGAGAAGCTAGGTTTTCAAATCACAGTAGGGTAGATGTGCTAGCTGGCTTATTGCCCTAGGAATCTTGGCTCCTTCAATATTTCATCTTTTTTCTTTTGTCTTACATAAATAATAATTCACACACATCTTCTCCTGTAGGCACAGGTATGGCAGCTGTACAAGGCACTAGAGCATGTACATGGTTCCCCAGGGAGGGATCTACCATCACCACCCACCCTCCCAGCTCTGGGAGGATCCTCAGCCTCCAGGTTTCATGCCACTGGACAGGGCAGTTTTAAGACAGACTTGGCCATGGGGCCACCATCCTTGAGTATCAATTACAGCTGTAGGGCCAACATCACTTAGCACGATCTGACCACAGATGGGATAATATTGCCAGAAATAATTCTTTGGACTTTGGCACAGCAGGTATTGATTGAACAATCTCTGATTGTGGTCCAGTAAGCACTTTGACTGGCTTTGGATGGTGAAACCAGGAATGCATCAAGACACACTTCCTTCCACCTGCAGGAGGGCAGTATCCAGTTTACCTATAAGGGGTATCAGCTTCTTAAAATTTAAGGACAGCCCCCTGCAGACAGCCTCTGATTCTTGCTGATTCAGCACAAAGATGTGGTTCTTAATCTTGCTGAAATCACCTGGGAAGCTTTAAAAATCATTGATCTCTGACTCCCCCTCCCAGGGACTCTGTGTTAAATGGCTTGCTGAACAGTCCAGGGCATTGGAAATTTTTAAAGCTCCCCAGATGGTTTATATGAGCAGCTAAGGATGATCTACTGTCTTATGGTATCAGCAGCAGAGATCTCTATTGAGCACACTCAGATTGAGCCCATAGGTGGTCATAATCTCGGTGCAGAGCCACAAGGGTAAGAGGCCCAGAGGTTAGGGCTTACGGAGACTGAGAGGCTGGGTGCAGTGTGGCTCTCCATCACTCACTGGCACTGCAACCTTGGCCCAGTTGCATACTCCTTCTGAGCCTCTACTTCCCCATCTAAAAAGTGGGGATGGTGACCACCTTGCCAACCTCACAGGGCTGTTCAGAATATAATGAGACAGTGCCAAAGGAGGTGGGCACCTCAGGAGGTGAGCACACAGCTGTTCTCATGGATTGTCTGGGCATCTTGAAAGAATACCAGCACTTTGAATTCACAGAGCCTTGTCTACACCCCCAGTACTCTTCATAGACCTGATGGAGAGCTACACACCTGGCTTATCTATTAAGCAACCTAGATACCCAGTGAATTAGTGGGTCTGCAATTTGCAGAAAATAGGAAATGGAGGAAATGGAAATAGGGCAGATGATGTGAAATTCTCCCAAGATCTCCACGGAAGGGCTTTGTCTTAGTCAGTTTGGGATGCTATAAAAAAAAATCATAGACTGAGTGACTTAAGCAACAAACATTTATTTCTCACAGTTCTGAAAGCTGAGGAGTCTGAGATCAATGTGCTAGCAGCCGTGGGGGTCCTCTTCCTGGTTCGTGGTCAGCCGTCTTCTCACTGTGTCCTCACATGGCAGAAGAGGCAAGAGTGAGCTCTGGGCCTCTTTGATCAGGGCATTAATCCCATTCATAAGGGCTCCACCCTCATGACGTCTTCACCTCCCAAAGGCCCCACCTCCAATACCATCACCTGGGGGGTTAGGATTTCAACATAGGAATTTATGGGGACACACAAATATTTAGACAGTGACAGAGTTAATTCAGGTATATTTAGCAAGAATTTAGACCCATCCTCAGAAGAGAATTTGACCCGTTTAGCAGTGAAATTATCTCCTTTAGTGGGCAAAAAAGCAGAAATCAGTAAGATTTCTGAGACCCACCCAAGCAGAAAGCTCCAGACTCAAGACAATGCAGGGAAACTGCCAGGGGCCAGAATCTGGGGCCTGTATCTTAAAGAGGAGATAAATTCACAAATACTCAGCATCCTCAAGTGAGTTTCTCACTCCCTGATGGCCCTGACAGTCACAGAGTGATTCCAGGGAAAAGGAATCTTCATTCGGTCACTTAAGCTGAAGAGCTAAGCAGTGAACACATTACATTTTAGGAAATGTGTGATAATTGCTGGCCATACACATACTGATTTCTTCCCCTACCCCTGCAGCAGGGCTGAGGTTTCATAGCTGACTAAAATGAACTGGAGAATCACATCCCTGTCTCTGGTTTGGCCTGGAAGGGACTGGCCCTTGGCATTGTGTGGCTGACAACCACTGGAGGAGGCTTCTTGCTTCCTGGTTCAGCCATGGAAGTAGCTGTAGGTCAAGGCCACGCCAAGGGCATGTGGTGGGCAGTCCACCCCTCTGCCTATCCTCCCTTCTGGCTGTCTACTGCAAGCAATCTCAAGGTGGTCTTTGGGTTCTGTCTCGTGTTAAACACACACGTACACACACACGCACCCTTCTCTTTTTTTAAAGGTGTGTGTAGTAACCATAGAAACTGTCTTTTGCACTCATTTGCGTTTTGGAAAAAAGTCCCTCCTGTGTGTGTGTCTGGCTTATGTTGTCTCCACTGAATTGTGGGCTCCTGGGGGGAAGGGATCTGTGTCTTGGAGGGGAGTCTGAGAGAGACTTCTGCCTTCCCCCTGCAAGCGGGGCCAAGGCTCTGGCTTCGTTAGAGCCAAGGCTCAAGGAACATACAAGAGGTAGCCAAAAACTAGGCACCCCACCCATCCACCCAGCTTTGTAAAGTGTGAGCTGAGGTTCTGGTGCAGCAACTCATTTAATCCTTGTCACAGCATCCTGATTTCCCCACCACCATTATCTCCATTTTAAAGATGGGGAAACTGAGGCACAGGGTGTCTAAGTAACAAGCCAAGGTGCCACAGTTACTAAAACTGCAGGACCCAGGATATAAACCCTGGCCATCAGCACCTGAGCCCACAGTTATAATCACTCTACCAGGCTGCTGTGCTCCTACACGGGGCAGGGTTTCTGGGGGTCACTAGCCTGGCTGGCCCAGCATTCCCTGGGAGATTTGACATGCAGATGTCCACACACACCCCTGCTGAATCAGGATCTGAGGAGACTTGAGGCCTAGGAATCTCTAGCTGATTCAGTGTGGCAGGCCACACAAAGGTTACTAGCATCCTTAGGACTAAAACTAGATTATAGTTTCTGCATGGACCTGCCTGGATACAGACATGTTCCTGAAAAGACCTGGGTATATAGCAATTGTGGCCTGTGAATCAAAGCCCAAAGCTACTAGGGGAGCCAGTTCTGGAAAGATCTCTCCAACAGCTGTTTACAGAGCCCAAGGGCTCCCCAAGAGGCATCTTTGCCTCAAACCACTTAGCTCTTCCATCCAACACACTTGAATCAAGCCTTTCTTTTCTTTTTCTTTCTTTTTTTTTTTTTTTTTTTTTGAGACAGAGTCTTACTCTGTCACCCAGGCTGGAGTGCAATGATGCAATCTCAGCTCACTGCAACTTCTGCTTCCTGGGTTCAAGCGATTCTCCTGCCTCAGCTTTCTGGGATTACAGGCATGCGCCACCATGCCCGGCTAATTTTTGTATTTTTAGTAGAGATGGAGTTTCACCATATTGGCCAGGTTGGTCTCAAACTCCTAAACTCAGGTAATCCGCCCACCTCGGCCTCCCAAAGTGCTGGGATTACAGGCATGAGCCACCACACCCAGCTTGTATTGAGCCTTTTCTACGGGTTAGGGAAACTGGCATGGTGTGTGCTCAACACGCAGAAGACAGGCAGCTCTCTGGTTGTGCATGGAGCTCCCAGCACAATGCCCAGCCCGTGGGACGGAGCAGAGCAGCCAGGCTGCTGACTGGGTAGAAAGAACACCTAGGACAAGCCTGGCGGGAAGTCTGGCAGACCCGCAAACCCTATTCGCCTCATGCATAAAATGCATGTGATGATAATAATAAAGGCTGCCTGGTCTGCTTTACAAAGTGGGAGGGAGATTGGCCAGTTTGGCCATCAACATTAGACACTCTCCATATGCTGAGTGATTTGCCACCACTCATTTCACCTACCTGGAGGTCCTGAGGGGAAGAGATTTTCATCTCCATTCAATGAAGGATGCTAAGGAGTAAATGCAGAGCTGAGATTGCTACCCAGCTCTGCAGACTGTAAGCAATTTTCACTGTGATGATCAAAGTGGAAGAGTGGAATGAGGACAACAGTGACAATATTGGAGGCCTGCACTGTGGGACCCAAGGCAGGAGGGCACAGGCCTCTGAGATCTGGGTTGAATGCCCTGGGGCCTGGGCTGGAGGGGGAGAAGTTAGTGAGCTGGAAGTCTGAACAGGTTTGCAAAGGGTAGGGCTGGCCTGGGGAGCCCATGACCCATGTACATTGGTGCAATGGTGATAACGAGGACGATAATTTTTAAAAAGAATACCACCTCCATACTTAAAAACATGGAGAAAATGCATTAGCCAAGATGACTGCAATAAGATCTCCTATCCCAAATGGTCTTCTCACTCCTCCCAAAAAGAGGTGGGGTTTATTGTCCATCCTTGAATCTGGGTGGACCTGCAACTATGGCAGAAGTGACATTCTGTGACTTCTGAAGCCAGGTTATGAAAGGCAATGCAGCTTCCTCCTGGTCTTATTGGGACACTCCCATTTGGAACCCAGACACCATGCTGTGGGGTAGCTCAGGCCACATGGAGAGACCATATAGAGGTGTTCCAGCCAACAGCACCAGCTGAGATCCCACCAACAGACAACGTCAACCACCATCCACCACCATCCCTGTCAGTCCAGAAGCCTTCAGGTGACTCCAGCCTAGCCTGACCGCATCTACAAAAAGGACCGTGAGTGGCCCTTCTGAGCTCAGTCAGCCACCAGAACTATGAGAGCTAATAAAAAAGGATTGGTGCTATGGTTTAAGCTACTAAGTTGTAGATGGCTCATTATACATCAATAGATCACTAGAAGAGGAAAAATCCATTTTATTTGGGGCTTAGGCGAAAGTGAAGTGCCTGGGCCAGGTAACAATTAATTTCCTCACTTTCGGTACTATAACAATTTCTAGAAGCTCAGTAACTATTTCTAACATTTTAAATTTATTTTTGTTGGATTTGGAAGAAAAGTAAATGCATTTTTTTTTTTTTGCAAGGAGAGAGGATGTAGGTTTGGTCTTGTCTAAGCTCATGCAGACATACCTCACAGATAACATCTTGGTTCTTTTTGGCAAAGATGGAATAGCCCAGGCGTTGAAGATGGTATGTGCATGGGTGAGTGAGTGTGTGAGTGAGTATGTGTGTGTATGTTTTTACTTTTAGTGATCGGAATTTTCAAGGAAGGAGGAAGAAAGAATAAAATTTCAATCCCCTGCCCTCCTCCCCACTCACTCTGTATAATCTGCAGTTCCCATGGAGGCCCCAGGTTTTTGTGTGCAATTTGATGGTGTCCAGAGGCTGCCCTGGCTGCACACTCTGCCTCCCGGGCTGGGGGACCTGCTAGGGGCTTGGGCTCTGACTCTGCAGCCCCAGAGCCGCCCTGAAGCCCCCTCCCTTCCTCTGAGCAAAAGGCAAATCCTCGGCTCTGTCATCAAAGCCCATGTGGGCCGGTTTGGGCTGCACCCACAGGGCCTACTTTGTCCCTTTCTCAGTCTCTCCCTGTCATGAGCTTTCCTTTTTCTTCCTCTCTTCCTTTGTAGCTCTGTCTCTTCCTCTCTCATTTGGGAAGAAATTCTCAGATGATGTAAGTGCATCCCCAGAGGGACCAGGCATTGGTGTCTCGACCCAGTGCCCTTTTGCCTGCGGGCTTTTTAAATTAGGTTCTTAGCTGCCCTTTGCATTTGTCCTGCATGGCTAAGACAGAGAAGAGGCCAGGCACATTAGAAAGACTGGGCAATGGGTGACCACTGCATCCAATGTAAACGAGAATGACTGCCAATACGGGAGAAAGGAGGGTTTCAGTCTTGGTGGTTGGGGTCCCTTCCTGAGAAGCTCGTCCATCCTCATGAGGTTGAGTCAGCCCCTAAGGAGGAAAAGGCTCTGCCAGGCCAAGGGCAGGGCCTTCAAGGTGGCCTCCCCTCCCCTCAGAGGGCCGGCCTCCATCAGGATGAACATGGAGTCTCTACTGGAACATAGAGGGAGACCAGGCACCCTCACCAGTCAGGCACCTGACTGGGACATGTCATCATCACCAAGTGCTGGCCCTGCCTAGGCTGGCTCAGATGGGAGCAGGAGGGAGCTGTGCTCCCTTCTCTTGACAAGTCTTCAGCAGGATGGCCCTTAAGACCTGAAGGCCTGCATACCTCCCCTGACTCTGATCTGGACACCCAGGAAGGCCTGTGTTCCACGGAACTGCACAGTGGCCTGGGGAGCCAACCAGCTCTTGTTGAGACTTTGCCTTGAATCTAGTCATGGTCTTAATGCTACAGTTAAGAGAAGACCAGCCCTCGGCCCTGGCATCTTCCTTGTGACCATTGATTGACTTGCTGAATTAGCGTGCTCCCACTCGAACAGTGGCCAGGGGGAGCTAGCGATGCAGAGAGGGTGTGAGAGGGGGTGACAGAGGGGACTTGTAGGGGAAAGTTAGTGCTTATGGTTCTCTGGGCTCACAGAGTCTCACTGATAATCCACATTTTAAAGATGGGAAAACTGAAGCTCAGGGAGCAACTTGCTCAGTCACATGGCTGAGAAGGGACAGGATCGAACCTATGCCTGGCACCCCCAACCCATGCTCATCCCTCTACACCACACATACTTGACACATTGCAGGAGATTCGTAAACATGATCGAAAAATACGAATGGATGAATGAACGAATGGAAGAACAAAGCAACCAACCACATGTTCTTGAGCTGGGCCCTAATGGATGAGTAGGCTTTAAGCACGTGGAAAAGTCAAGGCAGCGCGTTCCAGGCTGGGCAGATGAGATGAAGCAGAGGGAACCATGCTAGGTTGGAGGGAAAAGGGCTGGCCAGAGCCTAGAGCCAGGAAAACACCTCAGGGCACGGGGAGCTGTGCTCCACAGAGTTTGCATCAACACGGCCCTGGGAAGTGTCTTCCTTCAGCACGTCTGCACGGGTGGCCTCCCAGGCTGGCGCTGCACAGTGTTCCCTGGAAATGGAACTGAACAGGTAAAGGAGTGCTCATGCTCACCTGGTACCTCTTCCCTACAAGCAAAGCTACTTATCCCCTATGGCTGGGCAGCCAGGGGAGGCTTGCACTTCTAGAAGAGGCTAAGAATGGAGTAACTAGCAAAGAGTTTGGAGTCATGATCATCATCATCATGGCCATCTTTATCCGCGCCACCCCCTCTTACATCATCACTGTCAACATTCCACAGTAAAGCTTAGTGGCTGGGCGTGGGGCCTGGACGTCTTGCTGGGCTTCTAACCTAGCTCTGTCACTCACTGACTGTATGAGCTTGGGCACATTTTAAATGCCTAATCCCCACTTTCCTCATATCTAAAATGGGGTAATTCAAAAAGATGATACATAGAAAGTTCTCAGTATCTTGTCTGGCACACGGCATCAGTGTAATATAGCCATTGTTCTTACTGCTATTGTTTTCCTCATTAATGAGCCTTTTAAGTGAGCTTTGGGTTATTACCATAGAATCCGATTTACTTTTCACATGAGGAAAGGGAAGCTCTATGAGTCTCCCCCACCCGCACTGTGCCTGCCTCTCTCGCTCTTCCCCAGGGGCAGAGCCCAGAGCCTCTCCCTTCCTGCAAGCTCAGCTGGGACTCACTCCAACAGACTGCCACTTTATGGTTTGTTTGTTTGCTCCTAAAGACATAAAACCCAAGCTTATCAAACAAAAGTCACACTTAGCCCTGCAGTCTTGAGAGGTAAATTCCACTATTATCTCTGCACTTCAGCCCCCACACAGAACACTTAGTTCCCCAGGGAGCGGGTGACACGCTTCAAGGTCGACCTTTGGCACCCACTCACCCCTTCGGCCATGTGCCCGGTCACGAGGCAGGTGGCATAGGAGAGTCAGCTAGGGAGGTGCCCAGAGACACTGCCCACCAGCCAAGTGCCTCGGGTCAGTTGTTAAACCTTAGAGTCCTCCTCTGTGAAATCCCCTGAACAGTGGAGCTTCCACCAGCTAATTTGTGACAATAATTAATCCAATGATCTGAGAGAGCATTGAACTCAGTGCTTGGCCTTTGAGAAGTGCTCAGCGTTCACACATTACAGCCAACAGAAGGGAGTTGCTTTGTGTTCTCCGGGTCAGGCAGAAGATTGTTCAACCTGAACAGTCGAGCCAGGGACAGTTCTAGAGAGACCTAGAAGATGGGGGTGAAGGTGGAGGGGGTTGAATACTAACAGAAAAAGAAAAGGGGTTTGAGACTCGAAACTAAAGATCAAGGAGAGGTCAGCTCCCATAAATTTTATACAAAGCCCTGCCAGCGTTTTGATAGCTTCAGCCAACATTCTCAAAAATTCTCAACTACCTCTTGCATCATAGCCTCTCTTAGAGGAAAGGAAGTCTTTGCCAGGCTTGGAGGTGGTCCTAGTTCACTTGGCATCTTTGCCCAAGCTACAGGCTAAGTACTGCAGTGAAGAGAAAGCATAACAAGTAACACAGCCTCCAACTTTTTGGAACTTCAATGTGGTATGGTAGCCACAAGGCTTATCCACCAATGTTTCCATTGCTGCTTCTTCTGACCACATCATAGGATTGCACTCACTGCTTCCCACCTCTCCTCACTTTTCAGGTTAGGCATGGCCATGTGATTGCTCTAGCCTGTAAAACATGAGCAGAAGAGGCATGAAGCACTTGGTGAGTGCTTCTAAGAGCTGATGCAGAATTTCCCACATTCCCTTCTTCCTGCCCTGATGCCTGGCAATGCTCCAGATGGCAGAGGCTCTGTCAGCCAATATCTTTGAAAGAGGATGATGGGGAGAAGAGACTCCCACCAAACCAGGGTCAGCTTGTGGTACGAGGCTTTGCCCCTTGCCCTGATCATGCCCATCACTTGGCCACTGAGAGCTGGGTTGGTTTGTTCCTGCAGTGCAACCTAACTCACCCTAAGAAGCCAGCAAGGCAATGCCAGTGCAGAGGAGAAAAGCAGAATCCTGAGACACAAGATGATAAGGAGCGGAGGGTCTGCAGAAGGGCTGGGTAAGAGCTCCTGGAGGAGGGCTGGGGCTGGGCCTTGAAGCCAGCAGGATTTGGAGGGTGGTAAGGAATGGAGATAGCCAGAGGTGGGGAGTGAGTGGAAGGCACAGGTGCCTCAAAAGACTTCTGAATGCCTGAAAAGAAGGTGCCAGCCGAGGAGCTGATATCAGTTTTCTTCTTCCATAGTCTAGATGCATGTGAGGAGCAAGTTCAAGTCAGACTCAATGTCATTTCACCATGATTGGGGCAGAGTGGCACCGGGCCTGGTGGGATCAGAAGGCAGGACACGGCGGACAGCTGGATTGCCCCTTTCTAAATCCAGCTTTCTTCATCCAGGAAGCCTTCTCTGACCCTCCCACCCATAGGGCCCTCTCCTACCCTGAACTCCTCCAGAATTCTGTCTGCTGAAAGAAGGCATGTGGAGTGTGAGAAGACAGCAGGGCTCTGAAGTCAGACCGATGTGGTTTAAATATTGGTTTCTTGTGTTCAATCATCTGACCATTAATTCAACATCTGTAGCATGCCAGGCACTGTTCTACATCCTGGAAATGTGTTCATGTTCAAGAGCTGGGTGTTCTTGGATCCTGTATGCAAATGAGGGAGAGAGAGACAGTCAATAACAACAATAACAAAGCCAAACATGCAAAAAGAAAAAAAGTTGTGATGTTGGAAATTAAGAAAATAACCAAGGGGCTGAGATAAAGAATACCAAAAGGACCTACTTTAGATGAGGTTAATGAATGACTTCCTCTTTGAATGGGCAGCATTTAAAATTGCAATGTACAAGGAGGAAGAATAGTTACTATATAAATAAAACAGAGGAGCATTCTTGGCAAGAGAAAAACGACAGGTACAAGACCGTTAAGTGGGAAAGGTAGGAAAGGGCTTGGGTGGGGCAAGGTTGGAACTGAAGGAAGAGGAGTGTCTCTGGAGAGTACCCTGAGGTAAGGGTGGAGGGTAGAGCTGTGCTTTCCAGGCTATTTTAGGAGATAGATTCAAGGTGCATTTTATAGCACAAACCAGCAAGACTTACTGATGGTTTAGGTAAAGGGAGAAGAGGACCCATTCAAGAAGAGAGAGTCAAGTCACCTGGGGTGGGGATACCGTGCCCTTTACAGGAATGGCAAAGGTGGAGTTGGGAGGATGGAAAGTCTGCTCTGAATGTGCTAGTTTGGAGATATCTGAGATCTCCAAGTGGAAATGTCAGCAGGCAATAGAATCTGCAAGTCAGAAGGAAGCTCAAAGAAGTCCAGGTTGGGGATATAGATTTAGAATGATCGGCATAAGAATAGTATTTAAATCCATGGAATTTCACGAACTCACCTGTGAAGTGAAGAAAGAGGACCCAAGAGGGCCTAAGGGAGACCAAGGAGGAGTCAGAAAAAGGAGGAGGACCTGCAAAGGAGGACCAGCCAGTGAAGAACGAGGAGAGCCTGGAGAGCAGAATGTGGTAGAAACAGAGAGGCAAGAGTTTGCAGAAAAAGGGGTCAATATTGTCACAGGACTAAGATGAAGTCCAAGAGTGGGGCTGGGCCTGGCCAGTTGGAGTCATTGGTGACCTTGACCAAGCAGTCTCAGTACTGGGGAGCAGAGCTAGCCTTCAGTGGGTCCAGGAGTGCATGGGAGTTAAGAGATGGAGACTGCAAACAAATTATATTCTTTGGAGAAATCTGACTCTAAAAGAAAATAGAGGGATTGGGAAGTAGTTGTCAACGGGAGGGGCTGGAGATAGATGAACTGCAGGTGGGAGGAGCATGTCTGGGTGCTGATTGGACTTGCCTAGAAAAACCAAGAGACTAGTGAGAGAGCCAGAGAGGGACAATGAGAGCAATAAGTTCCCAAGGAGCTGGAGAGGATGAATTCAGAGCACAGGTGGAGGGACTTTCTCCATCAGCACAGGAAGAAGCAGAAGAGAGAAGCAGCCAGGATGGGTCCTAGTCTGGTATTGGGAAGATGAGAGTTGAGTGAAGTAATGAAGGGGAAGGGTCCCTTGGAACCAGAGGGAGAGAGCAGGGTGGAAGGGAAGGTGAGAGGAAAAAGAGAAGTAAAATTGTCATCTGGGAGTGGGCAGTGGCCTACTAGAGAGAGTGGTGGGGTTGCCTGGCAGTCTTGAGGGCAAGTGCATGGGCCAAGATCATGAATTTAGAGCAAAATCAGCCAGCCCTATTGTGTGATTATCTCCAAGAACAGGCAACTGCTCTGGAGCAGGCGTGGAGACAGCGGATGGGAGGTTTCATTCAGGGTTGGGACTTTGCCAAGGGGCTGTGACAAAGGATAGAAAGGCAGAGTTGCTGAGAAAATTCACACTGGAATAATGATGAGGAACCATGTAGCAGAGGCTGGACAAAGAAGGAAGGAAGAGGAGCTGGGAAGGAGGCTCAAGAGGGAGGAGGGGGAGTCACTGCATTGAAATTCTCAAGGAAGCCAAGAAACTGAGGCAGTGGAGAATCTTGACCTGCAGGGCTGGGAGGATTGGGAGAGGTGTTTGGAATCCAGATTTGAGGATGGGATGGTACAGGTGTGACTGCAGGAATGGGCACCTGAGGAGCCCAGGAGGGAGTGGCCTCTATGGTGCTGCATGGTCTGTCTGACTGGATGTGAATGCTACCAGGGATGATGATGACATCAGGAGGTGGAGGTGAAGACTCTGACCAGGAGGTGACAATGCTGCCTTTGACCAGCTCTATGAGCCAGGCAAGTCACCCTGTGGCCACAGCAGGCTCTGGAGCACCCCTGCCCAGGTTCTGCCACTTTCTAGATGTGTGACTATGGAGGCTTACTTCCCCTCTCTGCACTTTGATATCTTTACTTGTAAAAATGGGGGAATAATTTACACATGCCTCTTAAAGTTGTTTGAAGACTAATGGAAATAATTCAGGCAAAGCACCCAAAACAGTGCCATAAGTGTTAAATGTCTCCTTTTGTAGTGAGTTAAACTGTGGCACCCTGAAAGACTGCCCCACATCCAACACCCTGAACCTATAAATGTGACATTTTGGGGGTTAAGGATTTTTTTTTTTTTCATATAGAGTCTCACTTTGTCCCCCAGGCTAGAGTCTAGTGGTGCGATCTTAGCTCATTGCAACCTCCACCTCCTGGGTTGAAGTGATTCCTGTGCTTCAGCCTCCTGAGTAGCTGGGATTACAGTCATGCACCATCACACTCAGCGAATTTTTGTCGTTTTAGTAGAGATGGGGTTTCACCATGTTGGCCAGGCTGGTCTCGAACTTCTGACCTCAAGTGATCCACCCACCTCGGCCTCCCCAAGTGCTGGGTTAAGGATCTTAAGGTGACATCATCTTGGATTGTCTTAGTGGGCTTAAATTCAATGACAAGTGTCCTTGTAAGAAACAGGAGAGGACACAGAAACAAAATGACCCCATACACACTCGTGCAAACACACGCCACAGGAGAGAATGCCATGGGAGAATGGAGGAAGAGATTGGAGTGATGCAGCCACAAGCCAAGGAATTCCTGGACCCACCAGAAGCTGGAAGTGGCAAAGAAGGACTTGCCACAAAGCAGCCTTTGGAGTGAGTATGGCCTGCCAACACCTTGACTGTGAATTTCAAGTCTCTAAAACTGTGAGCAAATAAATTTTTGTCGTCTTAAGCCACTAAATTTGTGATAACTTGTGATGGCAGCTCTAGTAAACTGAAATAGCCCTCATGTGCCTGGGCCTCAATAATCTTCACCTTTGGAGACTGACATGAGCACTAAGGAACAAGCTGCGTGAAAACTGCATGTACAAGAAGGTGACTAATAAATATCATCAGGCATCCCTCCCAACCTCCAACACACGGGCATAAGTACACACAGACCTTCACACACATGTGCATTCTTTTGGCCTAAATGTTGCTTTGGGTGCTGGCTACTATTGTCTTACGTGTACCTCTTGCTCAGCAGAGTTGGGATGCAGTCAGACACTGCCACCAGCCATCAGAGATATGCGGATGGCACAAATACATGGGTGTATATGAAATGTGAGAGGGCAAGTGTCCAGAGTGGCCACCAACATCAGACATAATAATGTCAGAGAATTGGGCGGCATGTCTTCAGACCTCCTGTGGTCTCTTGTGGGACCAGGTGAGG
The DNA here is from genome assembly GCF_000001405.40 of Homo sapiens. Classification (NCBI taxonomy): domain Eukaryota; kingdom Metazoa; phylum Chordata; class Mammalia; order Primates; family Hominidae; genus Homo; species Homo sapiens. The sequence goes on along the minus strand of NC_000002.12, from coordinate 111,180,443 downwards.
GATAAGGTTCCCCTTCCTCTGCTGGCCACAGCCTCAGCTGGGCCCTTCACAGGTGCTGAAGAAGTCCAGCACAGAGGTGCGGGGGAGAGGCCAGCCCTCTTTGGAGCTCAGCAGTTCAGCGTCTTTGGACAGCTAGACTCAGTCATCAGAACTAAACTCACAGACAAGCACTCTGGGAGGTTGAGGCGGGAGGATTGCTTGAGCACAAGAGTTCTAGGACTAGCCTGGGCAATACGGTGAGACCCCATCTCTACAAAATTTTTTTTTAAATTATCTGTGCATGGTGGCACATGCCTGTAGTCCAATATACTTGGGAGGCTGAGGTGGGAGTATTGCATGAGCTGGAGAGGCAGAAGCTGCAGTGAGTTGAGATCACACCACTGCACTCCAGCCTGGGTGATAGAGCGAGACCCTGTCTCAAAAAAAAAAAAAAAAAAAAGAACTAAACACAGAGAGTGGCTGGAATGGGGAAGAGGCAGCCAAGAAAAGTAGGTGGCTCAGGCTGATCAACTGAGGTCAATGTCTTGTCAGTTTCAAATGCTAAGTCCCTGAGAAGCTACTCTCTGCTAAGCAGTGATCACTGCTCTCCTCTTGGTCAGGGTCTTCCTCCCTCGCTGAGTTGTGGGAAATGGGAATCACACATTCAGGATGCCCTCCCTGGGCAAGGCTCGCATCCACTTTGGGTATTTTTCAACTGAAAATCATGGCAGGTTTAAGGAGAATAACGTTAGGTCCCAGAAAACATGACATAGAAGGTTCTTGGCATTTGGGAACACTGGTAGAGTTCTGTCTCTCTGAAACTGGAGTTTTATTTGACATTCCTTGGAATGAAACCAGTTAACTTACTTTATATATTCCTTCAGTTCTTCAAAGGGTTCAGAATCAGACCAAAAAAAAAAAACCCATAAATAATCTAAAAAAAGGTTGTACTTTATCTTGATTTGCTGTTCCCCTCCCCAGCTCTTTATAATAAGGTCTATTTACGGACCCTGAGAAGCAATTACAGGAGAAAAAAATGTAATCTTGGTTCAGTTTTATAACAATGAAAGAGGTTTTTTTTCCTGCCTTGTGGATTATTTTTAAGTCAGTGTGGTATTGTTTACATAAGTCACAACTCACTGAGTCCAAAGTCCTTCAGATAGTACATCTGCCTTATGCATTTAGAAAAGGGGATCTGCAGGCAGGAATATGTTTATTTAATCCACATGGGGCTCCTTTCCCATTGCTTAGGACTCCATGGGTTAGACTTTACCTCTGGATCCGGCTGTCCTCCCTCCCCAGACCATGAGTAATCGGCCACGCTGGCCACACATGGGGTTTTGGTCACAGGGGGTAAGTGTACTCCCTCACACCTCAGGCAGTCTGTCTGTCTGTCTGTCTGCCTAAACCTTCCCAGCCCCACTAGGTAGGTCAGTTCTGTGAGTTGGACCAGGTTGAGGCAACAGGGATATGACCTGTGATGCCTGTGAGAGCCTGGTTCCATTGAGAAAGAGCTCCCAGAGGCCTCTTCCCAGACACCATTGCAAAACAGCCACTGTGACCCAGGGCTGCCCTGGCCTGCTGGTAGGCAAGGACTTTACGCCTGATTTCCTCTGGAGGGAAGTTTTGAGCAGCCTCCATCTGGGTGCTGCCCATTGGTGTACTGTGAAAGGCCATATATGACGGGGTCCCACAGAGGGATGCTATCAGGGGTCTGGAGGGAGATGGGAAGCTTCTCTCATTCCCACCCAACTTAGTACTTCTTTACCTTGTCCAGGCTTGTAGGGTAGCCACATTCTTCCAGAAGCAAGAGCTACATCATCCCACAGACATTCCCTGAGCACCTACTATGTGTCAGTGCTAGGGATGCGAGGATGGCATTCACACAGCCCTTGTTCTCATGGAGCACATAGTCCAGGCCCCCAGAGATTAGGACCTGAGTCCTTCCCTATCATTCCACAGCCACTCCCAGGTCTAGTAATCCTAGGTTCTAGCACACATTAAAGCTGGCGCTCCCAGAGTGTTCGCAAAGCCTGCTGCCCAGATAGTAAGACTGAAGGTGGGAATGAGTGGGTGACCAGGGAAGGTGCCACTGGAAAGTAACATTCAAGCAGCCCTGACTGCTGAAGAGGCCAGCCCTGTAGCTATAGAGAGAAGAGCGATTTAGAAAAAGCGGGCAGCTGCAGCCTTAGGCGGGAGTGAGCTTGGGTTGTTCTAAGCAACGGCATAGGGCATACTCCATAAAAGAGCCCATAATATTGACATTTATTTCTCCAACGTGTCCTTTTTTTATGACTCATGAAGACTTCTGTTTTATACCAGCCACCAAGTTTAGAAGCAACTAAATTGTCCGAAATGCACATGCCACCCAGAGCAGCCAGTGACAGTGAGTTCATCAAGACATGATCAGTCATTTTCTTCAGGTGAACTTATTTATCAGAATCCTGGCAGCGCTATGGCCCTGGACAGCAGCTTTTAAAAAGGAGAGGAGAAATAGTGGCCCCAGGGCCCAAACAGGTGAGATGAGGAAGGAGGAGGGGGCTACCAGGAGGCAAAAAGGGGCGTCTAAAAGGGAGAGCCGTTTTGCCAAAGGGCTGGCTGGACCTGCTGTTTAAAAAAGTTCTGTCATTTGAATAGGCTCCATGTTCTCACTACTCTTTTGAAAGTGGCAAACAGGCCAGGCGCGGTGGTTCACATCTGTAATCCCAGCACTTTGGGAGGCCAAGGTGGGCAGATCATGAGGTCAGGAGTTCAAGCCTGACCAACATGATGAAACCCAGTCTCTACTAAAAATACAAAAATTAGTCAGGTGTGCTGGCGCACGCCTGTAATCCTAGCTACTCAGGAGGCTGAGGCAGGAGAATTGCTTGAACCTGAGAAGTGGAGATTGCAGTGAGCCGAGATCGCACCACTGCACTCCAGCCTGGGTGACAGAGCAAGACTCTGTCTCAAAAAAAAAAGAAAAAAGAAAAAAAAGAAAGTGCAAACAGTACATACATATGATGAAGGTCAAGAGGCCAAGAAAAGACTGGGCTTTCATAGAAGATGATTTACCTGAGTCCTCGTCAGACATTTAGTTGCCACACACCCATCCAACAACGGTGTGTTGAGTGCCTACTAGGTGCCAGGTACGGCGAGATCCCGCTGAGTCAGAGGCACACTGGCTAATGCTAGCAGCCCCACAGACAGAGAGACACAATTTAAAATGTTATTAGGATCTTCCAGCAGGGATGAGAGCATTTACCTATAAGCCATCAGAAGGCCATCCCCAGAGCTTGGTGACTGGACCCGGAATCAGGCTGGGAGTTACCTGGGAGCAGCCACTGTTCTGAGCCTTGCTGGCTGGGGCAGGGACAGAGAGTCTGGTCCTGGGAGGGACTTGGAGCGGGCAAGGGTGTGCCTGTGGAGGCTCCCACGGAGGCCATTTCTGCATAGTATTGAGCAATCAGAAGTAGAAGTTCCCCTGGAAGAGCTTGGTGTCTAACCGGGTGCAATGTGCATTGTGGTCTGTTCCCCAACACAAATCATCATTTTCCCTTCTAAGTGCTCACACCTGAATGTGCTCTCTCAGAGCCTGCCCCTGTGTGTCCTCCTGTCCTTGTTTTTCAGGGGACGATGATGACACTTTTCCCATGATTATGAGATTCCCCTCACACTCTACACTCTCCTGAGCTATGGAAGGCCAGGCTCAAGCACAGCATGATCCACCCACGTTCACTGCCTGTGCCACACACAGATTCGGTTCTACCTCTAGCCCTTCTGGGGTCCACACTATGGCTCCGCCTCCCGTCTCTGAGCTCGCTGAGTTCTTTGGGTTTGTCAGTTGAAGGCTCTGACTCACCTGATGATGACTGGGCTCTCCCCAGGCTCACAACCCGGGGCCACCTCACCTCCACCCTGCCGTGGCCTTGGCCTTGGCCTTGGGCCCTACAGCACACTCTGTCCTCCACTCACCTTGAATTTGGCTGGAGGCATGGATGCCTGTGCCAGGGCAAACTGGCAAAGGGAAACAGAAAAGAGAATTGATCATTTTGCAACTACAACAGAAATTTAAACAGACAGAAAGCACCTTGCTGATTGCTGTCCTTCAGAGCATTGTCCCTGGGGAGCATTGCTGGACCCGATGCTGCTGTGGCTGCCCCACCACTGCTGGAGTCATCCCTGGCAGTTTTGAGCAAGCTGTCATTCAGCAGCTCCCAAGCCCAGCTGCACACTGGAGTCATTTAGGGACCCTTTAAAAATATGACACTGCACCCCCACCACAGACTCAGAGAGGTGGGCCTCTGGTATGGGTATTTTGTAAAAGCCCCTGGGGGAGTCTAACATCCTCTAGGCTTGAGGACCTCCCTCCTGTGCCCTGTCTGGCCTGTGTTCATAGATGCTCCATAGGCGCCACTGGGCCATCATCCACCTCTCATGAACAGATGCTCAAGGCCCTGTTTCCCCGGCTTATGAGAGTGCTTCATTAAAGCAAATGTCTAAATATTCATGCTCCAGGCTTTCTCTAAGCAGCCAGTGGGTACAGTCCACCTTCCTGGAGTTTCTTTCCAGAAACTCAACTTAAAAAAAAGCCCTTTAAAATGAATTGACAGCCCTTTGTTTCTAGATAACCCCTGAGTTGAGTTCGTGGTCCAGCAAAACAGAACTCTCCATTCACTCTTCCTCCACCCCAGCCCCTCCCCAACCGATCTCACTTCCCACTCCTGCTTCTATTCTCAGGAAGCGCCATCCCCGCTAATTGCTCTGACCCAAATCATCCTTTAGAATCCTTGATTCCTTCTGTTCCCTCACCTTCCACATCAGGAAGTCCTCCCTCCTCTTCCTCCAAAGCCTGTCTGCCCTCTGTCCACATCCCAGGTCTCCCGGGGTGGACTCCTGACTTCTACTCCTGACCAAAATCCAGGCACAGCCACAATCCAGGCACAGCCACAATCCAGGCACAGCTCTTAATTTTTTAACTTTTTATTTGAAATAATTTCAGACACACAAAAAGTTTGCAAAATAGTAGAGACACTTTTCTTATAGCCTTTACCCAGAGTACCCAGATGTTACCATTTTGCCACATTTTGCTTTATCCTTCTCCCTTCCAACTGCCACCATTCCATCCTGCCCCACATGCATGTAAGCACATCACATTTTTCTCCTGAACATTGAGAGTAAATTACCTGTTGCCCCTTGCCCCTAAATACTTCAGTGTGTATCTCCTAAAAATGAGGACATCCTCTTACCTAACCAGAGTTCAGCGATCAAAATCAGGAAATTAACATGGATGCAATATTAACATCTACATATTTTCTTCAGATTTGACCACCTGCCCCAATCATGTCTTTTATAGCAATGGAAAATTCCAGATAGTATATTGCATTCAGTCACCATGTCCCCTTGGTCTCCTGTAATCTGGAGTTTCTATCAGATTATGTTACTCCTGTGACAAGAGCCCTCCACTGTCCTGGGAATGTAGGGCCAGCCCTGTCTCGGGCATGCCCCCTCACCCTGCAGCCTGGCCTAATTCTCAAGCCCATCTCCCCCATCCATGGCTCCCTCCCTCGCATGTCCCCGATGCAGCCCCTTCCTCCCCATTTGCTGTGCTGGGCTTCACATCTCTAGTGGCTCTGTCTGGACCGCTCTTCTCTGGTTGCTCCTGATCACCCTGAGGTCTCAGAGGAGAGGCCTTCCTTTCTCTGGTCCCACCACCGCACCTGGTCCACTACACTCTGCCTTGTTTATTTCCTGCACCTTTCACTGTCTTGGTCACTGGTTCCCCTACGTGTTATCTTATGCCTCCCACCTCCACTGAACATCAGCTCCATGAGCGCAGGGGGTTGTCCTTGCTAATTCCCAAGCATGTAGAATGAATTGTGCCTGATACATAATAGAGGCTCAACGAACCTTTGCTGAGCGAGTAAATACATGAATGAATGCAAGTCTTTTAGACTATTTGGGTTAGAGACAATAGAATCCTTTCACCAACACTTAAATGAGAAAGAGATTCTATAGGCACTGATTGAAGACAAAATGCAATTTTTTTTCCCCTCAGAAAGCCTTTCAAAGTGTCATCCAATGCCTGAGGAAGCTTTGACTCACCACTTTCCCCTTTCAAGGGTCCAGAATTCAAAGTAATAGAATTGATTTACTTTTTAAGAAAATATACCAGATCTTCTACAGTCAAGGATTTTTGTAGCAGGCGTCTTGGCAGAAATAAGTGACACATATTGGCCTGAAGGTCATGGTCGAGTAACACTGGGAAGAGTTTCTGACTGAGTTAGAGACTCATCGGAACCTACTCCATGAGCGGAGATAGCCCCCTTTCCTGTTAGAAGGGCCTTGAGGGACCTCTGAGCACCCTTGGGGGACCTACCCAGGATGAGGTTAGAGGCCTGGATCCCCAGTCTGTCCCCGAAGGGGTTCCAGGCTCAGGCCCCCAGAGCAAGGGTGAGCCAGGAGGTCAGGGGCGAGCCTGGGCAGGCAGCACCGAGGTGCTCTCACTTAAAATTGGGAAGGTTCTGCATCTTCACTGGGGAGGCAAATCAATCCTTGGCTGTAGAAATGTGTAAAGTTGGCTGTGCAAGCTGTGTGCTTCCCTGTGTGTACTTGTACCTCAATACTTTTTTTATAAAGGAAAAAAGAAAATCGGAGGAGCTCCAGCTCTTCAAAAGCAAACAGCAGCTGCTGGGGATGATGGCCTGCCTGAGTCCCTGTGGAGTCCAGTCCTGCCTGCTCTCTATAGGTTTTGCTGCAAAGTGGGGTCCATGCGGAACTCAAAGATCTGAACCCCCAGCCCTGCTCTCCACTGGCACCCTAGGGAAGGTGTGCACCAGATTGAAACAAGCAAAAGGAACACGTGCACCCAGCTGGGGCTGCAGCTCAGGCGCAGTGTAGGGGCACAGGCAGTACGTGCCTGGCAGGTGGGGGTAAGATGTTGAGGGCTCGGGAGGCTCTGGGTTCAGAACAATTCCCTGCTCCAGGTCTGGAGAGAAAAGATTTCAAGAACCAGACACGAATGAGTGTGGGAGGGTTCTGCTCCTGATGGGTACTGACTAGCTCCTTCCCACCCAATCTCACTCTAGGCTCCTGGCTGGGGAGCCCACTCCCGGGGGTCTTCTGACCCCTTTGCTCCATCACTCTAGCACTGCGATGCCCCCATTAAAATGGACTTAAATCCCAACAAATACCTGGGGAGCTGCTCTGCCCTAATGGCAGAGTGAGGATGGGGCAGTGGGCAGGAGGGGGGCCCACACCCTCCATCACACAGAGGCCACACCTGTCAGGGGTCTGCGTGGCAATTAGCAGGCTCAGGAAAACCAAGGACTCTTGGGACAGCCCACACGTCCACAGGAGGCCCTCCAGTTAGGTCAAAAGAGTCCATGCAGGACTAGGGCCCCACAGCAAGAAGAGCCACTGGCAAAGCTGAAATGCCCTGGTGGCTGGAGATGCAAGTGAGACCTGGGCCTGTGCATGCACATTCTCATGGCAGATCTGGACCAGGTCATGGAGTCATGAGTCCCCAGAATGCTGGCAGCTATGCAGAAGCAAGGCTGCAGGACAGGCATCCTGTCTGGGGCAGACCCTGGCTGGCTGGTCTCAGCCCCCTGTTCCTGCTCCTGGTCCGACGGGCCCTGCAAGGCAGCAGGTGCGTGGTCAGACGTCCATTCTCTGGCAGAGCCACACTGCCTGGCCTCACATCCTCGCTCTGCCATTGAGGAGCCTGATGTCCCTGGGCAAGTGGCTTAACCACCTCATGACTTGGTTTTCCTGTCTGGACACTTGGGGTGGTAATAGCAGCTGCTTCAAAGGGCTGTTGTTCTGAGATGAAAATGAACTATGAGATGCTTTGAACCGTGCCTCACACGTAGCAAGTGCCTAACGGTTAGCTGTCATTATAGGCATCATTAGAGGGGACCCCGAGATGAGGGGGAAGTGGGTGAGACACCCCATGGAGCTGTAGGCCCACTACTCTCACCTAAGCTCCTGAAACAGCTCTTTCCCTGGGAACTACACTAGAGAATTTTACTGTGGTCTTTCCGCTTACTGATTGTGAGACCTTTAAGAACATGGCCTGTTTACCATGCCCTGGTTTTAAGCATTTTGATATTCTCATGTGTGTCTAGTACATGGTAGGACCTTAATACTCAGATTAAGATTTTAGGAAAATGACCATCTAAAATATATTTTTAATGGGGTTGCATAAGCTCTCTGATATCGGCAATGAAACACGACATCTTGATGGTGTCTTTTAAGAGTGGTAGGCCAAGTTTGATCTTGTTTAGCTATTAGGTAAGTGGTTATTGTAAGAACTAACTCTTCCCAAATCTACTTTATGGAGCCTGAGTGGTTATTATAATCATGCCTTCCTGGGTCCTTTTCTGTAATACCTGTAATCATTCTATAACATGCCCAGAAAAAAAGCCTTCAACATTCTAATATATCTTCTCCTCGGTCATACAGTCTTCTAAGGACTTAGGGGTTGCCTCAGGAAAGATAGAGTTTCCAGGAAAAAAAAAAAACAAAAACAGCAAGTGGTAGAAGTTACCCAAAAAGATTAGAGACCACCTTTTGCCTTGCTATTTCCCATCTCCTCACAGCCCCATTCTGGTCTCGACAGGGGAGATTTTCACAATCAGTCCATCACCCCACACCTTCTAATTCATCTTGTTTAAAGAGACTTCATGCAACTTTTGTATTCGGTCCTTCTGACAGGTAGGAATGAGTCACTGCTTTGGCTGCCAGCGACAGAAACCAGCCCTGGCTAATTTAGCACAAGGAGAACATGCTGGAGGGTGGGCGCCTGTTGCATAGTCCAGCAGGCAGCTCAGAGACGGGACCCCGGGGTGCTGGTGGCTGGGGGGCCGGTTACTGTGGCCAAGAACACAAACATGCCCTGCAGCTTCAAGGATGCTGCCCTCCAAATGGCCCCTCCTTGCCTTGCTCGCTCCAGAGTCAAAGTGCTGGGAAGAGTGTTTTATCAGTCAAACATTAGGCCATGGGCCTGCCCTCAGCGATACCTCAGGCAGGGAAAGAAAGGGGCAGTGGGAGGCAGGCACACAAAGGGAAACTGTGGTGGAGATAAGGGCTGGATGCAAGGCATCCTCCCCTCTTTCCCAGAAAAAGCAAATAGGAAATGTGCGGGATTTGAAGGAAGAAAAATCAAGTGTACTAAAAGCATCCAAAACCAAACACAATCGATGGATAAAAATATTATACATCTTGGAAAACATCTGGAAAAATGGCAATTCTTCCCTAAATCAAGAGTTACTGTAATCCTAAATGAGACCTCCAAAGAACTTTCTGAAAAGCTTCAACTAATTCTAAGATGCACATAAAAAGACAATGTAAAAAGAGCCACGATGATTTTGAAAAATAAAGACAAGAAACTCAAAACAGATAAAACTCAAGTAATTAAAATAATGTAGATTAAACAAAAGGATCAATGAAAAAGGCAAGAGCTGAGATACAGAACCGTATGTATTAGACTTTGGTATATTGTCAAAGGATCAATTTAGGCTGGTGGACAAAAAGACAACAGTGCTGGCTTTCTGTGGGGTAAAAACTAAATACTGTGGATCACTAAAAAAATAAATTCCAGGTGGATTAAGGTGAAAAAAAAACCCCAAACTGTACTGGTTATATGAATAAAACATAAGAAAATATATTTAAAACTTTGTCATAGATAAGTTGTCTTAAACGAGATACAAAATACAGAAACCTAAGCAAGACTGACAGACTGACAAATCTGACTTCTTTTTTTTTTTTTTTTTTTTTTTTTTTGAGACGGAGTCTCACTCTGTCGCCCAGGCTGGAGTGCAGTGGCGCGATCTTGGCTCGCTGCAGGCTTCGCCCCCCGGGGTTCACGCCATTCTCCTGCCTCAGCCTCCCGAGTAGCTGGGACTATAGGCACCCACCACCTAAGATGACAACTTCTACATAAAATACACCACAAGCAATTAAAAAACATGCTGCAGAATAAAAACATATGTTCACAAAAGAGACTCATATGCTTTGTATGAGAGTATTCATAGCAGATTTATTCATCATAGCCCCAAACTGGTAAGAACTCAGGTGTTCATTAATAAGACAATAGACAAAGCATGGTTTGTTCACACAATAGACTACTACTTAGTAATAAAAAGGAAGAAATTACTGATAATTGTAACATGGATCTCATATTCTGAGCAAAAGAAACCAGACACGACACAAAAGACCATATACTGTTATGGTTCCATTAATATGAAGTTCAGGAAGAGGTAAGACTAATTTATGACGGAAAAGAATCTCAGAACAGAGGTTACCAATGGGGGCAGGAGAGGAGGGATTACCTGGAAAGCAGATAACTTTCTGGGAGTTACGGTAGTATTCTTTATCTTGACAAGGGTTTGAGAGACAGCTGTATCCTTGGTCAAAATTTAGCAAATGCACACATAGGATTTGTATGTTTTACTTTATGTAAATTTTATCTTTGGAGAAAAAAATTATAAAAAATTGATGAACTCTAAATGATGCTGAAGTATTTGGGGATAAGAGTATTGGTGACAACTTGTTTTGAAATGCACCAAAAAATAAGCCGGATTAATAAATGAATACATGATAATGCAAAGGTAGTAAAAGTTAAAGGTAGAAGCTAGGTAGTGAGTGCATGGGTATTCTCTGTAAAACTCTTTTGACTTTTCTGAATGTTTGGAAGTTTTCACAATAAAATGTTGGGAAAAAAAGGCAACAGATTGAAGGAAAAGTATTTCCAACATATAAGAGATTTTTTTGTCCAGAATGTATAAAGAGCTAATCATCAATAGAAAAAATACTCAACCAAAAATTAGCAAAAACTTTCAGAAAAAAAGGCAAATGCCACCAGTGCCTGAAAAGATCATCCTACTGCATTGATAGAAAAATTCAAATGAGCACCACTTGCTCCTCACCCAGCAGGCAGACACCAGCTCACTCATGTCTGACAGCACTGGGGGTAAGTGGGTGTTCTTATGTGCTGCCAGGGCCCGTGTGAAGTGGAGCTGCCACTTTGACAGTGTCTTCCAGAGTCTGTTGAGGCTGATCTTCCACCTCCCTGTACCACAAGAGTGGGATACCTATGAGCAAATTCTATGCCTGTGCTCTGGCACTTGCTGCAGTAGTTAGCATGAAGTGGAGTCGCTATGGAAAGATATGTGACCTATTGCTAAGTCAGAACCATATACAGAGCTATGGCACTTACAGAAAAGCAAAACTGCTGTGTGAGTACACACAACACACACACACACACACACTGCAGATTAAGAGTCCAGGAGAATGCAAACTCCTACCTCAGTGAGGAGGTAGGATTAAGACAGAACAATTTGATTTGAAACAAATACAATTTGAAATAAATTTACAAGACCATATTCATGTATTACTCACCCGATTGAAAGCATTAACAGATTGTTAGTCTAAAAGAAAGCTGAGTCTGTCTTTCACTTTCCCAGCACTTAGGGTGAAAGTGCCAAATTAAATACTTATTAGGATTTTATCACCTGTATCCCCAAACCAGGCTTTAATTTCTTTCACTCATTCCTAAGGCAATTCCCATCCACCCTACATGACGGGAGCTGGGAACTTGGCGGTTCCTGGTCATCATTTCACACACAGGGTCTAGGCACGTTTGGGTGACCCCTTTGACCCTGAGCAGGTGCTGCAGACAAGCCCTTTCTATTATGGGGTTGATGGGGTAAGATGGCTGGGCACCTGCCATATCACTCATCAACACAGTACAGAGCCGGCTCCTAGTACACTTCCCTGCCCCCACAACTCCCCACCCAAGTGCTGAGTCATATCTGACTGTGCAGGCAGAATACTTTTCGCACCAGCCACATCAAAACTTTAAAGACTCGTTTACTTTTAAGTGTACTGCACGGATTCGTCTTCAAGCAAAAATATATGAGCTACACACAGCTACATTTTATGACTGATAATAGCAGATGTGTGGGCGTGTACATGTTCATATATAATTTCAGCTGTTTCTCTGACATTTTGTGCAAACAAATCAAACGCTCACCAAAACTAGTTGAAAGTTTTATTTTTATAAAATTAACATAAAAGATTGTTTAAAAATCTGCAGTTATTTACAGCAGTATTGCACAAGTAAAGTGGCAATTACCCTGTCAAAATTCATCAGTGCAAAACACAAGTAAGCCAGGGAAACTGCAATACAAATGCTACATACGCTGGGTCCTAGAAAACAGGTTAGTGATGGATCAGTATACAGCCAGATCAGTGCTATTTATAAGTGGGTACCTGATGAGTTCTGATACAGTAACTAGTGGTCACAGAATCTGGACATAAAACATAAGAGAGCTTCTATAGTCTGAAATTCCCAAATAAAAGTAGTCAAGTTACTTAACTGGGAGCTTGAGGATGCTTCTTACACACAATGCTGTTTAGAGTAGACCCCAACTGATTTAGCGTCATCTGTAGACACGTTTCCCCCACCCCACGTGTACGTGAGTGGACACACACAGGCACCAGGCTAAATCAGCAGGGATGGCAGAACCACCTGCATGGAACCACCATGAAGTCTCCTTAAAGCTCCCATAAGCTTTCACATCTTGACACCCAGTCCAGTGGGGCCCCAACCTCCCCTGAAGGAGATGGAGTATCAGAAGGAGGGCATCGACCTGAAGAAGCAGGCTGACCAAATGCAGTGACCGTATGGGTGGGGCGTGGGGAGGGCTGTACAGTTAATTAGCTCCTGAAGACAAGTTAGTCCAACCTCAAAGCACAGGAAGTTGCACAGCAGGTGGGGGAAAACCCAGCTACTCACAGTTGTCCACAAGGGGTTAGTGGCCTGAGGTGGTCCTTAGGCAGGAGCCACCTGTCCCACCCATTCACTTGTCCTGCCTGGCCCTAGCCCTGAACAACTGCAATGCAGCACCTCTGGAAGTGGCACATTTTATTTCTTTTCTAAACGCTGAGTTGTCAGGGATAAATTTTCAATAGAAAAATCTTTCCCACCTGCTGATAATACTTTGGTTTTTTTGTTTTCCTAAAGATAAAGCCTGGAGTCAGCAAAATTTGCTTGCATGATAAGCTAGTTGCTTTGGAACAAACAGAAGGTTGCTGGGTATTTCTTGGAGTAGAATTTTGTAGCCTGCCAGACTGAGTTTCTCACTGGCATCAAACACACACTTCATCATAAGGGCGGCAAAGCCCAAGAATTGAAACCCACTTGACTGGAAATACCAGGACCCGAAGGTGGAGAGCCACCCTGGAGGACCACGTGGTCTGCAATGAGCTCTCCAGTCACCCCCGACAACTCTCAGGAGTTAACTTCATGGGACGGCAGGGGAGTGGGAGACAGGGATGTTAATACTTTTCAGAAATTAAGACATTAAATAAGCAGAAAATAAATATACAATATTTCTACAAGTTACAGCATTATGAAACAGTAGGACACATCACACAGAAAAAGAATCTACAATATTTACAATCCTTGATTTTGAAAAAGTTGAGAAAAACAGTGATTTTTTTACTTATTTATGCTGTACAAAATTTTACAAGGTAAAGGAAACACAATTGCACACAGACATTTGGCTCAGTTGATAAGTAATATGACCTACGAATCTAATAAATACTCACAATATATACATTAAGAAGGGGAAACGGCAGACAATTGTATTCCACTATATTTTTTTAATCAGAAGGAATTTTAAACTTGATTTCTCCGCAACCCCCACCCCCAAAATTCTTGATCAACTAACCAGTTGGGAAGGGCATCTGAAGAATCACTCATGAAACTATTTTGTGTGTGTTTATTGCGTTTCTGTGTTAAGTCACAGGACACTTTTTACAAACCTCACATAGGGAGAGGTTGTCAAGGCACAAAACCTGCAGTAAGTTTCCAAAAAGGGGATTTAATTATTTTTTCTACAAAAATGTTTTTTAAAAAAGGTAAAAACGTATACCCACGGGAGGCATACTTTCTGCACAGAGGCATCTTGATAACCAGATACATACAGTACAGAGACATCCAGTCATCGCTTTAAGTTCTGGTGCCAACAGCCTGGTCTTTAATACTCCTACAATTCATAGAATCTCTAATTTCCTCAGGAACTGTTTCCACAGCCAGCCTGGAGGCCGCCAGGCCAGAGGGAAATGTGCTCATGTGGTGCACACAGCCCCTGGGCAGCACAGGGCAGGGCCTCCCGTGCCTGGCCCAGGGCTGCACCCAGTGTGTGCTCCCAGGGGCTGCAGGGCTGAGGAAACAGAGTAAAGTGCTCTAGTCAGGAGACTGGCACGTGAGTACAGGGATCCTGGGAGGGGGTGCCCAGATCCAAATACATCTTTGGTGTATGTGTGTGTCCAGCAGGCCCACGGCTGCAATCCTACCACTGCTTGTAACCGTGGGCTTTGTATGACCCTACCAATGGGCTCGAGACACATCAGGGAACAAGATGAGCTCCAACACAGCTTTAAAAATAAGTCAAAGTCCCAAGGAGATTCTTGGGGAAAGGAAATTTTTTAAAGTAAGAGTATTTGGATTGAAATCATCTCTACCTAAAGGAAAAAGTGAATATGCAATATATACATATATATTTTTTAAATTATGAAGATAAAAATGTTTAGATTTTTCCACCTAATTTAAATAACGTGAACATGCTGGCTCTTCTATCGGGCAAAACACTAGTTGGTGGCACTGCTTACTCATTTGAAAATTTAGTTATTTCTTTTAAAAGTTGTTTAACGATGGAGTTTTCAAAAATTTTAAGAGTTACAGAGTTCACAGAATTGTCTTCCCTCCTCACTTTCACTGCTCCCTAACCTGACTCTTTCTTGGGTCTCCCTGGGCATCTGCTGCCTCTGAAATGACTGACCAGTGTGTGGCTTCCTTCCACTGCACTCATAAGGAGCAGGCACAGAGAAAGAGCACCCTCACTACATGGCTGGGGTCACAAGTGGCCTGACAATATCCAACTGTCCTGGAAAAATGAAAAAAAACAGACTTCTGCCCAGAATTATTCTTCTATGGTGCTGGTGGAAGTGGGATGAGGCCTGTTTCAAAGTGAATTTAAAGGAGTGAAGCTAGTGGACTGTGAGTTGGACTAAAATGCAGGAGGCCAAGCAAATGGCCATCAGAAGCCCTGCCCCAGGCCTGTGCCAATTCCCATGAGGGCGTGAGCTGGATGCTGCAGCTGGACTCTGCTGTAATGGACACGGTGGCCCTCTGGGACCTGATGCTGACAGTGCATCCTGTGACCATGGGAAAGCCTGCAACCAGAAAAGCCAGCAGCACAAAGGGGCGTAGCACTTAAGTCTGTTGTTATTACTGCTATTGCCTCTTCAGAATACTTCCCAATAACATGCTCGTCGAAATGGAATGAAAACCAACACCAAATGCTTCCCAGTTAATAACAGATCGCTCGAACTGTGCAAGATACAGGCAGATATTAACTCTTGTTCTGACTCAATTTCACTTTATCATGAAAATACACTGGACCAAATCTATGCATCTGAGTCCAGACTGGAGTTGCATCACAAAAAGTGATGAGGAAAGACGCAAAAATAGTCTGAAATTTTGCCACAGATGCAACTGAATTTATAAAGGTACGTAAATATTTACAAATGGGACTGGTATATCAATGCAGGCTGGCAACAGACCCTCTGCCCTTTTAATCAGTTCCATTTCAAAAGAACTCTTTTGGTATTAAAAATAATTTAAAAAGGTCAGAGAGGCAATAGTAGGGAAGGGAGGGAGTATATCACACGTCTCCCTGTTTAAAAATTCTGTAATCTCTAAAAATAAACTAAGGCAGCTTTTTAAGTTAGCTGGCTCAGTTTCCACTGCAGGGGTTACATAATCCTCTGAGAATAGGCCGTAGGTTCTTAAAATTTTAATACAAAAGTTATTCACAAATTGGTTAAAAAGTTTCCATTTCCTTTTTGAAAAACCTTATTGAAGGTGAGGGGGAAAACACACTGCATGTAAACACCATTCTTACACAAAATCCTGCTCCAAAAAACCATGGTTTGTATATTAAAAAGCAAAGAATGCTCCCTCCTTTACATTCACAACAAACTTCCATTAGAAATTCTGCTGTGTGGTGATGAACAGAAAGGTAGTCCCATCCAGCTCGGTGTCTTCTGAAACGTCACCTGCCCCCTCCACAAGAGAACCGCTGGCTGCATAATAATGGCACCAGGAGACCGCGGTGCTGGGTCTTGTTGGTTTGAACAAGCAAAATGTCTGCATGGTATCTCGGCTCCGCAAAGAACCTGTCAATGCATTCTCCACACCAGGCGGACAATGTAACGTAACAGTCGTAAGATAACCATTCGTGGGTGGTCTTCGGCTGCTTGGTAATTATTCAAAAATACCTGAAACAACAAAAGGAAAGCTTCTTAGTTTCTCCCTAATTTGGGGGTGGGGAGGGGTGGGAGCCCATATTTAAGTGAACAACCAATCCCATCTTAATCACCATGAAAGGCACCTCTTCAAGAGCACTGTGTCACAAAGCACGATGCCTCCCAGAGATTGTGAAGAAAACTTGTTTTCATTTCCCTGCAAAGGGGAAGACATCCCTACAAAAAGGGCAGGCATACCAATGATTTACTCCTTAAAATAGGAAAAAAAAAAAAAAAAAAAAAAGCACTCAAAAAAATGTTTGAAAAACTCAAAGAGGATGTAAAGCAACTATCTTACCACCCAAGTTAACTGACATTCAAATATGCTGCAGATTCCCCCAGGGGTGAATTTCTGGTAGCTGTAATTTATTTGAAAAACCAGTGATTTGGAGTAATCTGCC
Source organism: Homo sapiens (assembly GCF_000001405.40). Lineage (NCBI taxonomy): Eukaryota > Metazoa > Chordata > Mammalia > Primates > Hominidae > Homo > Homo sapiens. Next base: position 111,163,704 of record NC_000002.12, on the reverse strand, counting down.
CTAAGAAGCTAAATAAAGTCTCGCAGTGATGCGCCATTGTGCCTCTGGCTGCTTGGCTATGATAAACACCGTGACCCAGAGGGGTGCCCATGGTCACAGACACAGGCAATGTCAACCCCCATCCTCCCACCTTCTCGGTATGGGAAGGAAAGAGCAATCCAGAACATAAAAAAGTCTCTGTGTCAGTGACCAGCATATGTTTGTTACAAACTGAGAAACTGTTCAAAAGGAAATCACCAGCTTATCCAATGCTTTCAGGGTCCTCAGGTCTTCCACAGCGCCCACTTTCAGGTTCTAATCCATTTTGTGAGTATGTGCAAGGTATAAATTCACAGTCACCAAAGGCAGCGGCAACACAACACCTCAACCTCGACGCCATGAGCTACAACCTGGTTCACTGTTCAAGTCTGAAATCTGCCCTGGACATTTCTTAATGACTAATCCACACGAGACCGGGCTACATGACTGTCTCTCCACAAACCCCCTTCTCATTGGGTGGGGGATACCTCCAACACACCGTCGCGGGAACCACCTGCCATGCATCAGGCTGAGACAACTGTCCCCTCAGACCCCGAATGGCCCCCACAGACACCAGCCGCAGCTGCAGCTCCACTGTTTACACAAGCTCTGCCGCGCTTGTTTGACAGAATGGGATTGTGATAAGGCCAGGGCATTTCCCCTTTTCCTTCCATAACAAGATTGGAGGAAATCAGCTTTATGTAAGCGATTCCTGTAGAGGCACTCTGTAACCACAGTCTGTGATTTTTATCTGTTTTACACACAAGATTGCTTTGTTTTGATTTAACTTTCAAAATTACTTTGCTGCCTCTGTGTGAGAATAATTTAGGGGAAGGTTAATTTTAGTGTAGACTAATATTAATAGGTTGAAAGAGACTTATTCAAAATAAAACCACAACTTACTAAAATGAAGAAAGTGTACGCTATGATGGGCTAAGTAATCAATCCAGGCAGAGTTGTTTTGTGCCAACCTGGTGTCATTGCCATGCTTGGTGTGGCCAGAAAATGGGGCTGACTGGGTGTCCACAATCATCAGGACACCAATGAGGGGGCTGGGTCAACGTGAAGGACAGACCCCAACTGCTGACACTTGGTAAGTTTCATATTCCAGCACTGGCAGCGTCCAAGGGAAGAAATCTCCTGCCCACTCTTTGAGGACAGCAGGAGGCTGTGACCAAGCTTAAGTAGAAGTCACCTCACAAGAGAATCTTTCCAAGGTTTTTAGAGTTCCACTTTCATCTCAAATGTAAAGGATATGGGGTATTCAAAGACATGTTGGAGAGGGTGGGGAAAATGCAGGAAATTTTGGCAAAAGTTACACCCAATCCCTGACTCATGAGAAGATGCTACAGCATCCCAGTCTGCAAGTGTGCGGGGATGCCTGCCCTCTCAGACGGCGGGCATGACAACATGGCACACGCTTTTAAGCTGACAAGCAATTGCTTTTGGACGACATTCAACAGAGGAAGCCATTACCACGGATTCAAAGAGCCGTGCCAGCCCAGAAAGCATTTGACAGCTGGCACGGCCGGCTGGAGCTGCTGTTGGCTCGAAGTGTATGCCCGTATTGCAAAAGACAGCTGGAGGATGGGCAGCCCCTACCTCTGTAGACTGGCTGCCCTCTAATACCTGCAGCCATAAAAATTACTGTGGCTTATAGTCGGGGCCTGGTGACACTAAACTGGGGCAAGTGGCCAAAAGCTGCAGTGGGGCAAAGACGCAGAACTAGGACTGATGGCTCAACGCTGCTCAAAGCGCCAACAGCTTCAGCCAGCTCCAGTGAAATCTCCCTGCGATCTAGATACTGAGGAACGGCTGCTACAATTCAGCTCCTAAACCAGGGCCTTTGGTTTTGGGGTGGTATAAAGGGTCAGGAGGGAGTCTGAAGCAATTAGAGAAAGCCCCCTAAGATGGAATTTACTGGTGAAAGGTCAAAGTAAGGGCACACCCAGTGGCTTCTGGCCAGGGTAGCACATCCAAGATGGAATTGGAAAGTCAGGACTAAAGATGACAATCCCTGTATTGCAGGGGAGTTGCCAGTTAAAGGCAAGTATGACACTAAGACTGAGCCAGGAGCTGTCATTTGCAGTGTGAGTGGTTCCTCGCATCTAACATGGGCTAAGACAATAAACACACCCATAAGCGGATCATCAGCAGCCATGCCTTGACCGTCTTCCTGAGACCTGCTGTCTGCAGAGCTGGCCTCCCGCCTAGTGTCCAATAAGTCTGCGTCTGCTACAGTGGTTCTTAATCAGGTGGAAGAGGCATCTGTGAATCAAAAGTGCATTTAAGTTCTGCCACTCCCAAACTGGGTAATATAAAAAAGACAGACTGTCTTTCCTGATTACAAGCGTTTTTTAAAAAACTATTAAAATAAATACAATCAGGGAAGATGCTCCACTCCCTCCTGAAACTTCTGGGTATCTTCCTCTTTATGGGCTGAACTGTACACTGTGTCCCCTCAATTCATCTGTTGCAGTCCTAACCCCCCGGACCTCAGGCTGTGACTGTAAGTGGAGACAGGGTCATCAATAAGGTGATTAAGTTAAAATGAGGTCACTGTGGGGTGGGCTCTAATCCACGGTGTTCTGGTAAGAGACAATCAGGACACAGAAACCCACGGAGGGAGACCACGTGAAGACACAGGGGATGACAGCATCTACAGGTCTGGAGGCTAAGTCTGCACCATGATCACAGACTTCCAGCCTCCAGAACTAAGAAAAATAAATTCCTGTTGTGTGAGCCACCCAGTCTCTGGAACTCTGCACAGCAGCCCTAGCTGACTAATACACACTTTCACTGATGCTCTCAGTCTGTCACTCTTTAAGTGAAAACAATCCTTCTTACAGAGTTGGGTAACTCTGTTTTAGTCTAAATTGCAAAAATACTTTAGAAAGGTATAACAACTCATTTGGGTGAAGGAGATTATTTTTAAAGACCAAATTTGCTAGTAAGTTACAACTGAAGTGACCATATACTACAGTTCTCTCCTCTCTCACTTTCTCTACGCAGACACACATACACACAATCACAAGTGCACAAAGAGGAGGGCCCCACCCAGTTGGGTACTGTAATCTCCATAGCCTAAATCAAGAGCTATATGAGGACTGGGTTACCTGGAGGTAACTGCCTTTTGTGGCCATCCCATGTGTCCAGAAGATGACTCCTTCAACATTCACAACCTTGTGTGTCCCTCCAGGAACCAGTTCCTGACAGCCCCTGCCCCTCTCAGGGTAAGGGGCTCCAGTGGCCCTGTTGCTGACCAGCATCAGGTGGGGGGCCTGACTTCAAGGCACGTGTCTGTGTACCCACTAGGTCTGATGGTAATAGCTGTGTCGCCAGCACAAAACAGTAAACAAGATAATAAAGTAAGGACAATACAGAGGCAAATAAAATGAGAGGGAAAAAAACCACTGGCCAGAGAGGAAGTGGGGGAGCCAGGGCAGGAAGGCACCAGGGTGAATCCCCACATCAAGCCCCAAAGGAAGAGGAGAATTTCTTGGAAGGACAAGAGGAGAATGGGCAGTGCAGGTGGAGAGAGAAGCTGGGCAGAGGCAGCAAGGCCAACAGGCAGAAGGGGCCAGCAGTTCAGTAAAGATAATCTCAGTAGTGGATAAGTATTTATCATAAACCAGAAGGAAAGATTATGCCAAGTTGCAGGATTGCTCCCCCACAGACTGTGCCCTCTAAGTGTAAAGGCATAGGATTATGTGTCTACAAGTTCCTCAGCATAGACTTAAGCAGTCTTTCTCTGAAGATATGAACAATGCCCTTTGAGACGGTGTCGAGCATTCAACAGGGAATTCCTAAATAGTTCTTCACATGTCCCCATGACACCAGATGGCACAAGCTCATCTGGGTGGCAACCTGGGAGGAGCTGTACCACAGGAATGCCCTAGCGTGGGGTTCCTGCTGCCTTGCCAGGGGCTGGAGCTGCCACTGCAGCGAGGAACATTAAGTGCAGGGCAGAAGCATCTTCAATTTACACTTGGGACGACCAATTAAGTGTCAGGGAATTTAATGACATTCTAATGCCAAAATAATCACAGAACACCACTCTCTTGCTCAGTCCAGGGAAGCAGATGCTTGGAAAACAATAGAGGCCCTGGCCCCAGGGAACTGGTCAGGTTGAACAGCAGACAACTATAGAATGCAGCTTTGGATTCAGCTTCACTCTCCAACAGTGAGAGGAGTCGAACCTTTGAAAAGCTGCCTAGGGCACTCCAGGCCTTTGGACTTTGTGTGCCCAAGCTTGGGGATGGAAGAATTGCCATGGCCACCACTAAATGAAATAACCTAGCCCATGCTTTTCAGTCCCCACAACAACCCTGAGTGCCAGGGTAGCATTCCCTATGCTGTTTTGCAGCCAGTGACTACAGAGGTCAAGCAAGTGACTCAAAGTGCAGCTGAAGACAGTGGCAGGACAGGATGGGTACTCTTGGCCCACATGAAGATGGAATGCCAGAAGCAGGAAAGAAGTTAAACGAGGGCTTTCAGGCCAGCACCTTCCCTCCTCGCACACCCTGTGCCTGTGCCTGTGCCTCTGCTGGGAAGGGCCCGTTGCTCCTCAGACCTGAAAGGGGCCTTGTTTCAGGCTGAGCTGAGGCCACAGAGGTTCTGGAGTGCGAATTGAGAATCACTAAGTGATTCCTACAATGCAGCTCAGAATACAGCCCACTCATCCATGCTCCAAAGGCAGGGCTGACACCCACTGGGCCCAAGGACTCGGTAAGTACAACACAGACCTAGACATAGCATGGCTCAAAGGGGACTTAAATTAAGAAAGCGCAAATGTGTGTAACACAATTTAAAAAAAAAGGTTGAGATCAGACATGACATCAAGGAGTTATCCTGGGAACCAGGGGTGAGATGTGCTGTAAGAGAGCCACAGTTTAGTTAAGAGTTTCCTGGCAGTCAGAGCAACGAGGGAAAAACGACAATTTCATTGTCATATCAAAGCAAGCTCAATTCCTAATTCTAAGAGGCATTCAAAAACAAGGTATACCTATAGAACTCTGAGATGCAGAGGAATTTAACTTACTCAAAAACTTGTTTCTTACAGAATTTCAACAGTAAATGTATAGGATGTCCTGAAACTTATTTTTTATATATATTTAAGTGTTTATATATATACTATAAATTATTATACATTATATATAATAGGAGGCTGAATTTTGGACTGTGAGACCAGGAAGGACAGAGGGAATCTCTGCTCCAGGCTCAGGCAACTGAGGAAGCAGTCTCTCTGGTTGGTGTCTGATCCCCACAGGCTGCAGAAGAGAGGGCCTGGGATGGACATCCAGGAGCCTGAGAATACCCAGGGGCTGTCACGGCATCTTTAGGGACACTGAGGTGGCAGGGTGGGACATGGAACTAGGAGTCACCCCCCTGATTCTGTTAGAACTACCACTCCACGACTCGTTCATAACCCAGCAGTCTAAACAGCATTTTAACTGGCAACTAAGTGACACAGAAGTCAGAGAGAAAAAGGCCCAGCACACAGTTGAGCATGATGTGGAGCTCTTCAGGAAGATCTGGTCTCTCTCCACTTTCAGACCAACAACCACAGTCAAACGGCAGCTGAGCTGGTATTTCAGCACTGGTTCCATATGCATGCTGTTTTCAGGTGTCAGAGGAGATTGCTACAATACTGCCCAACACCAAATCCACTTTCTATTCATCACCAAGGCAACATGGATATTTGCATAGCTTGTGCCTGCTGCACTTTGATGTCACCACAGCTGGGGAAAGGGCACTAGGAAGTTCCCTCCCAGATGCATGGTACCTTCACCCCAAACCAGGAGAGCACTCTCCCCTAGCGTTGCAAAGCTATGGGTGCTGCAGCTGATCTGCTATGGTGACAATGTGGTCTTCAGAAGTCAGATAAAAACTACATTTGCATAAACCAAACTTTTATCCTATTTTTGACACACTATTTCAAAGAAATTATGATAGTTAAGGCTTATTGTGACACAAATCTCTTCTCCAGTGAATGTCCAGGTGAGGCTGTGCACTGAGGCTCTTCAGGCAGCACAGCACAGCCCTCCACTTGGTAGGTCTCTAGCCTGTCAGACTCCAGACCTGGTGCTGGCTAAACTGGGGAACAACTCCCACCTGCCACTTCTGAAATCGTCACTGTTCTATGGCCAACCACAGAGAAGAGACAGATTGTTCTGACATCTGTGTGAGGCACCAGTAGTTGGAATATTAGATTCAGAGAAGAAACACACTGTTCCAAAATGTTTCAGCCTCAGAAAAAAGCTAAGTGAGACGTAACATAGTTTAACCACAACTAAAACCTCTCCACTTTGTTTCAGGTGGTAGAAGTCTAGTGAAGGATGATATGAGAAGCTTATTATTTTTGAACGTCTGCAGCAGGGCCAAGCCTTAGTTTGTGTGCATCTTCATTTCCTCCTCAAGAGATTTAAAAAAAACCCCAGTTAGACCTCCTGAAGTCCCCTTCCAGGCACCTGCATCTCCTTCCTCATGGTTATGTGTTAATGGCCTTGATCCAGAGCTGCAAGGCAGCCCTGCAGGTGTAGGCACCTGCCAAACAGATGAGCACTCACACGTGGTGCAAACAAGCACAAGTCCTTTAGCCCGATGCCCATCCAGCCATTTAAACACACACCAGTGCCTCAGCCTCATCTCATATTTGCCTACACCCAGACACAGCATGTGCAGTAGGGTCAAACACACAACTTGTTTAAAAAGCAGTTCCAGAGTATTTAAAAGATAGACAGGTGAACAGAGTTCCTGGCATCTCCCTTTCTAAACGCCGAAGACCCATTGAAAAATGTTTCAATTACAGTTCAAAGTGAGAGGAAACAGAATTACGATAACAGATGATAATAAGAATTTTCTAGCTCCATCTCTAAATGTTCTTACTTAATCTCCACTACATGCCTAAGGGATAGACCAGACAATTGGCCTCCTAAAGGTTAAGGGTAGAGTCAGGGCTCTAGGTCTGACCCCAAAGTCCCCACACTTCTCTGTGAGTCGTGTTTTCCTACGAGATCACACTCTGGCTTCAACGAGTAACAGAACGCGCTTGTTTGGAAAACCAGCAATCCATAGTCCACATAATCCCAGCCACATGTTCTCCCAAAAGTCTGAGGGGAAGAACCAAGGAGCTCATCACCTCTGGCCATTGTACTTCTGGGACGGAAACGGGGTAGTCTAAGACAGGAAAGAAAGGCTCCTAAACCCAAACACTGAGCTGCCTCCTCCAGCTTTAAGGAAAACTCTTGCTGAACCTGAATGAAAACCGTGCCACTGATCAATGGCAGGTACCAATTTATCTAAGCTCCTCATGACTGCTTTTGTTATGAAAACTGACATTCTATCAACTCATGTGAGTGAAGTGTGGGGCAACCTATCATTGCATGAGTTAGGTCTAATTTGAATTTAATATCTGATGTGCAGATTTCCACGACTCTTTTCACAGCCAGTAACAGAAAGCAACTTCTTTTACTAAACTCCAACATTCAATTAATGAAGACCTCCAAAGTACGCTGAGAACACACGTTTGGGTTTGTGTTCAGTTTGTGCAATTACCAAGCAGGCTAAACTTTAGTCCTTGCCTTTGTACATTATTCACAGAAGAGTGACTACCATTTATAAAAACAAGAATGAGATAGCACTGGGGATTTCACTTCTCAAGAAGGAGAGCATATAAGTATTTCAAATTCATACAGAGCACAGGAAAATGCTAATGTAATGACACGTTAAATTCTTTCCATCAAAATCAGTCTGCAAGTCACCTTCTCAACTCTACTTTGTCTCATTCAGGGCTAGATTTTGGTCTACATGCACTTCAATCAATTCCTGTCTGCACATGCCCTGGACAGAGTAGGAAGTAGGCAGTGTAAACAAAAGATCACTGTTTCTTGTGATCAAACAATGAAAGGGTTTTTATTCACTGCTGGCCTCATCTGGAGAGCAGCTTCATGTGCTGCTGTCCACTGCAGCCCACCACCAGGACATGCCCAGGTCACAGTTAGCCAAGAGCAGTGTTCCTGCACATGGAGTGACTTGAGCTGGACAACCTGACTGTGAAGAACCTAGAAGCCACAGAAGGTAAACAACTCCAGCTTCAGTATTAGGGGTTATGGAGGGGAAAGAGGGAGGCATGTTGGTTGCAGAATGGGTCCAGTTATTCCAAGAGTAAGCATTTTTACATTCTAAGGGCTTCTGACTGCAGCCCCAGCCCATGGTCAAGACTCCCACCCAAGTAGACACTATCCTTCCAGTACCTCCGGCCCACATCTACAGAGGGTCGCAATCTACACTTGCTGGCACTGCGTCCAGCAGATGAACCGGTACATGCGCTCACACAGTTTGGGTGATGAAAGAAACTGGCAACCGCTACTGAAGAACAGTCTGGCTGTCTTGGGCTGACACACTCACCAGGAAGAGAAGGTGCAGGCTGCAGAAATACAAACACTGCACCACTCAGGTAAAGGCAAGCTGCTCACTTTCTCACAAATTCCAAAATATTTAGTTTCTCAGAGAACTTCTCTTCCCTCCATGCCTACTAACATCCTTACGCTACCTAGCCTTTACCAATAGCCTCCCTACTCGCCACTAAGGAGTCTCACAAGCTTGGAGTCTTTTAAGAGTGCCCTGCACAGCAGACCTGCATAGGAAGAGCTGTGAGGGTCAGTAGCCCTCTGGCCAAAGTTCATTCCGCAACAAATGACTTTTAAGAGCTCCGTGACCTTCACAGCCCCTGGGCTTTGTCCCACAACTGGTTCTCCCTGTGCCTGCACTACTGGTGCCTCCCGCCAAATCATTAAGAATCTGAGCATCAAAATAAATATTGACAGTAACGCATTGCAGCCCATTGAATAAAACAGGAATCTATGAATCCAAGTTGTTATACTAAATAACTATATAAGAGAGAAAGGAAAGCTCTTTGTCCTTTATAATCTCTGTCCTATTACAAATGGAAAAGTACTAACTTCACAGTGGAAGACTGTGGAAGATCTTTGATCCAAGATCCACCTTGGATCAAAGTGAACCTCATCAGTAACAGGACAAATGGACATCATGTGCTTCCTGCTGTGCCACACTGACACATCACCTCTGGAGTGCTCCCATCAGAAATGCAAAACCTGAGTCTCATCATGCAGAAATATCAGATAAATCAAACTCAGGGAGTCTGCAAATTACAACTGCCCTGATCCTTCAAAAATGTCACTGTCATAAAAGACAAAGACAGAGGAACGGTTCCAAATTAACGGAACCAGAGGTAAAACACGTGAATTCAATGCATTATCCTACATTGGCTCTTAGGCCAGAAAATACATTTTTTCTTTTTTTTTTTTTTTTCTGAGAAGGGCATTGTTGGGACAAGTGGTAAAATCTGAATAAGGTCCATAGATCAGATAATAGTTTTGTAACACTATTTGTGAATTTTGATAATTACACTGTGGTTACATAAGGGATTACTCCTATTTTTGGGAAATATACACTGAAGTATTTTTAGTGTAGGAAAAGCAGTATCATGTCTGTAGTTTTTTCTGAAATAAATTGTACATGTGTGCAAAGAGGGAAAACATGAAAACAAGTGGGGCAGATATAAAAGGGTGGTTCTTTGTGTCATTCTTGCAACATTTTTGTAAGTCTGAAATTATTTCCAAATGAAGTTACCAAAATCCACTGGAGTAGTAAAACTCCGACTGAATAGAGGGGCCAGGCCGTTCAGCCCGGCAGGTTCACCTGGGAATGACACTGCATCGGGAGAGAAGAGGGGACATGCACTGGGACTTTGCGCTCACCTGTGCCTCTCTCACCTCCTCCTTCAAGGATTCAGCCTCCACAGCTCCGTCTCAAACGCTTCCCCACTGCCCTTAAGTGGACTGAATACATGACAACTACACGACAACTTCCTCTATTTCTCTAACTGGAAAAACGGGAAAATATCCTGTCAGGCTTTGCAAGGCTCGTGGCAATAAAAGACTAACACTTTAGACAAGGCATTGTAATAGCATTAAGCAAATAAAGACACTCAACATTTAAAAGGTTAATATCCATCCTAAAGCAGCACAGTGAGATACACTCGCTTGCCAAGAGAGGATAATTCCCTTGTGAAGACAGCAGGTAATTTGAATTCATTATTTCCCAAAACGGCCTCCCATTACCTTCCCAGATTTCTGCCCCCAATATTTAACAATGGACCATTAAGTGTGATTCCAGACAATGGACTGTTTTTAATCTAACAAGTATCAAGACGGGTGTCTGTGGCTTTGAAGATCACGGTGTCACTATCCACAGCATCATCCAGTGTTTTGAACTATTTTTTTTTTTAGATGGAGTTTCGCTCTTGTGGAGGCTAGAGTGCAATGGTGCAATCTCAGTTCACTGCAACCTGCGCCTTCCAGGTTCAAGCAATTCTCCTGCCTCAGCCTCCCGAGTAGCTGGGATTACAGGCACCCACCACCACACCCAGCTAATTTTTTGTACTTTTAGTAGAGACGGGGCTTCACCATCTTAGCCAGGCTGGTCTTAAACTCGTGACCTCTGGTGATCCACCCGCCTCAGCCTCCCAAAGTGCTGGGATTACAGGTGTGAGCCACCGTACCCAGCCTTGTGTTTTGCGCTATTTATAAAATCTGAATATATTTACCTTTGTTTTAGAAAAATTGGGTTATAACCTAGAATCTATCCCTACTCCTTCCCCCTAATATCCCAGCCTACTAACAAAGCTAAAGTCCTTTAATGATTTGTGACTGTATTTTTGCACTGAATTATTTTTAAGATATGCAAAAGATGCACAATGACAAAACCTTGTAAATACTGCAATCAGACAAATTTAATTTACCAAAAGCATGGGAACAATAGGTTGCATCTTATTGGAAACACAGACATGACCATCTTAAACATACGCTTAAACATTAAACTGTGAAATGACATTGGGAGAAGAGGAGGGGAGGCAGGCTATGAACCTGTTAGGTGCTGCTATCACATCCTCAACAGAGAGGCAAGGTAACAAAGACAACCCAGCAGCCTAGGTTTCATCTGCATATGACTCAAACTATTCCCCACCTTGACAGCCTTCACAAGAGGATGGCCGGGGACTGGGATGCACTCCAGTCCCCATGCCAGCCTTAGCCTATGTCTTGTCACTGACCACTCATGGCAGCCATGGAGGTGCATCCACCAGGTCCATCTGGGCAGGCCCACAGGAAAGCCTTGTGGAGTCATGCATTCATATTGCATGCTTTAAAGAGAAACTTGTATAATATCCTTTAACACAACCAGCTCTGCGGTCAAAATCTCTAACAGAATCCTTGAGAATGTGCAAGCTTATCTCAGTACCCAGAGCTCTTGGCAGCAGGGAGACACTGTGGGCACCAGGCAAGGCCTACTGCCACCTCTTTCTCTCAGGCAGCCCCATCTAAGGCAGATCTTGCCCCGAGGGTGTCTACAAAGCCCCTTCCAGACGGGAAGGAGACAGGCCCAGGGGATGGTCAGTTCATTGCCTAGGTTCAGAGATGTCTCCATACCCATCAGAAATGATCTGTCCTGTTGGATTCTGGACACAATACCAGAATCGGGACTTGAGTGTATTCACCTACCCTCTTAAAGGGACTCATGTCCTCCCCACTTTGATCCTGAATACACTGTGGTCCCACTTCTCACCAGTTCTTCCTAGTCAATAGAGACAGCCACTTCCAGTCACACACAGGAACACCAAAATCCCTTTAGGTAAACCAAGGCAGAGGAACTGGAGGGAATGGTTACTTCAGTGACAAGTTATAAAACCAACCAAAGTTCCAAAAAAATTACCATTTCAGATCTAGGCTGGAATGTTCTGTGAACTGGTTTATGTCAGGTGGAGGATGCCAGGAGTTTTGCCAGCTTAAGACAGTATTTTAAGAAATTCTTAAGTCCATCAATGTCACACTTCCCATTTTACAACAGAATCATTACTACAGCACTCTCCTCAAACACCCCCACAGAAAGGTAGGAAGATCCGATGTGTGTTTTCTTGACTCTTACAGAAATTCCATACTGAAGAACTGATAGTGTCCTTTGTAATGGGAAAATGTCTATTTGTCTAAAAGAAGCCTAAAACACATTGTATAAAGGCAGAAAAATAATAATCAAAGGTAAAATCCATTTACTTAGCAACAATTAACCAAGCATGACCTCCCCTAGAAAACAGATTAAAAAAAAACTTTTAAGAGGTACTTATATAAAACAACAACGTTCAGAAAAAAAAGAGCTAAAAGAGAAGGGGTAAGAATAAATGATATTAACAACTATAACATTTTCCACAAAATAAGAATTAGTGTCTTCCTTTTGGATAAATCAACTGAATTAATACCTTTATATGAGGTGTTTAAAACTCTGTGAACAAGTAAATACACTATATCACACATTTGCTAGTGTACCCTTTAGCGGAAGCAGTCACAGGTGTTCCCAATGGTACTAACTCCTGGAGTCAAAGTCTACACATTTAAAAATGTCTCCCATGCGGCCAGGCGCAGAGGCTCACACCTGTAATCCCAGCACTTTGGGAGGCCGAGGCAGGCAGATCACAGAGTCAGGAAATCGAGATCATCCTGGACAATATGGTGAAACCCCATCTCAACTAAAAATACAAAACTAGCTGGGTGTGGTTGCAGGCGCCTGTAATCCCAGCTACTCAAGAGGCTGAGGCAGGAGAATCACTTGAACCTGGGAGGCGGAGGTTGCAGTGAGCTGGGATTGCGCCACTGCACTTCAGCCTGGTGACAGAGCAAGACTCCGTCTCAAAAACAAACACACACACAAACAAACAAACAAACAAACAAAAGTGTCCCATGTGAAAAAGGTGTCCAAATGGTCACCTACATTGCCCCCAGGTAAAACAAACAAAAAACACCGCTTCTACTAACTACAGAAGATGACATAGGCTAAAATTTTTAAAAAATCAAGAACATAGCTCAAAATAAGTGGCAATTATCTATAATATAAAGTTTTTACAGCCCAAATTACAGGCTATTGATTAGCGGCCTCCTAATACATTTCAACAATTAAATGTCCAAAGACAGCAATGGGCTCTGCAAGGGCAATGGCTCCCTGCTTCCTCGGGCCACCCTGCAAATTGCAGGAGAGTCTTTTACATGAGTGCTGGCATCGCTCCCATGCGCTAAGTGACAAAAGATGTTGTTTAAAAATTACCTTTAACTTTGACCTAAAATGCACAAGGGGAGTACAGAAACACACTACATGGATTGAAACCTATGTTAATAGTATTTCTAGACTATCTCAAAGTCTATAAATAATCCCTTTTTTAGCATTGTTTTAAAGTCTGTGCTCATAAAATTCCTTTGCTGCCTCCTACTGTATTATTTTATTTAAGTGCCATTACTTAGTCATAAAACAAATGAAAAATGGGAAAGGAGAAACAATGAAAGGTCACAACTAGGCAACAGTAATCATTTCCAGAATTAGCATGTAGTTACAAGAAGTCACTGTCTTTTTAAAAAAATATAGTGTGGAAGGGGAGGGTGTGAGCAGAAAAGCGGGTAAAGAAAACATCATTACCCTCCTTGCATAGTAAGCGTTAAACTCGTCTCCAATACGCCGCAACTCTTGGGCGATCCATATCTCTGGGCGCATATCTGCAGGTTCAGCCTGCCTCATGGAAGCTGCATCAGAACAAAACAAAACAAAAATCACATTGTGGTCCACAGATCACTGGGAAAGTTCCAAAGATAAGTCTCTAGAGGCAAGCCCATCTCACACACTCTTTCACATTTCTGGGAGCTCCCTGACTTCAACAACTACAGCCATGTACTAAAGATTAGAGTGGCAGAGTCTTCTACATAACTCTGGTTAAAGAATAAGAGATATAGAATAAAATTTCCTTTTTTAAAACTGGAGATTCAGAATTGCAAGAACTGAAAACATTCCAACCCATTCATACACACTTCCATTTCCAGAAGTTACTCACAAGAAAATGGAAAATACTGCCAAAGAAATATGCTTGAAACATAATTATAACATAACAATTTAGTTTTTCAGTAAAATAATCATTCTGATCTTATTACAAGGCAAATATTCCTATATAACTTTCAAACATCATCCAAAAATATGAGGTGAAATGGCTGTCCCATTCAAAGCAAAATAAGCGAAACCCTGAGAAACCTGAATAAGTTGGTTTCTATGAAAGCAGGTACAATGATACAGACAGCTGTCTTCAGAATGGCTACCCCAGGGCCAAATGAAAGCATAATTGCATGTTTTGTCTCAATATTAATGCAGCCAATCAAGATGAGCTCAAGTCTGCAAACACCACATGGAGAGAAAACATGTTTTTGGGTCTAAGAGCAAAGGCATTTTTGAAAGGAGAAGAAAGAGGGAGGACTGCCCTTTCATTAAGCTGTCACTAACATTCACACCCAGTACATTCATCTGTTTACTAATGAAACCATTAAAAGCCATGTGACAGCCAAAAATGAAGGAGAACAAAAATGTGAGTTGTCAAAAGATCCCATTATGCATTAGGAAGATTATATTCTCCATGTGCCACCAGGAAAGCATTACACTCAGAGGTGAACAGTTCAGTAACGTGTACAGGAAATGAGATAAAATTCTTGGATTTCCACCGCTATTCACGTGTGACTTACGTTAACTTACTGTAAAAATGGGCACACCGTACTCACAATTAAACACACATATTACGTTTTCACCAGAACAAAATAGGTAAAAACCTACGATAATAGGATTTTGCCATACGAAGGAACATAACTTCCTGTCTTTATTTTTGTAAAAGGCCAGTAAAACTGATACTGATTCAGAGCTCTATAAAAACACTTAAAAGTGAACACTTTGAAGAGTTTTTGCCAATTCCTCTACAATCTCTTGCCTCATCTTATACCCAAGTGAATTTAACAATAATCCCACAAAGACTGAGGGCCTAGGAGAGGCAGAATATCACACCACCCCTGTGGGGGTGGCAGTGGGGTAAGAGGGACACACACCGATCCCCTCCAGAGTTATCTGCAGTCTGTGAATAAACCAGAGGGAGGAACTGCTGTAGGAAGCCCTGGTGGAGAAGCACAAAGGCTGATGAAGGGGAAACTTTCAGGATGTCAGGCATGGCCTCTGAATACATCCAATCATACAAAATTTACTTTGATTGTACCTGTGTCACACAAATATTTCTAACAAATCTGTAAAAAGTCTTAAAATTAATTTTTGAACTAAACTGGGAGAAAACAAAATTTCTGGGTAGATGTGATATGAGGTGATGCTGATGTCATAGTTCCTTTTCCTGGGCTTACTGCCCCTTAAAGAGCTACTCTTTTTAAGTGTTCTTTCCCTGATTTAGAAGCTTTTAACAAGTTAGTTCGCCCTTAGGGGAAGAAGAAAAGTGTGTTTTGTTTGGGCACCCACTGCACAAGGGTCTCATGCAGTCCTCCTAAAGGAGGTGTGCCTACCCATATGCACAAGTGAACGTCCAGCCAGCAAGACACCATCACCCACCTCTCCTGAGCTTCAAGCTCCACCTGTTTCTCACTACACATGACTGAGAGAGAAAACTGCCTTCAGCCCCGGAGTCAGAAGTGAAGAAAACACCAATTATCAAAAGGACATCTGTGAACTACAGATTGATGTTTTATAAAGTTGGCAGACTGGTAAAAATTGCAGGCCAAGTTACCCAATACTTAATACATCAATGATATTCACAAATCCACTCAACAAACACAAACACTCACATGCCTGACATTGTTCTAGGAGGTGCTCTGGGTATAGCAACAAAGGAGGCCATGCCCTGCTCCCACGGGGCTTACCTTCTTGTAGATTAACCACTTGATTTCAACTAACTGCTAAATTTCTTTGGGACAAGGAGACATATTTTATACTTTTTATAAGACAAAACAAAAATAATTCCCCCTGTCAATTTCCCCTAACTCGTAAATTAAGTCCACTGGATTCTCTTTAACACTTTGACTTGTGTCTGTGGTTTAGAAGCTTCCACATGGCTCGTGCTTGGGCTGGCAATTGCAAATACCACCAAATACTATCAAGGGGCAGTCTCTGTCAGAAGCCAACCTATCAAAACTAGCACTTAGTGAATGCATTCAACCTAGCCAGCAGGTAGGAGCTTTTAACAAATTAGCCAATTTCAACTTACTCATCTTAAGAGATAAATGCCCTGCTGGCTTTGGCAGAAGCAAATAAACGAATGGCCTGTTTCTTGTACAAAAAGAAAAGTTCAGTAGTTAACATTAATTAGCCTAAATAAATTCATGGATATAAACACATCCCTAAGCTCTGGCAGGGAGAAATGGCGGGTGTGTGTGTGTGTGTGTGTGTGTGTGTGTGTGTGTGTGTGTGTGAGAGAGAGAGAGAGAGAGATACAGGAGGCTGTACTCTTTCAAGTCCCTAAGCAACTCTGGTGCAGACGGTTTCCCAACCAGACCCTGGTGGGCAAAAGGCAAGAAACCATGGCAATGCTCTGGAGCCCTGAGATGTGTCTTTAGCATTTCAGAGTTAGGAGAGTTGTATTAAGCAAAGATAATGGTTTAGAGACTAGGCTTATACTGGAATTGGCAATAACTACATTAGTAAGAGCTATCAACTGTACTTAGGTGTAGTTTTAAAAAGTTATTATGGAAATAGATACTATAAATTACATTTTGCAAAAAAGACTGATCTGTAAGGGCTACTCTAACTAGCACCTATCACTATTTTTTTAAAAACCAGTTTGTTTTTTTGAGATGCAAATACAGTTATTTCCTGAATTTATAAACCTAAAAGTAATGGCAAACACTCATCCTGCAATAAGACCTAGCTAGTATGCACACAGTAGTACATGGCTATAAAGACTATATGATAAAAACTCTTATTTTAACTCTTATTTATTCCTGTATTTTAAAAGGGTAGTTTTAATCTGTTAGTACAGTGCAACATAAAGTTCAATTATTTCTTAAGTGACAAAATATCTTCTATGGGGATAGAGAAAGCCTCTCTTTAACTTCATCACTAATTCAATGTTAGTGAGTCTCACACCACATGAAATCAACCAGAACAAATGAATGGGGTCTGTAAGCCCCACAGTGGCACCGATCAGCACGAGAATTAAGTTTTGTTATTTCCTTTAGCATCAGTTTGCTTTGCCACCACGATGACAAAGGGATCCACCGGTATGGTCTTCCAAAAGCGTGCCTGGAGCCCGTGGGGTTTGGCATACAGAAATCTCCAAACACACGCTGCTCCACCCTCACTCCTGTAATCTTACCTGGATACTCAACCCAATTCCTCCTATCCTAACATACTCGAGCTATCAAAAAGATAACTTAGGTTGACATTTCTAGTTTATAAGAAAAGTAAGAACCAAGCATAAATATTTTATTTTGCTATCTGCAATGTGTCTGACCGCCGTAAATGTTGATACCTGGTCTATAAAATGGTTTTATTTGAAATGAAAGCTCTTACTCTGTAGGGAGATCAAATTTTTAACTTGGCAATTTTATGTGAACATAAAAAATTCTTCAAAGGGGAAATTCTGATGAGCTGCATTTTTACCCACAGAAAATGTAGTTTCAGCATTTATGAAAGCACTTCACTCCATAAACCTGGCACTAAATTTTTTTTTTAAAGCACAATAAAATATAAACTGCTCTTGAGGTAAAGTGACTTCAAAGCTGTAATCTGCAGCAAAAGCTCCAATCCTGCAAGTAGCAGACTCAGGCAGAGGTGACTTCCTAGGCAGATCCATGTTTTCTTTCTCTTTACTTGTTACAAAAAAAAAAAAAAAAAAAAGAAAGCCACTAATCAAAACTTTTATAATGCAATATGTCAGATATAAGCAATTTTTGCCAAAAGTGTGTCCACTGAATCTTCAAACTTCTTAGAAATCATTTTTTGAAGCCCGGAACTTACTGGTAACATTACTACCTATGGGAAAATACCATGAAGTATTCTTAATCCATTTTTGGAGGAGTGTGGAGGGCATTTTCCAACACCAAGGGACTTTAGTTCTACTCAAAGATGCATGTTTCTTAACAAACTATTCTGGCTCAGCAACAGACTATTTTTAAAGTCTTAAGTAATTTAAAATCTTAAAAGTTCAACAACTGAAAAATTAATACCGTGGTTAAGTGGTTGATAGTGAAATCAGGCTGGGGCTTTCACAAAGGACTTTCTGTAGCAGCAGCCACGGCAGGAAACTTTTTTTTTTAAAAAAAGAGAGATTGTCAATCTATAATGAGCTCAGTATCAGTCAGGCTAAACCTTCTGATTTCTCTTTAATGTCCAAGAGCTTCTAACCCAAGAGCCTCTATCCCAGTGCTCCAAGGAAATGAAGTCACATCATGACATTCTCTCTCCAAAACCCAGTTGTTCTCTGTGACGATGCCATAAAGTGACATCTAATGACTCAGGTGTGTGTACTGGGTGGCAGGGGCATGTCACACACAAGCATTCTCAACTGCAGCCTCAGTCTGGGAACGAGGTGGTGCGACCCTCATTTCCGAGGGGCAGCTGCTGTTTTAGTTCCCATCTTATCATTACTGGAATTTCAAGTGTAGTACCAGAAACCAAATTAAAATTCACAGGAACGCTGCACTCTGTACTGTTTTCAGATGTTCAGATATCTACAAACACTCGAGTAGAATCAAGATTAGATTTTCAAGTCATCAGCGTGAATTAAGCTTTGAATCGATATTCAACTCAGAACTGAGAGAGGATTTTACACACATAATAGAACATACTTAGCCAAAAAGTGCACATTCTGTCTGGCACTTGCGGGAAACAGCCAGGCACAGCCAGGGACTGCAGGGGTGTGAGGAGAAAGAAGGCCTGTCCTTCAGACATTGCAGGGCTGTCTACCTTTACTCTCCAGAGAGATTCTGCTTTAACCACCAAAAGCAATAAAGGATCCTGTAAAGGGCCATTTCTTTGTGGACTCTGAAACCAGCTTTAAACCAATTCCAAGAGATACTCCGAAAATGTTTAGGGGAGTCACTGCCTCTGTCTGCAGGTGGGCTCTCTGAAGCTGACATTCATTTAGAGAAAGAAAAATTCCAGGATGTTTATTCAACTCTGTAAGTCTCCTTCTTTAAATATCTTCAGAAATATCTTTCTAAATTCAGAGTTATCCAAAGCTTACAAGAGGAGGGAAGCAACAGACCAGCCCCCTTATGTTTCCTTATAAAACTCACCTGGGTGATGGAGCTGTTTCTAGTCCCAGTTAGCTATAAGGCAAAGGAGAGCAACTGCCATCAGCGTTTGCGGTAAATGCTATCAGAATCATGTTTGAAATCCTCAACTCTGACGGTTCTCAGAAATAAAATAAGCAAGTAACCAACAACACACACACACACCTCCCTCCAGGTCTATTTCTCACTTGTATCATTTTATTTTTTGGCAATCCCAATCAATTCCGCTGAGCCACTGGATGAAAACAAAAGCTATGAGAAATACGATGACAGCATTAGTACTCAAAGATTCCTCAATCTGTCTCCCTGGAACACATTTGTGTCAAAAGCCTGGGCAGTCACATGAATTCAAGACAGTGCTTCAAAAACAGCTGCTAGGATAAAATACTATCAATAATAAAGTTTATGAGATGAGGCCAGTGTTTTCATACTTACTCTTTCAACGTGCACTGCCCATTGCCTTTATGGAGCCATGGTCAAAAGAAACAGCTTTCATCAATTTCCAGCCTGACCATTTGGAAACTGCCAGTAAACCAAGGCTGTGAAGTTGGACAGAAGTCTGGAAACTAGTGTTCATGAGATTTTTTCCCTCATTCACTATTATCTGTCCCTTATAATAAAAATACAAGTCTAAAGACATTAAGATTAATGTGTTATGCCTTTTTACTCATTTCTCATTCAACATCAGAAAAACTAATTATCCATGTCACCAGAGCTGTCCCCGACACACATATTAACATATTTACTAGCAGCTGGGGACAAGCCAGGAGCAAACCCAGACTGAGCTGTGATCCCTATACTCAAGGACATCCCCAGCTGAGTCACGACAGAAGCCCAGCATCTTGCACCATGTGGGAGACCTGAGCAGGAGCCCTCTAAGACTCCCAGCCTGTGTGCCCGCTTCCTGGGACAGATGCACATTTCCTAAGGCACTGCTGTCCTCGCTGAAGAACACTGAGTGCTACGATGCTATTCCTCGTAGGGAATTGAAATGTTCCCTTCTAAGCCCCACTTCAATCTTGATTCTGCCCCTGGGACTATAAAGGAAATCTATGATCCCTCTCAATCATCACCCCACTTTTTGTCAGTGAACCTGTGCCAAACCTGGTCCTAAACCAGTTCTTTCCATGTGCCTTGTATGACATCCCCTGGGAAGCCCCTTGACCACCTGGCCCGCCTTGGTGTGCTCCTGAAATCGCTGCTCTGAATAGTGTGTGACAGTGTTCTGCCCCTGGTGTTCTGCCAGTGTTCTTCTGGGGAAAGACACGGGACACTGAATACTGCTACTACTCCTTAGTTTTTCTACACCAACCTTCATCCTAGTAAGTCTCTGCGACAGCCACAGCTCCATTTCTATAGCTTTAGATTACTTTCAGGGGATTAAAAGTATCTGACCTGTGCCATTTTATTCTGAAAAACAAAAATAATCCCAAAACTAAGGACAGCTAAAAGAAGACCAACCCTGAAATTACTTTAGTGCAAAGACACAAATCCCTATATTTTTTCTACTGACGAGGTAAACTACCCAATTTATTTCCCCATAAGAAGAAAAATGCTTTAGAGACCTTTTAAAAGTAAAGATAAAACTCTATATACATTGGTTCACTTAAGACCATTCCTTAGAATTAAAATGCTTAATTTGAAGTTACTGTAAGTTGTTTCTAGCCAAAAAACCAGATCTGGGCAAGAGGGGAGGGAGATGAGAATTTAAACAAAAAATATAAGAATTTCTGATGACAAAATAAGTGTGGCTTCCTCTATGAAATTTAAAACCAGTAGCAGGAAACTGGTGATTAACATCTTTTCTCCTAAACTCACATTAAGGTCTTCAGTATTACTGTTTTCACCTCCATGATAAGAAAGACCAAGACACAGGTAAAAAATAAGAGCAAAAACAGAATCCTTAAAAAGCTACACCTTAAACAGTTTTTAAAATAAAAATGGAAAAAGCCTATAATGTATACGGTTAAAACTTACAATGGTGATATACAAAGTGAAGTACAATTTAACACAGATATGATTATTGATAACACACTGTAGGGCTAAGACATAATGAAAGCTTCTCACTTAAAAGTCACAAAAGGCAGCTGCTTCTTTTTATCCCATTTTGAATAAAAAGAAAAACTTTTCACCTTGATTTTGCTAACCACTTGAGTGGCCACTGAACTTCCCTATGAAGGGCAATTCTGAGGGAGGATCCAGCGGAGTCATCTGCAAGCCATAAAAATGTTGTATAAATAAATTGTGCCATGTCTTCCCAGACAGATAACTTGTTTTGTCACAGAAGGAAAAGAACAGGAGGTAGAGTCTTCATTAGCACAAGTGCAAGTTAAGGATGTAAAGAATTCTGTGCTGAAAGACTGTGTTCTGGTGCTTTTGAAGGTCTTCCATGTGTTTAGGTTCACACATTCCTCCTCCTCCCTGATGCCCCCACTTTCCAGGGCAGACACGGCTGCTGCCCAGTGAGTCTGTATCCTAGATGAGAAACACACTGTGTGATACAGATAGAATTGGGATTGTTCTGGTCGGGTGCAGTGGCTCACGCCTGTAATCCTAGCACTTTGGGAGGCTGAGGTGGGCACATCACTTGAGGTCAGGAGTTCAAGACCAGCCTGGCCAACATGGTGAAAACCTGTCTCTACTAAAAAAATACAAAAATTCACCAGGCATGGTGGCACCTGCTTGTAATCCCAGCTACTCAGGAGGCTGAGGCAGGAGAATCGCGTGAACCTGGGAGGCGGAGATTGCAGTGAGCTCAGATGGCACCATTGCACTCCAGCCTGGGTGACAAGAGCGAAACTCCGTCTCAAAAAAAAAAAAAAACTCACAAGAATTGGGATTATTATTATTATTATTTTTTATATACTTTAAGTTTTAGGGTACATGTGCACAATGTGCAGGTTAGTTACATAGGTATACATGTGCCATGCTGGTGTGCTGCACCCACTAACTCGTCATCTAGCATTAGGTATATCTCCCAATGCTCTCCCTCCCCCCTCCCCCCACCCCACAACAGTCCCCAGAGTGTGATATTCCCCTTCCTGTGTCCATGTGATCTCATTGTTCAATTCCCACCTATGAGTGAGAATATGCAGTGTTTGGTTTTTTGTTCTTGCAATAGTTTACTGAGAATGATGATTTCCAATTTCATCCATGTCCCTACAAAGGACATGAACTCATCATTTTTTATGGCTGCATAGTATTCCATGGTGTATATGTGCCACATTTTCTTAATCCAGTCTATCATTGTTGGACATTTGGGTTGGTTCCAAGTCTTTGCTATTGTGAATAATGCCGCAATAAACATACGTGTGGATTGTTCTAACTCAATGTAGGCCAGTTCCCCATAGGCACCAACTCCCTACACTGCTATGACCACTGCGGAAGGGCCATGGCCCTAACACTGAGATTTCCAGGCAGGCTAAGGCATTTGCCCCAGGGTTGTTAATAGGCCTATGGGAGGACCAAGGCTGGGCTGGGTCACCTGCTGGAACCTCCTACTCCACACCTCACACTAGAGGAGCAGAGGAACACAAAGATGAGTCAACACCTTGTACAGTGTATGCCAGGCTTTCTTTGCCGAGGACAGAGTTCTAAGCTTCAAATGAGCACCCTGGTGAAATCCAAGTGAAAAGAGAAGGAACTGGTGGCACTCGTATATTGCATTAAACGCTAATGAGAGTCTCTTTAAATCAACAAATATTGCACTCCTGCTATGTATCAAACTTTTTCTTAAGTTGTTGTTTTGACTAATTTAGTAGAATTTATGATCAAGTATCAGCAAAAATGAGGTGTAAACTCACATATATACTAACATTGTATCTATTCAGAATTCACTATAGACTACTTCAGGTTAATGCCTTTCTCAAGGGACCAAATAACAGACAAATCAACAAGAAAATACACTTCTAGTCTTTTCTCCACCACACATCCCACAGAAAAGTAACTCACTCAACAAATCAGGTTATCGAGCTTGGCTCACCTCAGACACCTTCGCAGATGCACGTGCCTAAGAGAAAATCAGATTCCATCCACTTAAGCTGCCTTCTTTGAAAAAAGTATCAAACCACTCCGTAAGTCTTCTATAAACTGCTAATAGTAAAATGTTTTAGGAACTGGAATGGGAAGCATGTTATGACCCAGGAATACAATATATTTTGGGGGGAAAAGGCCCCAAGGTATTTCAAATAGCTGAAATCCTTATATTGAACGTGTTTCCATTTAACACACACACTCTTATCAGCTTGAAATGATTTTTTTTTTAAATTTTAGCTTCAAAACCATCTCACTCCTAAGAAAGGGAAGTCCAAACTAAACCAAGCATTATGTACTGTGCAGAGGGCAGTCTGCCAGTACCAAAGACCCAAGTTCAACCCGGGGCTCCAACACTAAGCACAGCCCAGACTCATGTCCAAATCCCCAAGTTCGGTTTCCTCACTCTGAAAGCAATGTCAAGTCCCCACTGCAAGGTTTACAGACACAGCACTTGCAGTCAACTGGCTGGCAGTGACTGTGAGCGCAAGATGTGTGACTGAAAGGGAGACATGCTCCATGGGAAGCCCTCACTGCTGCCTCGTGGTCCACACAGAAAGGCAGAACAGGAGGAGAGCTGCGTGCCAGCAGCCCTGTCTCAGGGCTATTTCTTGCCACACCTGTCTTGGCAACTCTACTCACGAATCATGTGGATCTGGTCCAAGGCAGAGAAGAGAAAATACAAAGCACATTTTGGTTTCCCAGAGGACACTGGGGAGACAAATTCATTCTAAGCAAATACTTAAAACCACGAAGGCCTGGCCTCTTACAAACGGGTTAAACCGGGTACATGTTGTTTATACTGACGGTTTACTTCCGCTACCTCATAGTGTGTGAAAAAAGGTTACCAAGAAGAAGGATCCATAACTCACTCACTTAGAAATATCAAAATTTTGATTATCAATGGCCAACAGTCTGTCTAAATTGTCTTCTCACTAAAGGAGTTTAATTACCTCAGGGAAAAGAAGGAAAACGCAGTTGTAGAAGTCTTGATTTCATTCACACAATGAACACTCCTAATGTTAAATCCACGAGCAACCAATGTATCCCTTATTTTGGGAAAAAGTACGTAAGTTTGGATTGCAAGAAAAAGTACTTGAGTCTATGTCTCATGTCTCAAGACACATTTTGAATTATAGTCAAGTTTCTGCCAAATCAAATGGGCCGTCTCCAGCAGGTGTCCCCAACTCACCCCCAATTCAGACAGCGCTGGGGTGGGGCAGGTTTCCAGATGTCTCTCCATGATTTACCCAAGAAGCTGAGGTTCTTCTCAGGTGATGTTTGGTTCACTGGCAGGTTAGGGGTGATTCAGACCTCCTCTTCCCACGCCCCCCTCCAGGCCACTTTCTAGAAAAGATGTTCTTTTTTGCTTGCTTGTTTGTTCTGGGACCCAGGGGATTAGAATTATAGTAGCATTTCCAGATGAATTCACTTCCCTAGGAGTTTCCTATACTCCTGGAACGACAGCTCCTTTCCACGGAAAGCAGTAGAGAGCACTTCATTACAGTCATGCTCACTAACCTGCCAGGGCTGAGGGCTCATTGAGGGGCAAGGAAAGATTCCTGTGCGAGTTTCTACCAGGGGCTTTCTGTCGATTTGCTTATGGAAAAACTCCCCATGACCCTCAGAGGTGAGCACTATGTCCTCACTTGATGGCTGAGGAAGCTGAAGCTCAGACAGACTCACTGCTCCGCCCAGGTTCCATGGAGGGCAGGCAGGACCCGACCCAAAACCTGCTCCAGACCCAAGAGCAGCCTGTGGGGGAGACAGCTACCAAGAGCAACCTGCCAACACCAAATCCATCCATGATCCTGTCCGATGGAGATGTTCCCTGAGAGATTACTCACTTTGCAAAAAATAAAAAGGCAGACCCCAAAAGAGTAAATTAGGGGGCTAATGTTCACCCCGAGTACTTTCGGTGATGGTCCTGATGGGACCAAAGCTTGATCAGCCTGGACAAAATCTTCAACAATGCAAAAGACACAACGGTTAACACTGAATCACACAAACAAGGTATGCATGCCCAGTGACAGGCTGCTGGGAATGCCAAAAACAAAGATTAAAATTATAAAGAGCAAAAGTTTTAGTAAGTATTATCTATTAAATCTGTTCTGATTATAAACATAATACTAGTTATGACAATTGTGTACATACACAAAGGCACACAGAAAAGACCACCTGTGGCCAGGAGCAGTGGCTCAACGCCTGTAATCTCAGCACTTTGGGAGGCCGAGGTAGGCGGATCACTTCAGGTCAGGAGTTCGAGACCAGCCTGGCCAACATAGTGAAACCCTGTCTCTACTAAAAATACAAAAATTAGCCAGGCGTCGTGGTGGGTGCCTGTAATCCCAGCTACTCAGAAGGCTGAGGCAGGACAATCACTTGAACCTGGGAGGTGGAGGGTGCAGTGAGCTGAGATCATGGCACTGCATTCCAGCCTGGGTGACAGTAAGATTCTATCTCAAAAAAAAAAAAAAAAGAAAGAAAGAAAGAAAGAAAAAAGGGAGAAAAGCCCACCTGTAACGAAAATACAACAATACCCACTACTGACAGTTTAATGTATTCTTATATTTTTGATATGCCAATGAACTTCTTTAATATTAAACTAGACTATCATAAATAATCTTGCAGCTTTTTAAAACTTAACATCAGGCCAACAGGCATTTCCCCTATGCCATTATTCTTTTTAACACCATGAAGACAGCACCAGTCTGCCAAAAAAAGGGCAGAATAATGTAGATTCTCCCCTCCCATTAGAGGACCAAGGACAGTCGTTTGGCTGTATAAACAATGCTGTGATGAACCCCCTTGCATATATGTTTCTGCTAGCATTTCCTGAAAAAAAAAAAAAAAAAAAAGTGGGGAGGAATGTTACATCTTCTGCTCTATGCCTGCAGTGCAGGGTCTGAGATGTGGGTGGCACAGAGCTTACAGTCAGCACAGGACCAAGCCTGTGAGGTCTCCAAGGACAGGTGTGATGAGACTTGCAGAGAAGGAAAGCAGTCTGAGGTCAGATGCCCCAGCACAAGTCTCAGCCATTGACCGAGCAGGGACCAGAAGTGGATTAGGCTAGAAATGTCACCACATGAGGAATACACCAAGAGACTGAGGCTGGTCTAACAAAGAAGGAATGGAGACAACTTAATTCTGGTGCGGGAGGTGGAGATGGGCAGGGAGAGGTGGTGGTTCATAGCGAGTCCTGTGACAGGCAGGATGACCACAGACATGAGGTGTGTGGAGACTGGGCCAATGATCAGATTTAATGGTTTTAAAGTAAGTGAAGCAGCAAGGCATCAGAATGTACAGCATTCAACTGGCAATTAGGTGTGTATCTCTAAACCTACTACAAGTACTCTAAATATAAAACAAGTCTGAATCTTTAGTAAGAAGTCCCCCCTAAGGCATATAAAATCGGAATTGGGTTACCCAGCCATTTTCAGGAGTGATGTTCGAAAGCAGCACAGAGCACGCCCTATGGTCACACCATGAGAGTCACACACAGTGGAGTTACAGCAATAGATATTACGGTTATCATCTGAAAAAGGTGGCCTGGATCACAGCTAAATCTCTTTCCATCATTGTAAGTCTGTTATTCCACATGGAGAGTAAAAAGGAGTGAAGAAGTAACTTCTACAATTCAGAGTAGTCTTTGCAGCCAGAGCCAACTGATACTGCTATGGTATAAACGTTACATGCCCCCAAAACTCTCGCTGAAACCTGACCTTGAAAGTGATGGGTGTTAGGAGGTGGGGCCATTGGAATGGGATTAGTGCTCTCACAAAAGAGACCCCAGAGAAACCCTCACATTTTCTATCACTCGAGGACACAGCTCGAAGGTGCCGTCTAAGTGGCCCTCACCGCACACCAAACCTGCTTTTGTCTTGTACTTATCACCCTCCAGAATTGTGAGAAATAAACTTCTGTTGTTTGTAAGCCACCCAGTCTCAGGTATTCCATTAGAGCAGCTCAAAGGGACTAAGACAAATAGCCACCATAAACACCTAAAGGAAGCTGCAGATCTCTAGTTCCACTAAGGTGGAGGAGCCATCTCCCCAGGTCCTTCCTCTCCCAACTGAAAACCCGAGACAGAACCTCAGACAACCCTAGAGAGAACACAGCAAGCAGGCCCAGGAAAACTGAAGCGGGAAATAGGACAGGCTGCTGGGGACCTCAGGACTTGAGGGATGACGGACAGGGAGTATGCCGTTTTCCTCACTCCCATGTATCCTGGACAGCATGCTGCAGAAGAAACCTCCAACTGGGCCTTTCCAAGAGGCGTAGATAACAGCTCCATGGGAGGCCTGTTCTCCATCGCCAAGGGACTGAAAAGAGGGTGACCTAACAACAGAAAACCACTCCATGACTCCTGCCCTACTCTAGCCAAACAGCAACGGGAAAACCACAACGCCCCTGGCAGCAGCCCCACAGCACCGCGTGGCCAGAGTGGGGAGTTGATCTTCCAGCCCATCCCCAGCCCAGGGGAAGCAGGAGGTGCTCTGATTCCACCACCAGATGGTGTCAGCAGGCCGATCTCCCAGACCCTCCCTGGCAGAAGCAGGCAGAGGTGATCCGGCTGCCCTGCCAAAGCAGTGTTAGTAGGGCAGTTATCTAACATCCCCTCCCAGGGTTACATTAGTGGGGCTGAGCAGTGAGCAGTGAGCTAAGCCTCCACCTCTACTAAACAGCAACGGGTGGGTACAAGGTGGGGTTAGTTAGTTGACATGACATTACACACACCCACTGAACCAGACAGTGCAAAACAGGGTTCATGGGCCCATCGGCTCTCCCAGCCCCAGCCTTGGGTGTCTGGGCACCCAGTGGGTACTGAGTCTTCGCCCCATCTGGCTAATTAAAGAGAACAAAAGAGAACTCTCCCATCTAGCATCAAAGAGGGAGAATCAGGTAGTAGAAAGTGGGCCTGGTTGGCATGTTGTACCTGACCCCCCCACCCCTGGTGGGGTCAGCTTCCCTCAGAGGGAAGCTGAGTTCTGACCTCTACTCTGCAGAAACAAGGTATGAGGCAGCCCTCTATGGTCTCCCTGCTTCCTGGTGTCAGCAGTGGCTGAGGGAGCCAAGCTTACACATCTCCCCCAACAACTGGACACAATAAAGCAGTGTGCACTGGGGCCCCTCTTTTGTTTGGAAAGTACCAGCAAAGCCAAGGAGAAATCTGAACTTCCAACTTACCTAGTAGAAACAGGCAGAAATCTTAGAATTGAAAAATATAATTAAACATAATTTTAAAAACAATCAGTGAATATGAGGCAAAATCAATAGAATTTACTCAATCTGAAGAGAGAGAAAATCTACTGGAAAAAAATGAACAGTCTCAGGAACTTACAGGACTAACAAAAGCACTAACATTCTTATCATCAGAGTTCCAAAAGAGAGGAAGGGACTGGAAAAGTATTTAAAGACATAATGGCTGAAAACTTCCCAAACCTGGCATAAAACGTGAAACTCCAGATTCAAGATGCTGAGTGCACCCCAAAAAGGATAAACCCAAAGAACCCATGACAAGACACATCACAATTAAACTTCTTAATACTAAAAGACAATCTTGAAAGCAGCCACATAGGAATGACACATAACTTAGTTGAGAACACCAATTCAGATGACAAGGGATTTCTCATCTAAAACCATAGAGGCCCTAAGAAAGTGGCATGTTTTCCAAGTACTGAAAGAGATACATCAACTGCGAATTCTATCTTCCGTGAAGATATCCTTCTGGACTGAAGGGGAAATAAAGACATTCCCAGAAGGAGAACTCAGAGGAGTTGTTACTAACAGACCTATCATTAAAGAACTAAGGAAGTTCTCTAAACAGAAAGGAAATGACAAAAGAAGAAAGCTTAGAACTTCAGAAAGGAAAGAACATTGGAAGGGGAAAAATGGAAGCGACTATTGGTAGACTAACAGTACTTTCTTAAATCATATTTGATGGTTGAAGCAAAAATAACAATACCAACTCATTCAGTGCTCAATGTACATGGAGGAAATACTTCAGACAATTATATTGGAAAAATGGGGCTAACGGAGCCTAAAGAAAAGTAAGGTTTCTACTCTTCAGCTCCCATCATAAAATGCTGTGACCATTGATACCAGTAGACTTAGAATATATATTTCACACACATACTGTAATACCTGGAACAACCACTAAGAAAATGATACAGAGCAATATATTTTAAAACACCATAAACATATCAAAACGAAATCCTAGAAAATGTTCGTATAACCCACAGTAAGGTTAAAAAACAAAAAAAGAAACAAGGAACAGAGGAAACAAAAAACAAATAACAAAAAGGCATTTAGACTTACATATATTATCTTAAATGTAAATGGTCTAGACCATTTAAGAGACAGATTGGGCAGACTAGATAAAACAGGTTTATCTAAAGACATGCCATATATAAAAAACTTATCTCAAATACAACATATGCAGATGGAAAGTGAAAGGATGGAAAAAGATAATACTATGTTAACATTAATACATTAATGTTAAAAAAGCAGAAGTGCTATTAATACCAGATAAAGTACATTTTACAGCAATGATAGAAGATTGGATCCAACCTGAAGACATTTTAAATGTGTAAACTCCAAACAGCAGCACCTCAAAAGACATGAAGCAAACTCTAATAGAGCTGAAAGGAAACAGCTGGGGATTTCAGCACCACATTCTCAGCAACTGACAGAACAAGACAGTAAAATCAGCAAGGACAGAGAAGAACTGAACAACACAATCAACCAGTAAGATCTGAAAGATGTATATATAACGAACACTCTACCCAATAGCAGCAGAATACAGATGTTTTCAAGTACCCAAGCAGCATAGATCAGTCACCAAAAGAGACCATATCCTGAGCTACAGAACAAATTCTCGACACATTTGTAAACCGAAATAGAATAAAATATGCTCTCTGACCATAACAGAATCAGAAAGAAAACAGTAACAGAAAACACACTTAGGTATTTTTGGAAATAAAACACACTTCTAAATAACCTAGGGTCAAAGAGGAGGTCTCAAAGGAAATTTAAAAATATATAGACAGAACTCAATGAAAATGAAAACACAACATACCAAAACACGTGGGATGCAGCTAAGCAGTGGTGGAAAGGAAATTTCTAGCGCTGAATAAATGCGTACATTAGAAAAGCGAAAGGGGGTAAGACTCCACCATCTCTGCTCCTGAGACATGGCTGCTTGGTTTGTGGATGGCAGTTCCAAGGTGAATGCACAGCACGCTGTTTGGCAGGCTGCCATTCTAATTGAAGAAAATCCTTTTGCTTTTGAGTTATTTATAGCTTATGATTGAGTAAAGTATACTTTCATGAGCAAAATTTACCTTTCTGAGTTCTCCAAAATTTGGAAACTACTCATGAGTATTCTTATTTTATGGCAATATAGTTATTTGCATAAGTTCAGTTAAGAATCTGTTTTCTTTTGTTCAGTCACCAAAATAGACCATATCCTGAGCTACAAAACAAACCTTGACACATTTAAAAGAACTGAAATTGTATAGAGTATGTTCTATATGCAATTGGAGACATGGGTTATTTTACCAAGGCTTTGACTGAATAGCGTATTTTCAGATATGACCAGACTGCTTTAAAGAATAAAAAGCCCCTTGAAAAAAGACAGGCCTGGTACCTTGTCTACACAGTTCCCTTACAAGGTTCCTGATCTTCGATAAGCAAAGAATGTCATTTTCCGACAGGCCCAGGAACCTCAAGATACTTTGGGACCTCGAGGAGAATGGAATTCACCCGATCTGTAGGTATTACAGGCAATGTTTGCTGGCAAATTTTCAGCTTGGCTTTCAAGCCTGGAGGCTTCTAAAAGTCTAATCTGAGATTCCTTATGAAAAAATTCCAGCAAAGCCAACTTAAAAAGAGCCTATATGGCCAATCACTATTCTTGTTGCACTTTATGCAAATAATCAGGCTAAGTATAATGAGACTAAAATGTATTTTGCAAATAAATTGGTCCTTGGTAGGAATGGGGAAACTGGAGAAAAAAATGTGCTCCAAAGAAAACTACAATACCTGTTAACAGATTCTAGCCCTAACCATTATTTTTGAGTTTTTATTATTTGCCTACAACTCAAACTGCATCCTGAATTACTTCCTAGCTACAAGTCTCTAAAGAAGAACCGAGTTCTAATTTTCTTCATGTTCTTTTTCATTATAATCTTTGTGTGCATATTAACAGTATTTATCTCGTTTTACTTCTTCCCAGAAAACCAGAATCATGGTATTCTGAGGACTACAAATGATTCAACAAAGCCTGAGAATCTCCCTCATTTGGAATTCCACTGTGCCCGATTTATTTTCCATTGCCAAGGCACTACTGGTAAAGCTATACAAAATGAAGCACACCCACTGAAGGTTCAGGGACCATGGCAGAAGAGCAAGGCACATGAGACTGTAAGAGCCAGATTGGGAGCTGGAGTGTGGAGGCCAAACAACTCCATCTTGTATGCTAATCTGCTGTGTTAACTTCTGATTAACCCTGGTTTTGCGAATGCCTCCAAGATTTCTATTTTATCTACTGTTCCTTGGGTATGAGCATGTACTTACCATCAATCCTGTCCTTAGTTTGATATTATCTTTCCATAAATCCTGAACTTAAGCCAACTGTCCTATACATCCCTTCTGAAGCATATATACACTTTCCCTATGGCTCATAAGCCCTGGGTCTGGAGTGTAACCATGCACGGATCTACCATCTCATCTTGAGGCTGCCCGAGATAGGGTTTCTGTTTGTAAATACCTATTAAATGTTTCTTTCTGAGAAAACAATAAGAAGAAAAGAGAGGAAAGGTCTCAAAACATTATTCCAAGTGTCTGTCTCAAGAAACTAGGAAAAGAACCTAGCACAAAGCAAGCAAAAGGAAATAATAAACAATAAATTTAATAATAGGAAAGTAGAGAAAAATCAGTGGAACAAAAAGCTGATTAAAAAAATCAAAACTGATAAACTTTTGGAAAGACTGACAGAGATAAAAAAGACACAAATTACCAGTATTAGAAATGAAGCAGGGGTTATCACAACAGATCCTGCATCCATTAAAAATATTGGAATGCTACAAATACTTTTCACATTCATAAATTCAACAACTTAGAAGAAAGGGACCAATTCTTCAAAAGCTACAAACTATCAAAACTCAACTGGGAAGAAACAGACAACCTGAACAATCCTACAAAAACTAAGAAAAAAAAAATCTATAATCTAAATGCCCGCCCGCCCCCCATCCCCCCCACCCCCGCCCCCATCCCCCGCCAAAAAAAAAATCTCCTGGCCTAGATGGTTTCACTACAGAATTCTACATTGAGAAAAGAATCAATACCAATTTTACACAATATCGTCCTGAAAATAAAAGAGGGAACCCTTCCTAATTAAGGTTCTGATATAAAAACCAGTCTTAAAAGAAGACGACAGACCCCTCTCAAGAACTTAGGCGCAAATACTCTCAACAAAATATCGACAAATTCAATCCAGCAGTGCACAAAAAGAATTACAGACCCTACCCACGCAGGATTTGTCTCAGACATCCAAGAGAGACTTAACATTGCAAATCAATGGAACGTACCATATCAACAGGTTAATATAAATTAACATCATGGGATCATATCAACTGGTACAGAAACATTTTATAAAATCTAACATCCATCCATTTACGACAAAAACTCTCAGCATTCTGGGAATACAGGTTAAAACTTCCTCATTCTTTTAAAGACGACCCATATAAAACCTACACTTAGCATCATATTTAATGATTAAAAACAGAAAGCTTTCCCCCTAAGATTGGGGACTAGGTATGGATGTTTGCTCTCACCACTCCTAGTCAACATAAACACTAGAAATTCTAGCTGGTGCAACTGGGCAAGAAAAAGAAATGTACACAGATCAGAAAGAAGACATAAAACTGTCCCTATTTGCAGATCACATAACTATATAGACCTCCCAGGAAATCTATGAAAAACTCTTAGAATTAAGGAGTTCAGCAAACTGCACAACAGAAGACCAACACACAAAAATCAATTGTATTTCTATATACTACAAGTGAACACATAGATGCTAAAAGTAGGGCCAGGTGTGGTGGCTCACGCCTGTAATCCCAACACTTTGGGAGGCCAAGGCGGGCAGATCACCTGAGGTCAGGAGTTCGAGACCAGCCTGGCCAACATGGTGAAACCCATCTCTAATAAAAATACAAAAATTAGCTGGGTGTGGTGGTACGTGCCTGTAATCCCAGCTACTTGGGAGGCTGAGGCAGGAGAACCGCTTGAACTTGGGAGTTGGAGGTTGCAGTGAGCCAAGATCGCACCAGTGCACTCCAGCCTGGGTGACAGAGTGAGACTGTCACAAAAAAAAAAAAAAAGAGAAGTAAAAGTACAATAAATACTTCTTTTAATCCTCCCTGAGTTCCAGCTGTGCCAGGGCCTTGCCAGAACATGCAAACACAGTGTCCTTCAACAGGTGAATAGCTAAGCAAACTGTGGTGCATCATCTATGGAATACTATTCAGCAATAAAAAAACAAGGCACTATTGTTACACAACATCTCCGATTAATTTCAAGGGAATTATGCTAAGTGAAAAAAGCCAATCTCAAAAGGTCACATACAGTATGATTACACTTATACAGCATCCTTGAAATGACAAAAGTACAGATATGTAGATCAGATGAGTGGTTATCATGGGTAAGGAAGAGACAGAAAGGTGGCTGTGGCTATAAAAAGGTACCATGAGAAATCCTTGTGGTGGAGTTGTTCTGCATCTTGACTGTGGTGGCGGCCATACAAATCTACACATTTGATAAACCTGAATAGAAGTAAACACTCACAGACACATGAAATGGACTGCATGTGAAACTGATGAAATCTCAATACAGTAGATGGATTCTGTTAATGTCAACTGCTGGTTGTGACAGTATACTATAATTAGGCAAGATGTTACCATCGTAGGAAACTGGGTGAATGGCATATACAATTTCTTTGTATTATTTCCTATAAATGCATGTGAATCTGTAATTATCTGAAAAAAAATTTTTTTAAGATGTAAATTTAAAATTGGGTAACTAACAATTAATAAATGTGTTTGGAACTAGTAAAGAAAAATATCTTTCTCTTCTAGCACTTTCTCTCCCCACTTAGGACCTAAAAAGTTTCCTTATTTCTCTTGGTGTCAAACAAGTAACTTTGGGGTTTCAGAGACAGAGCTGGGACTCCCTCGAAGACACCTCTATTGGGAGGCTCCAGGCAGCCTGAAGGTGCTGAGAAAGCATGTGCTCTACCATCTACTTTTTGAAGTCCGAATATACCATGGAATTTAAAGAGGTAAAACAAAACTGTATTTGCCTGAAGAATGCCGCTGTTTACAATGCTCATTTAATGTTTAAAATGCTTACAAGATTCTGCTAATCACTTCCATTCTCCTAAGTCAACCAAACAACCCAAGGAGTAAGCTTCATGGAAGTGATGTGCCCTGAGTGGGAAGAGTCAAGCCTGGCTTGCTAGAGCAGCACTGCACACTCCAGCTCCTCTGTGAGGCCAGCCTGTTTAGATGAAACAGAACACCAGCCACAAATCTAATTGTGCATTTTTCTAGTAGCCATGTTTAAAAAGGTAGAAAGAAACAGAGAAAGTCAATATTAAAATACATTTTATTTAATCACCAATGACCATATGACAAAATGCTCAAGGAAGAGGGAGAGAGGTGGCTGTGGCTATAAAAAGGTATCATGAGAAATCCTTGTGGTTGAGTTGTTCTGTATCTTGACTATGGTGGTGGCCATACAAATCTAAGCCAGTAAATATAAATCCAAAGCACAGTGAAAGATCACCTATATCCTCTAGGATGACTACTGTTAAAAAAAAAAAAAAAAAAGTGTTGGTAAGTATGTGGAGAAACTGGAACCCTTGTGCCCTGTTGGTGGGAATGTAAAATGGCACAGCCTCTATGGAGAACAGCATGATGGTTCCCCAAAAAATTAAAAATAGAATTACCATATGATCCAGCAATTCCACTTCCAAGTATATATCCAAAAAAATTCAAAGCAGAATCCCCCAAAAGATATTTGCATACCCATGTTCATAGCAGCACTACTCACAATAGCCAAAAAGTGGAAGCAACCCAAGTATCTCCTGATGGATGAATGGATAAATGAAGTATGTGATATACACACACTGGAACAACCTTCAGCCTTAAAAAGGAAGGAAATTCTGACATGTTGCAAGATAAATGAACCCTGACGACATTACGCTAAGTGAAATAAGCCTGTCATGGAAGAGCAAATACTATATAAATTTCACTTATATAAGGTATCTGAAGTTGTCAAATTAATAGACAGAAAATAGAATGGTGGTTGTCAGAAGCTGGGGGGAGGGGGAAATGGGGAGTTGTTTAATGAGTACAGAATTTCTGTTTTGCAAGGTGAAGAAGTTCTGGAGATTGGCCGCACAACAAAATAAGTGCACTTAACACTACTGAACAGTACACTTAGAAATAAATGGTTCAGATGGTAAATTTTACGCTTTGTGTTTAACTGCAATACAAGTTTATATTTTATTTAACCTATATATTTAAAACACCATTTCAACATGTAACCCATATGAAAACAATTAAACTATTTTGCATTCTTTTTTGTCTCCTCAAAATCCAGTGTGTATCAATAATGACAGCACAACTCAGTTCAGACTAGTCCTATGTCAAGTGCTTAATGCATGTGTGGCTTCCCTGCTGAGTAGTGCTGAGCTAGACCTCAGCTGTCACCACTACGTGGCAAACCTTACAGCTAGATCCAGGTAATTAAAAACACTTTGGCAGAGCAGAGGTCAGGATCTTTTTCTTGCTACCTGCCTTCTTCAACTTTATTTGTCTGAAAGGCTAACAGGCAGAGCTGGACTGACTCTCAACATCTCCTGGGCTTCTCCTCTTTGTCAGGCACTCGCTAGCATCTGCAGGCCATTATTCCCCGCCCAGGGAGCTCACAAACTAAAGGAGGGGTCAGACAAGTACCAGCTATAAGAGAAGTACCCACAAGACGCTGAGGAAAAAAAAAAAAAAAAAAAGAAAGCCATTAACTCCCATCTGTGAATTCCAATGTGCCAGGGAACAAGTATAAAATTTAAGACATTTACTAACATGACACTAGGGAGCATTCCTCCATATCCTGACTTTTCTCAACTCTTATTTCCAATTGTACTGACTACACTTTAGTGTACTGACTACACTTTAATTTCCATTAAAAACACATATGGCATAAAACACTCATCCAAAAAGGCACTCAGTAAACCAACACATGTGAGTGATTTTGATAAAAATAATCAGTTATTCACTAAGGTATCATTTGTCAAGTTAATCCTCCCAGAGTGTAAGGAGACTAAAATTGAGGAAAAGTGAAAAAACTGTATCTGTTGCCCCACAGAGAAATATATTCCTTGAACTTGTCTTCAGAAAAATCAGAGACATAAAAGGAAAATATGAAAACAGTGTTAATACAAACACTCAACTACTATACATTCCTCCTAAGACTTGACTTTCTCATTAGAACAAAGTTTTGCAAAACAAAACTTCAAGACACACTGATCTCTACCCCAAGTTGCTGAGCAAAAAACTGCTTTGCAGCTAAAGGAGCCCCTGGCTAAGGCGAACCTCTTTATAACCTCACATTTGTGTTCCACTAGTTCAAACCAATCATAATGACTTCTTTGTGGAAAATGTATTTTGCAATAAATTATCAAAAGCTTCATTGAAGAACTTCATGGATAGGGTTGAGTAAAGAATACTAAACAAAGTCAAGAGAACCACTTATCAACTCAGCATTATTTCAGTGGTCTTCAGGCATGAACTAAGACTGTAGAATGTCCAGAGAAAATTATGGACTACATAAATTGTAAATTTTATGCTTCAATTTAAGAAACTCACATCTGGCTAAGTCCTTTCCTCCCCCAACCCCAACTCATCCTCTCCCAAAACAAATCTCCCAAAAACTTAACACTGAAAACTTACCTCGGTACATTAACTTTAAACAAACTCCTCGTAACTTCTCATTTAATCCTATGCATTAAACTCTTCATCACACCATCTACTGAAATGCAGCTAATACTATAAAATTACACCTCAGGATCCACTACTTTACTTCACAGGTATAACCATTAGCTGTGCATAATTATTTAGATTATGATCTTTGAAGCCCTGTATATTTCATCTCAAGTAACAGTGCTTAACTTATAATTAGCTTGTAAAATAGTATTTATCAACAAAAAAAGCATTTGTGCCTGTCTTTACATTAAAAAATACACTATCTCACCCACTATTCCCAGTTCCAGGGAAGGAGAAACTATTTCCATGCATTAACCCATCACCTACAGAGACCAATGTATGCATTTTGCTTGAAAGGGAACTGGTTAGAGAAAATAGCTTAATAACCACAAGTGTGAAGCTTTTGTTGTGAAAGTGTGAAAAGCTAATACCTTCCAGAGGGTCTTTAATGCACGTGTGTTTCAC